>NC_000004.12:46242682-46552106 GCF_000001405.40 Homo sapiens
GTACTTTGTTACACAAGATTTAACATTGTCAATTATACTTACTATATGATGTGAAAAATTGATGGAATATTCATTTAATTTTATGCCTAAACCGAAAGCTATAGGCTAGCAAGCAGAGGTCTTCAAAAAAGAAAGAGATTACAGAGAGCCCATGAAAGCATATAAACACAGCTGTACAGGAAAATTACTTGGAGAGGTTTTAAATTTTTTTCATAGCCCCTTGTCCCTCAAGATTCTGATTTGCCCATTTTTTAAAAAACTTCTCAGTTAATTTAAAATTTTGGCTAGGATTGAGCACGATTATATGAAAAACGATGATGACAAAAATTGTCTTGTTTTTAATACCTTTTTGGCATTTAAAAACATTTTATTTCAGTACTATTAACAATAATAGCAATAATCAAAAGAGGAACTCTTTTAAATAATATTGCATTAAATTTAGAAAATAGGTCAAACAAGAAAACTACAAGATATGGGAGTTTACAGAGAGAATAGTGAACTTAAAGCTACTTTAAAGAAAAGAAAATACTATTTATTTAATAGTTTCATGTAAACGTGACACTTTTATATTATAGCAGGTAGCCAATTTTCTGGGTGAGCTTATGTTTTCCACTTTCTTAAAGTGTTGAAGAGATGAACATTAGCAATATATGATTCCTCCTCAAATTTCAGGGTATGTTTATGCTTTTCCTGTCACCCTACAGCTTTTTATCTTAAAGAGAAGTTTAAGAAACTAACAACTTTTAAAACCGCTATTACAAAATATCATTTTATATCCCAATATATAAAAGCCACATACACAATAAATTCAATTATTGTAAGCGAATGTGTAACAGAGTATAAAAAACACAATTTTCAGAGCAAATATATTTAAATCATTTTTAATAAATACAAAAAAGTTGTTTAGCATTAATTTGCATGTGATTAGTTAGGAATTTTTTAAACAGCAAGCATGACATATTCAATAAAGGTCATATGATCAACTAGTGGCCTTTCCCAATTACAACAAGGTCACAATTACAAATATTAGTTCTTGAGTTATTTTCATGAACCAGAAAACCTACCAATAAGTATACTGTCACCCAGAAAATTTCAAATTTCACATAATGTGACTATCAAAGTTTAGTGTTGAAGGTTCCTCACATTCTCTCTGCATGTGATCGTATTATTAATTTGTAGCAAAGGAAAAATACTTTATTCCTTTTATTTTCTATTCAAATGTAGCAATAAGTATGACATTTTTTAAAGTTTTCACTCACATCACATCTACTGGAAACATTTCATGAAAGGTGATGTTCCTTAGTTTGAAGCACATCAAAACCTGAATTTGTATCTGCTCAGGAAAATCTTGAAAATTTATAGAAGACCAACAATTTTAAAATCAAGTGTAGTGCAGGCACCCAAGATTAACAAGCAATAAGGACTTAACTGTGGATGGTAAAGTTTAATTCATGAGAATTGTGGCTCAATAATTGAGTTTTACTTATGTCTTTCTAATTATACGTTACACCTTTTTACACATTATGATCAGTTTAAAGCACAATCAATTGCTTCAACGACTATGTCGAATATGTTAAAAATAAATTCTGAACAAATCTATCAGTACTATTTCTAAAGTAATTCTGCAACTAACTCTTGCTTTCTTAGCATCAGTTGTTTTTACAAATAAACTTTGTTGGAAATATTCATGTATAGCCAATAATACAGTTTATATAGCCAATGCAACATAGTTTGCCTTTTGGCATCATGTTATGGCAAAGTCTTCTAAAAAGAAGCATGGAAAACTGACATTTTCAAACCTAGTAAGCTAATTCAGCAATTGCAATCCCACCGGTGGCATCCCTTGGGATCAATTCAGGCGTCATTCTATAAACGGTAACTTACAACAAAATATTTGATGAAATCAATACATAATCCTTGAAGCCCAATGGGATTAAATGTTATGAAACGAACAATATGACAAATGAAAACACATCTCTCCAACCACTAATAAAACTGGCAAAATTAGAAAAAAAAGGAAATGAAGGAAGTGCTTACTTTTGCTTAATCAACATTAATCATTTTTAATACGTGATCATTACTTGTGAACCAAAAAAGAAAACTGCAATATATTCCCAGAAACTAAATTGTACCAAAGAAGTTAGTAAATAGCTAGCATCACAAAAACGGGTATTGCTTACTGTACAGTACAGTTTTATTGTTGAGTGTTTGCTTTTTACTTGTTTGTTTTGTTATGTAGAAAACCATGTAATGGCTCCCTTATTGAATGAATATTCCCCAAAAGGCATGAATATAAATTTGAATTAAAGCAAAGAAAAAACACAGGTTTTTGGTTTTTTTGTTGTTTTTTGTTTTTTTGTTTGTTTGTTTCGTTTACCTTTCCTATAATATATGTAAACTGGTATGTTGGTGTACTATATAGAAATCCTAGATTTCCAGAGCTTCAAGAATCACACAGTGATGATGGCTGCTGTGAGGACTGAATGAACTAATATGCATAAAAAACTTAGAACGTTGACTAGTATGTGATGGGCTCTCTGTAAGAATTATACTCTGAATCATTCCAATTCAAAAAGTAAGGTATGAAACAAATCAGTAATGAATATACATAACTTTGTATTTGTAAATAACCAGATATTTAACTTTTAGAAGAGCTTACACAAGCCTCCGTTGAGAAACCTGGCATTCAAAGATGTTTCTATTCTATCTCATGAAGCAGAATTGCAAGATCATTTTGAATTTAATCTTTTTTTAAAAAAAAACTAGAAATACATTCGAAAAAGTTTACACCAACATAGAAAAGATATTTTTAACCATATGCATAACTCAAACCTAATTCTAATTAATAAGTTTGTTATGGATTTACTGAAAAATGTGTTCTAGTGTGCAAGTTAATTGCTAGTTTAATAAGAGCTGAATTTGTGATAAGATCCATTAATAAAACAAATTGTTTAGATATCATAAATTTATCTGAATTTCTCAAAACATTATTCCATACATACCTAGGAATTACACACATACACACTCGCAAACATACACACATCACTGACACACACAGCTAAGACCCTATTAAAAGATCTTTGGGAACATTACTGTAAGCTGAAACATAAACCTGTAAATTGTTCTTTACTATTGGCAATATTAGGTAATGTTATGTATTAAATACATCATTGAGTAGTTTGAGGTGGGACGTATAACCACCTTTATAAGTATTTCTTCATATATAAACAAACAAAAATAGAATATTTCAACTTAACAAGATGGAAGACACAGTGGTCTAGATATGTTGATAATTAAGAATTTTAGCAAAAAAACAAAATTATGATATATAATATTTATAAGTAGATATTGAATAATTTACCTTCCCAAATGACTTTCACATGAACTTTCTCTACTTTAGTATTTTAGTTATGATGCTTACTATGATAGAATAACGACTCTTAAAATATTTGTGTGTCTACATATGTATAATTTATCTACTTTCTCGGAAGTTAAAAAGGGAAAAATGCTTCACTTGGTTTAATTAACAACAGTCTCCTGTTTCCTGTGGTTTCTTCTTTTCAGTAATTCTGAGCTCTTAAATACTGATGGAAAATATTAATATCTTTAATATAAATTTTAACAGCAAAATATTATGGATATTAAATAATTATGTTAAATATTTACTTTAATTTTTAGAGCATGAATTCAGTAGATAAAAATATGACTTGTCTTCTCCACACTGTTACAAGTGGTTTTGGTATAGTGTCCATGTTTCTCAAGCATGCAGATGTCAAAAATAACTGCACCCCTCCCCAGTTAAAATTTTACACTTCTGCATACTTTAAATTAATAAAAGGGAAGCACGAGGTGCCTATGGGACCTCAATTAAAAGGAAAATGAATGGCACTATAGGGTAGCAATGAGTCAGGTAGTAATCCCCTTAAAATTCTGAATGTTTTCATATGATAAAAAATTTGGTCATTGCTTCAAAAACATGCAGATGAATGTCAGTGTGCCAGGAGACTAATAACAATAATAATCTGTTTAGTAAATCTATTAACATAACCTCATATTTCCAAGTAAATAATAAATATGTCTGTGTTTCACAGACATGTGTCTGAGGGCATCAGGCATAGAATACATTAAACAAATTATTAATGGATGCCAAAGAACCATGATAATGCAGAAGGTGACTTGAGCTACTTCCTTTCTTCTTTCATTGGAATGATGACCGGCCATGCCAAAGAAAAGTACTTTGGTGCTCTTCTGGAATCCATGATTATATCATGGCAGGGTTTGTGTCCCTCAACCAGGAATTCAAAAAGAGCCACATAAATGCAAATTATACTTACCAAATAATGAGAGTAAAATAATAGATTCTGGGTTGTTTTTAAAAATAAACTATGAACTATTTAAGAAAAAAAATTTAGAAACATGGCTCAAGGGGATCACTTATCCAAACCTGAGATAAATTCAAAATAGAGAGATACCTGAAAAGATTTCTAAACATTAAGATTGGCACTTAATAAAATCATTAAAATTTAAAAAATATATATTAAATGGTTATATTTCTTCCATTTTATAATCAAACACATGGGAACATGAACAGGAGAAAAGAGAAAAACAGCCACCTATCCTAGCACACTAGTGGCATCATAGCTCATTAAAGAACTCCCAGTACTAAATTAATTTACATGTTTTATATAGTCTTTAATTTCAAGTCATTATAAGAATGAGATGCACTTAAAATTTCAACTAAATTCAGTGGGTGTGACATGAGTGATTTTAACACCAATTACAGGGCATGGCACAGGAGGTAAAAAATATTTTTGAATAAATATTAGTTAAATCAGAGTAGTAGCTATAAAATAATGAGATTATATCTCTATATATGTACATGTATTTATCTACATTTTGTACATACCATAACTCTTTATGTCATTGTACAACTGCATAAAATAGGTATAATCTTATGGGCCAAAGAGATCAGTGTTAGTATATATAAAATGTATTTTCTGAAAAATTGGCCTTATTGTGATAAATTAAAATCCTTTTAAATTTGTTTTTAAATTGGTTCATGGAAAGGATTATAATTGTTACGAATCTTGTTCTATAATTTAAAAGCAATTTCCACGGAGCATCCCTAGTCTCCCCACAAGAGAAGAAGCTCCTTTTGATTTATTTAAACATTAAAAGAAGAAGAAATATGTAAAAAGTACATCAAAGTTTAAAGAAATAACAAAGAATTCTGATCCCTAGCACTGAAAAATCTGAACTGCCAGAATGTCATTGCACTCAAATAAAATTTTACCACATGAAATTTAAAATAAGAATAACAGTGATAAGTTTTCTGGTCAATCTGCCATAAATGCTAATAATACTGGTGCCATCAATATAGTAGCAGCTCTTTGCCCAAAGTATAGATAAGCCTTTTCTGTTGTCATACAGAAACTGTTATTTACAACTGTTTTTACATATACACATATTTATAAATTTATAACTTATAGTCAGACATTAAGGGGGCAATGCGGACTTTACAAGACAAATATTCTTAAAGTATCTAATAATGCATACCATATAGAGCAATTTCATTGCTTGCCTTCTGGCATTGTGTACTTCCTTATACAATTGCACACATCCCTAAACTATACAGAAGAGCTATGCTATATTTAAATGTATAAGAAAATAGGATATCTTCTATTTCAATGTATGAATAAAGTGCACATTTTAAAACTAGGTGACAAAGAAAGTGTTACTGGAAGGGAATTAAAGAAATACATTTATTGGCTCATGTAACAATTTTATTTTATTAAGGATTATGGATTACCTCTTGTGAGGGAATTTTTAATGTCAAGGCTGTCTTCTTGGCAAATTCCGTTAATAAGTTGCATTTGTGACCTTGGTTTTATACAAGCATGCAAAGCATATAATAGAATCACATGGAAACAAAGAAATTTTAAAAATTAAATGAGGCAAAGGAATAGCAATTTTTGCTGATATTTTGCTTATTTCCATAGATACTCCTTTTATTGATTTTATGAACATACCTATTTATGCACTATACTCAAATACTGTACAAAACTGCAATAAATGTTACTATTTGACTACTTATGTTTCTACAAAAACACCATCGTAAAGGTGCATGTTTTAGTAAAAGTCAACTAATAACTGCTAATGTACATGTCAATCAAAAGTATTTGAAGTTTGCCAAAAACTTTGAATCTAGGCATAATACACAATCTTTAACTTTTATTAGCATATTTCGGGGCATAAATAATATTTTAAGATATTAAAAGAAAAATGAATTTTACCCATTAATAACTAGTAATTATATAAAATTTAAAATTGTGTTTTCTAATTTAGCTGTGTATGTGTGTGTGTGTGTGTGTGTGTGTGTATGTTTGTGCACGTGAAATAATCCACAATCTATTGGTGATGTTTTAAAGTTGCAGTGTAAAAATGTTCAACCCTTACCAAAACCTCTTCTGGTATACAAAGCTGTTGTAAATTTGAGTCAGCGAAATTTAAAGTTGCAATTTACAAAAGCAGATTTACATTAATTCTTATCTGAAAGAACTGCTTTCACAAGAGAAAAATGTGCCAATTAACTGCCCTTTCCTTTATAATTAGTGGCTTCTGAGTCTTGAAAAGAAGCCTTAAGGCAGAATTTGCAGTAAACAGGAAAGAGGAGAATCATATAAGTGTTTGTCATAGTGTGGGGCACCTATGAATTCTCATCAGTGGGAGTTTTTGGCACAATTTTCTAATCCAATATGCATGTTGCTCCACAGCAACCAAACTGGATGCTTTTTCCAGTCTCCAGCACCCGTAAAATTTAGCTGATCAATTTCAATACAACACATACCTGGAAATGTTAAGACACATTTCTTTTCTTTTTTTTTAATTAAGGTAGTTTCCAATGATTAAAATAAATTGTAGGATTTCAATTATTACTTTCAAATAAACTCTGAAGCTAAAAATGTAATGACCATGACATTCCAATAGTTATTACATCGTAGGCATAATTAACATCCTTTCGGGCTGACTCATAATTATTTGAGCTTGTCATGCTGTAATATGTACATGGCTATAGATACTATATAGAGTAATTCATAGCTGATTTCAAATCTCTAGTTTTTCTTATGTGTACCAAGCTTCCAATTACATTAGCAGGGACTCTGAGCACTCATGAACAGAGCTGATGTCAGATACAATGTTTGTTACTTCAAAGGATTCATCTAGGAATGACAATGTTATCTTCCATCATAATTAAGCAACAGTAGAAAATACCCCTACTTAAGAGCTAAACCAAAAGGGTCCACAAAGGGTTGTACAGGATCCCCATTTTCATCTCATTTGGAAGAATAGGAAATTAATCAGGTCACTTGAAATTCACTTTAAATCAGGTCCTAGGGTAAATCTTTAAAAAAGGCAATGGCTGTTTTCGCATGGAGTGCTTTCTGTCTGCAGTTCCATGAGTTAGCAAATGCATGTCTCCATTAAAGGTCTACTGGTAAGCTATGTCACTATATACATACTGTACATGTTGGATCACAAATTAGCAGTTATTAGTCAGACTGTACATAGCAAAACAAACCAAATTTAATGTTGCTATACATCCCAAAGATAACATGGGTCTCAATTCAAGGACTGACCCCTAATACAGGTTCTCTGTTTAAATATGTAGCCCAGTAAACTAAATTAAAGGTACCAAACAAAACTGGAAAAACTATTCTGGACATTCTGTCAATTTTGCTAACACTGTTGAAAGTTTTCTTTGCTTCAGCTGGCTTGTTTTCTGGCTTCTTGTTGGGTTCTGGCGTGGTTGCACTCTTGGAGATGGTGGAGAGAACTGGATCTTTTGAAAGATTCGGGGCATAATTGGCAACAGCCACTGCATAAGCGTTGTTCTGTATCATAACGGAAGCCTTTTCTTTTTTCTATTGAAAAATACAAAAATTAACAGAGTGTGGGTTGAGTCTGCTACTTAACATTTTCTAAAGTCCACTTCAAATTCTGAAGGAAGGTATCCTAATACAAATCATCATGCATTAGCAAAAAACAGAAATTAGGAAAATAAATAAAGGTGTTTATTAAATTCCAAATCCATTACGGTGAGAAAACCCCCAGTAAAATTAGTGGTACCACTTTCTTGAGGAATCTTATTGGTTGTGGGTTGACATGGAAAATAACCAATAGAAAAATGCAACTTTAAAAAACAATATAACTTTTCTTTTCTCATGAGTCAGTCAAGTATTTGTCAAATGAATGACTGAATGAATAACTGAAATGTAGAAATATTTTAACAAGAGGAATGATAATCTACAATGAATGATCCCACATTTCTAGCTTAGTAACAGGATTCCCTCCCACCTCACGTCAAAGTCATATAGCAATGCTTTACTCAGATGATGGGAAATTGTAACCTTATGAAGATGGCAGTGCAACAAATACTAGAAACACAGAAGGAGAATAAAATACAAAGTCTTGGATTTTTGCTTAGCTCATCCCGTTTCACTTTATAATCTCTAGTTCCATTATCACAAACTCTTGTCTGAGTCACTATTATCTCCTGCCTGGACTTTGTGTCCGTCTAGCTTGGCTTGACTTTGTCTAACCATTAGACACATTATGGCCACAGGGATCTTTTTTAAGACATAAATTGGATCATTTAACTTCTATGCTTACATCCCTTAAATAATATTTCATGGAACTTAGAATGAAAACAACATTTTTTTTTACAATGGCTTCTTTCTTTTGCTCATTACTTACTGGCTCCCCTGAAATAACCTCAGTTTTCAAAATACTTTCTTGCTTTGGTGCCACGCTTTTAGCCATGATATTTCCCCAGCCCAGAACACCTCAGTTTTGAAAACCTGATATACCATCTCCCCACCCCATTTTTCACATGAACACCAATTCTTTCTCTTATTTTGGTCTTGGTTTAAATGCCATTTCCTAAGAAAGGACTTTCTTAAGGTCACTCTAACTAAACATCTCTTTGCTCCCATATATGCTCATTCATAACACTCTAATTTGTTTCCATTACGATATTTTTCAAAATGTGTTATTTCTTAGTCATGTGATTATTCGACTGACATCTTGCTTTCTCATTCAATGAAGGCTGGTGCTGCTTCTGTCTTGTTCACCTTTGTAATCTTAGCACTTAGCATGAAGCCTTCCACAAGTTAGCCACATAATACATCAGTGAAATAATATATAATTCATTTAATAAAATGAAAATATAAATAGTACTTATCTGTTTCTTTACTAATATAAATATATTTTTGGTTACTTGAATACAAAGTAAATTGAGACAGCAGTGAATTATCCAAAATAGTGAGCAGGGTGTAAAGCAACAGATATAGAGGACAAATTGGTCTACAATCATATTTTGACTCTTATTTATTTTAATTAAGAGCTCTCAAAGTGTTCAAATAAGTTTAAAAAGGAGCTCTGAAAGCCCAGGAGATTCTAAAAACAGTCATGGATTACCCATCTTTCACTGGCCTGAGTTTCTTCCTCTCCTTTTTCCCCTGCTGACATTCTTCCAGATCTGGCTTAATTATGAAAGAAGGAAGGATGAGAGATCACCATTTGTAACTTTGTAAAAGCTACAAAATATCTCTTCTTCAGTAATGATGCATATAGTTCCCATGTTACAAATAGAGGATAATGTCTAAGTGAAAAACTGATAAGGAAATTATAGCGAACACTTTTTGAGCACTAGAATGTGTCGGGTTGATTGTTAGCCAAGGTGACATCTCTGACAAACCTCACTACGGGATAGGAAGTTCCTTTATTAACCCCATGATATAGGTTCAAAAATGAAGGCTAAAAAAGTTTTCTGACTTGACCAGGTCTGCGCCTATTAAATGGCTGAAAAAGCGCTCAAACTTAGATGTATCTGACTTCTAAACCTCTGCTTTTAAACACCATGCCATATGATTTTTGGTCTGAGGAAGCTGTTTGAGACATGGAGTATGCTTTTTCCTAAAATATTCTTGTTGAGGTTTATATCTCTAGGTCAATCTTCAAAAAGGGCTTTTCAACTTATAATGTATATAACATATAGCGTTTATATTATTATTTAAACCAAATTGAAACATCATTTAAAATGATATCAGATTGCACATATAAAGAATCTGGGCCTTGAGAAATTTCCTTAATGTTTTTCTTCAGCTTGTAACTTGACAAAAGGAAGATAATGATACTAAAGGTATATCAAACTGTTGTAATAAACAAATGGACGAATATCTTATTCTAACCACATTGAGAAACATATATTCTCCTAGTGGAGTGCAAATCATAACTATTACAAGCCAGACAGTGATTACTGGTGTACAAGATGTAAAGGCAATATAATTTATTATGTGTTAGGTAGAAGAAGACAAATATTTTGTTGAAGAACTCAAGGAAAGTTTGATGGAAGTAGGACATTTATGTTGGATGAGGAACTAAGGTGTAGGATTTAGGCATGTAGACAAAGAAACATAAAATGTAAATATCTTTTTTTTTGCAACAGGAGTCTCCAGCTAGAAACCCTATACTAATTTTAACCAATATTTTCTTGCCCCTCACTTGAATACCCTTCAGTTGCACATATATGCTCAGGAAATACAGGTACAAAGTCTCTGAAAAACTCTAGAGCAGAGGGACTAACCAATCTGAACAGATACTCTGACCAATCAGAACTGACGTTGGCTGTAAAATACAAGCAGCAGCACATACCAGCCAAGTATCAACCCTGCATATTTGTATGTTGGCACTTTTTGTTTTATGCTAACACTGTGGACTCTTTAATAAGCAGTGTTAAAACTCGTTCCAAGTTATGTTTGCAATTTTTATTGACAGCTATAAATAACAAAATTCACCTTATTTTCTTCATTGTTTAAAGTATGGCTTCACTCTATGAATCAGCAAAAACTTCAGAGTAGGGCTCAGAACTTCAAAAGGTAATGGTTTTGGCTTCAAAGTGCTCTCTTGTAACTTGGAAACTACCATTTTCAGGACCAAGTAAGCAAAGTACAACAGCTATAAGTACCATTTTTAGTTAAGAACCCAGTTGCTGGCACCTGTAATTTCCTACCAATTCACTGAATGAAGGGCAGGGCAATCCTATGGTGCTGCATCTTCTCAATTCCTAGTCTCAGCACAGCAAAGCTTTTCTGGCTCAGAATTTTACAAAGTCTTATTTTAAAGGGGAAAATAAGTCCCCTCAGTCCATTTAAAAGTAATAACTGCAAATCTATAGTAAAGCAGACTGTTTCTCTTTGTTTAAAATTAAAACCATGTTTAGGGAGAGAAAAATACTGTTGAATTCATAGCTGACTTACAATTCTAAGATCTTCTAAAGCAGAGTCTATAGGTTAAGTCTACATAATATATATTATTAATATTCTTTATAAGACACAGATTTGATAGTGATAGTCCCAAAGAATATCCATACCCTAGCTAAATGATATCCAGGAGGTATTACATGGCCCTATTCACTATTGACTGCTATTAAAAATAACTGTGTTGGGAGAAATCATACTATAGAGACCTCTTCGAATATCATGCAGGCTTTGGATCCAGCCACACCATCAGCAGGTTGAATCCTTGGGCCACATGACTGATTTTACTTTATTTAATGTAACTTTTAGCTTACACTCAGAACCTGAAGAAAAATAGTCCAATGAAACCTTTTGTGTTAATGATTAAAAACAGTACTCATTTCCATAAATGAATTTTTTAACGCTTATGTTCCTATACAATTTTTGTTTCTTTTGAAAACTAGAAAAGTTCGGATAGTTCTGATGGCTAATTTCCTATTGCCTCATCTCATGCTGTATTTCTACTTTAAGGCACCTAGATAGGCCACTTCATATCATTTATGAGAATAAGGCCAGGTATAGCCAAAAATATACACCGTGTTCCAGAAGCCGATTTTTAAAAAAGGTAATGTTACAAGTTGAGAATGGGATCAGTGGGAAGGAGACTGGGGATCATGCAGGCAAACTGACACTATTTTCTATTAATTGTAAGTAATTCTCATGGCTTTTGAAAGCTATGCGTGAATGACTGATAAAATATCTCTCCGGAATTCTTAACCACTAAATTTCACTAGACTTCTCTACCTACACATCCCACAGGTAATTAAAGCAAAAAAATGTCCAGAAGTGCACTCAGCTTCCATCCACTCTCACTTCCTGCTGAAATCTGTACACTCACTTGTACCCCCTAATCTGTGACTGGTAACACAATTCAGTCAGAACTGATAATTAACTCCACATTGTCCCCTGGTTACCTCCTTACCATAACCAGGCTAACACTGATTCAGCTCTGAGTCACATCGACCAAGACAACACTTTCTACTGCCTGTACTTAGTTGCCATTTCATGCTTTTCTGGAGGACCCTGGAGCTTGCCTCTATAATGAAACATGTATGTATCTTTTTCACTTTTGTTTTCCTTTCACTTCATTGTAAGCTCTTTGAAGGCACAGACTGTGTATTGCAGAGTTCCTAGCATAGTTCCTGGCTCAGAGCAGGCTCAGAAACGTTTGCTTAATGATAAATGAGTGGCATGTAACTAAAACGCTTACTATGATAAAAATGTATATATAACATATAAAGTGTAACAAGATAATATGTCATATAGACTATAATAAATACTTTATCAGATCAATTGATACAGAATTCAATAGCTTATTCTACAATTCTATTATGTAAGTCTCCTGAATGTCTTCAATTTCACCATCTACAGATGTGTAAGACTGGGAAATAATTAAACAGGCTAAATTTAAAAAAATCAAAGCTTGTGGAAGCTGTTTTACTTGTGATTTAGACCCATATCAGAAGGTGAAGATTTGATTTATAAACAAAATAAAATATATTTTTTATATATTATCTGGGTGGGGGTAGAGTAAACTATGCTGTTACACAGTTTGTTGAATGTTCAGTTGTCAATTAAGTGGAATGAAAAAGAAATATAACCCACACAAATTGATTTTCCATTTTAAAATGACATTTAGTAGGTTTAAGTATGTTTTGAGTGTATTACTTTATTGAAGTCTTTGGATGTATATTTAAAATATCAAGTCTGGAAAAACCCGGATTACAGAAATTAAAATGTCTTACACCATGGTGTCAAAACAATCTTGACTTCCTATGAGTGATAGAGAAAATAATTTGCTAGTAACTTCAGCTGATGTTCTAGCTAACATATAAACACCTATGAGTAAAGTGACCTGGCATTTGAATGAAAATAACAATTACATGGTTTGGAGTCAGAAAGAATCTTAGGGACTGTTCCTTACAGTAAAGAAATGGGGCTCTCATTCAAACACTAAATATAATAGGCTTTGGAGAAAAAAATCAGGTCTCCAAAGGGCAAATCTATGCTTTTTCTACCATACCATGTTGCCTTTTTACAGTTATTGTGGCTACTAGAAAGCTCATTACTTGTAAAATAACAACGTGCTCATTGGTCAGATAATGCTATTGTTAACTGTCTACTAATCATCCTGACTGAGAAAAGTGATACTTACAGAAGATTGTTTGAAGGTTAAACAGTCCATCCACTTCTCTAAGTACTCTAAAGTCTTTTCTTGGAATAAACTGGGCCATGAGAAAGCTATATACTTGGACCATATTAGCTTAGCTCCTTGAAGAATTGCTTTCACTGAGTTGTATGTTAATGTAATGCCTTCAGCTTTTATTGAAGGGGACTACAAGAAACATCAATATGAAATCCATTATTGCGTTTATTGGGAAAAATTTGACATCACTTTCTACAGTACCCAGCTTCCCCTAATTAAAAAAAAAATAAAACATTTGTTTTTTCAAAAGGCAATTTCAGTGTAAGGAAAAGTTTTTCTCTGAGAAAACTTATATATCTAAAGAAAAATAACTCTTCCCTCCCCCAAGGTGTTACTTTGGTCACCAAGAAACTGAGAATTTGAAGCTTAACTGCTATTGCTATGGACTGCAGCTAATGTGCTGGCCCAAAGATGAATGTATTTGAGTCTATTTTCTTTCATCTTGATTTTCTAATTTTATTTCTATTTTATTTAATTATAATTTAAATGCATGCATTCTTTGATGAACTGCCTGAAATATTTTGGAACAAGGCAGGATGTTATAAATGCAAATAAATAAATAAATACACTTGAAAATGTGATGTTTTCTATGAATTAAATAAAATGACTCATAAAACAATAGCACATTCCATAACTGTTTGCATATTTTGTTCCTACGTCTACGTTTTGAGTAAATTATTATCTAGTGTTTTCTATAATTTCCTTAGCCAGTTTGGACTCACTGACTCAGATTTAGAATTGAAAGCAATCTCAAGGAATTAAAGTAAATACATTTTTTTATCAACTCAATAAGATATGTACTAAATACTGTGCTAAGTAACAGTAGATACGATGATGAATAAGGCAAAATATTGCCCACTCAGATCTTGTAAACTTGTGTAAGAAACAGACTTACTTACAATATAACTATAATGTAATGAGATGTTGTAAAAATAATTTGTACCAAATGGTGTCAAAACACAATTTGGGGAATGAGAGGAGTTAAATAAATTAATCTGAAAAGTTTTCATATTATGTAAAATCAGATAGATCTTAACAAATAATAGGAGTTTGTCAGTTAGCAGCAGAAGAAGAGGTATTATTGCAAGAGGGGTCAGCAGGTCTAATGTTATGGAGCTGTGAAGAGGCATGGATGTTTGGGAAAATGATTGTGGCTAGTAATGGTTAGAGAAAGAATATGATTATGAAACTTAGATCTATCCTCAATCCTGGATTTCACTACCTATTAGATGTGTGATTCTGACCAAGTAACTTTATTGACCAATTCTCATTTCTAAAATAGAAATACTCCCAGTCACATGGAAGCAAAAACATAATAAAAAATCTTCCTTATTATTCATTATAGAAACAAACATAAGAGAAAACTATATACTTGGACCATATTAGCTTAGCTCCTTGAATAACTGCCTTTAATAATTGATTAAAGAACTGAAGAGTTAGTTAAATGATCTGATTTATGATTTAGAATAACTCTGACAGTAATGTAGAGATAGATAAGAAGAAGACATGATTAAAAATAGAAAGGAGTAAAAAAAACTATAAAAAGTATGAGAGATGGTGAAAATATGGTCTAAGATATGTAAGGAGAATAATGGACAAGATTTAATGACTGACTAGATGTTGAGCGATACTTCCAAGTTGTTGGCTTATAAGATTAGGTTGTGGCATTAACTGAAGTATCAATTAGTGATGAATAACTAGGTATGGGCAGTGGAAAGATATAAAATCTATTTTATTTTATCCTTTCTAAAACAGATATTGTTATATTCAGGTTGAGACTGAGGTTGAGATGTTATATTCAGGTAGAAATATTCCAGGAATAGGTTAGATATATTACCTCGTAAGTTAAAAGGTATGGTGTATAGTTATCAATAATGACCTTGAATAGTGAAATGAAGGCATGGGTTTTAAATTTTGATTGGGTAATACCTCTTTAACTCATACCATATTTACTGAGCACCTAATACATGTAAGAACCTGTACAAAATGCCAGAAAGAAGTGATGTGTTAAACAAAAATGGTCATTGTCATGATCAGTGAAAGAGTTGAGACAGAAATATGCAATTACAAACTACGATAAAGGTTCTAATGCAAAAGAACAGAGTACTGCACACACTTATAATGGAGGCCTAATCATTTACAAGGGCAGGGGAGGGCTCAGAAATTTCCTGAGGAATTGATATTTGTGCTGAGGATGGCAAATGGGGGGACAGTATGCTTAGTGTTGCAGATATTCATGCAAGCATTGTCAGTAAAACCCTTAAAGTGAGAATCACGCAGTGAATACTCAAAACAAAAACAGCATTAAAGAAAGCAGAATTGACTGTCTTTAGGGATAAACAAGAACAGATGCCAGGGAAGCTGGGTCCACTCTGAACTCTGGCAGAGAATCAAAAAACAGAAAATGAATAGTGGCAGCTGCCAGGATGTGAGGGAAGAAAGCAGATACTCTGAAGTTTGATTTAAGAAAGAAAAGAAGAGAAAAAGTTGCTGTGCTGGGCCTGAAGAATGATTCTGGAGCATAACAGTAAAAAAATTTAATGGGGATTCCTTGAGAAAAATAGGAAAATTATTTTCAGATCTTAAAGTATGGAGGTTATTAGCGCTCTTCAGCTACAAGATAGTAAATGAAAAGGAAATTAGATTATAGTTGGTCGAGAATTAAGTTGAAAGTGATAAGATAACATTGCAAGCAATGCTTTTAAAAAGTTTGAATACAGAAAAGAGGGGAGAAGCTGAGGATGTGGGAAGAAAGTGGCATAGGATTAGAAAGTTTTCTTCCTGGTAAATTAAGCATATTAAGCATCTTCATAAGCTGAAAGAAAGGAGGCAGTTGAAAATAGTAAGATGGCTTTGAAGACATAAAATAAGAAAACAATAACTAATGGAACAGGTTTGAGAAAGCAAGAAGGAAAGAGATCCAATCAAGAGCTAGGATGAAAGAATTTGTATTGAGCAAAAGGAGAAAAGGAAAAACACCGGATATGAAAAAGGGTTCCATAAGAGCCTGGGGTTGCATAAATAGACACCTTTGTATTAGGAAAGGCATAACAATTCAGAGTTTGATAATCTGATCCAGCACTGTATTTTTCTAATGATAAGACTTTCTTGTCTAATTTCACAACTGAGGCTAAAAGTAGTGTAAAATCCTGCCCAAGCTCACAGAGCAAGGTAGCTCTGCCTTTTAATATAGGGCTCAAATGTAGCTTGAGTATAACTGAGAGTGTTTATTTATTTATTTGCAAAAACTAAATTTAAGTAACGGTGCACATTCTACATGTAATATGTCGAGTGTGCACATGTAAACAGGTTAAAGACATATGTCTTTTTCTTAAAACATACAATATCAATATGGAGCTGAATCATTATTCTTATGGGGCAAATTGATAATTGGTATTTTATGAATTTTCAAAGAACTTTTCATTTGCTCGTTGGATTGACAGATAACCGCATTTGCTCATGTTTACTAATGTCAAAACAAAAGGACTTCCATAAGCCTGGTTAGTCAGAAAGGACACTAAAAACAGCCTGTGGACAGAAACTCTGTACTTAAAGAAAATTATAATTTTCTGCTTAAAAATTAAGTCTAAGGAATATTAAGATAAAAGTATATTACACTGAAATATCTTTTAGGCAGATAGGCTACTTTAGGGCACTCTTCTAGATATCCTTTTAGTTTTAAGGACATTTTAATTCTTAGTCTGAAGGTAGGTTTATGAAACATCTCTCAAAACTCATCTGAATCATGAAATTGGATAGAATACCCACTGATAAATTCATTATAAGTTTTTTTTTTACAAAACTTTCCATGAAGGCAAAGAAGTCCTCCCACTGGTATTATATTGTCGGATTTAAGATCACAAACTCATTCATTCTTTTATACAATAAATATTTATGAAATGCCTGCTAAGGACCAGGCACTGTGCTGGACACTCTAGCTGTGGAAAAGGAAATGAGAACAAGCAATGTCTGATATATTGTTTTCCTGAAGTAAACCACAAGAACTAAAATAACATAAACAACGTTAATTCTTTTCCTGAAAATTAGGTTGGAACCTCAGTGATTTTGACATAGATTTATCCTGGCTATGTGTAATTTGGCATATGGATAGACTTAAATCCACTATACATGAGGAGTAAGCTATTGCTTTTATAGAGCATTATCAATTATTTGTTTTTCACATTTAGAGGTACTTCTGTTTTCCAAAGTAAAGAGTTGAGGAGGCATATCATTTCAGAATGTCAATTTGGCACTCTCTAATATTAAAATAATATATCAATAAATTTATATACGGGAATTCATGGCACAAAATGTTTATCTTTTGTGACATATTTACAAAGGTCTAATATTTTATCTCCAAAAAATTAGTATAAAGGTGCATGTGTAACCAATATACCTTAAAAAATAATTGCATAGATACCATGAAAAAGCAGTACACCATATGGGCAATGAAAACATAAATCAATATTAAATTGTAATGGAAATGCTGAAACAGCCCAGAAGTTAAGCATACAAAATGGACCAGATTCCTTTTAATATTTATTTGTTGGCTCCGTTAGTAGGGAAAACACAACTTATAAAATGAAATAAATAATCAGTCTTATTAAAATTTCTATGGCTTACAAAATTAAGGAAAAAGACCAAGACTTTTAAACTATAACATTTACTGCTTGTATATTTAAACTGTAACATGGTCATAGAAATGAAAAAATATATTCAAATAACTGAAAAAGAAATCAAATCTGCAAGTATGTTAATCCAAATTTAATAAAAGAAGCATTTAGGTTGATACAATGTTAAAGATATCCTCTGAATACAACTTTTTACCATTATTAAGAATATAGATGATTATGATACATTCAAAGCCTCCTCTTAGGCAGATACATAATCTACAGAGTATGAAAGGAAACAGCTGTTATATCAATGCACAAATCTCCCATTAGATTCAGTACTTGAAACCTAAATATGGACAGCAATAATCTCAAAAGAAGTTAATCTTAAAAACAAATAACTTTTCCCTTTTAGACCATATGAACAATTTAAAATTCCTAAGCATTCCAGCACCGACATATTTATTCCATACAACATGGGAAAGATTTTAAAAAAATGCTATCCGGGCTTTTACAATCAATCAGCAGAGACTGGAACAGGTGAAGAGGATTCAATTCATTGATAGAGCCTGGAATTCTATAATAAGTAAAATTAATGCCCATTTTCTTTTTCTAATCTCTTTATAATAATGCAGTGTGGTGTTAAAACCATGAACTTAACAGTCAGACAGGTAGATCGGAGTTCAAGTATACTTACTAACAAGTTGTGTAAGCTTGGGCAAGAAAATAACTTTACTGCTTCAGATTCTTCATGAGTAAAAATAAGAATAAGAAGGCAGTCTAGTCATAAGGATGCTATAAAGATTATGTGAGAGAGCATATGTAAAACACTTAGCACAGTGCCTGACACATACAGCTCAACAGATGCTACGGAGTGGTTTTAATGGAAGTATTAGTACTACAAGAACTCCTAAAGGATTTCAGGCAAGAACACTTTAAAAGAAATTGATATGATTCAAATTCATATATATATGGATGTCTTTAATGTCAGTTTTTAGAAACATATCTGTTACAAGCGGAATTCATTAGGGTATTTTCTTAATAATGATAACACGGAAGCTCTCACTTACCTTGTCATTTACTACACTCTTCCCATCCCAAGCCCATCCTCTTTTGGTGAAGTAATTAACAGTTGCAAATTCAATTAGGGCAGAGAACACAAATGCATAACAAACAGCAATAAACCAGTCCATGGCAGTTGCATAAGCCACTTTGGGGAGAGAATTCCGAGCACTGATGCTTAGAGTTGTCATTGTTAGGACAGTTGTTACTCCTGCAAAAGAAAAGATAGGAATCGAAAACATCAATAGGTACTAGCAGGACAGCATGGGAAGTAGCTTTTCTTTCTCCCTCCAGCCCCCAAAGCTTTTACTACTCTTATCCACTAAATAATAATAAATAAATGAATAAATACTGGAATTTATATTAAAGTGTAAAGTTAATTATCTTAAATGGTTATGATATTTCGTGATGTAATGACTCTCAAAATACTTTCGGTTTCCATTTTTTGTTCTGTATAAAAATCAACTTCCTTCTTCTTAAGTACTGTTGAAGTTAAAAAGACTAGGGATACCGAAGTAGAATTACCTACAAGGAAAAGCAGGCACTTTAAATGGTCCCATTGACAATTAATATATATTTTTGAAATCTTATAAAATCCTCACATTAATTTGTTCATCATTTATTTGAATCATGTTAAGCAATGGACCAATAACCCACAGAAGTAATCATGAAGGAACCGTGATTTAAACATACTTCAAGAGGCTGGGCATGGTGGCTCACGCCTGTAATCCCAGCACTTTCGGAAGCCGAAGTGGGTGGATCACAAGGTCAGGAGTTCAAGACCAGCCTGGCCAAGATGGTGAAACCCCATCTCTATTAAAAATACAAAAATTAGCCCAGCGTGGTGGCAGGTGCCTGTAATCCCATCTACTTGGGAGGCTGAGGCAGGGAGTTGCTTAAACCCAGGAGACAGAGGTTGCAGTGAACCGAGATCACGATGCTACACTCCAGCCTGGGCGACAGAGCAAAAGTCCGTTGAAAGAAAGAACGAAAGAAAGAAAGAGAGAGAGAAAGAAAGAAGAAAGAAAGAAAGAAAGAAAGAGAGAGAGAGAGAGAGAGAGGGAGGGAGGGAGGGAGAGAGAGAAAGAAAGAAAGATATGTTGCTTTCCTCTGAGACTTTTGTACAAAAGAATAGAATATAAGACAAATACACACGTACATATATACATATACATATACATGTATGTACATATATGTGTATATACATACAATATAGGAAATGAAAATAACAAATCAGCAGCAACTGTAAAGGTAATACAAAAAAAGTTGCTTTTTAAAAGCAGTATTATCATCAAAATGTTAGTAAAACTTTAAAAAATTGATACTCTCCTGGTATTGAGGAAGATATGGGGCATTACAAATTTGTGTCATACCTAAGAAACTGTTGTCTAATCCAAGGTCATGAAGAATTAGCCCTATTTTTCTTATCAGTTTTAGAGTTTTATGTCTTACCAGTGAGTCTTTGGTCCATTTTGAGTTCATTTTTGTGTGTGGTGTAAGGTAGATGTTCACATTCATTCTTTTGCACCTAGATCGCCCATTGTCCCAGCACCATGTGTGAAAAAAGACTTTTGTTTCCCCATTAAATTATCTTGGACACTTCGTTGAGAATCAATTGACCATAGATATATGGGATATCTCTGTACTCCAAATTTTATACCCTTGATATACATATCTATCCTTAGTCAAGTTTTACACTGTTTTGATGACTATAGCTTTAAATTAACTTTTGAAATCAAGAAGCTTGAGTCCCTTCTTATTCTTATTCATCAGTCTTAGTTTTCTTCAAGATTGTTTTGGCTAATCAGGATCCCTTACATTTCTGTATGTTGTTATGGTTTTGTTATGGTCATTTTGTTCATCTTTGCAAAAAAGGTAATTGGAATTTTAATAGGCATTTCATTGAATCTGCACATGATATTTGGTAGTAATGCCATTTTAATGATACTAAGTCTTTCAATCTTTGAACACAGGATATATTTCCATTAGATCAATTCTCTCTCTCTCTCTCTCTCTCTCTCTCTCTCTCTCTATTTCTCTATAATAAACATTTCCATTTATTTAGGGCTTCTTTAATTTCATACAGCAACATTCTATAGTTTTCAGTGTATAAGTCTTTCATCTCCTTCATTAAATGTATTTATAGATATTGTATGTGTTTGGATGCTAATGTAAATGGAATGGTTTTCTTAACATTCTGTTGAGACTGTTCATTGCTTATGTACAAAAACACAACTGATTTTTTTCTACGTTGATTTTGTACCCTGAAACTTTGTTGAATTTGTTTAATAGCTGTAACAATTATGATGTGGTTCGTTAAGGGTCTTCTATAAATAAGATCATGCAAATAGGGAGAGTTTTACTTCTTCCTTTCCAATCTGTATATTTTTATTTGTTTTTCTTACCTAATTGCCCTAGCTAGAACCTGTAGTATAACGTTGAATAGAATTGGTGAGAGCAGACATCTGTGTCTTATTTCTGATGTTAGGGAGAAACTTTAATCCTTCACCTATAGGTATGATTGTTTGCATTTTTTTTCACTTTCCATAAATATGTTGTATTATATTGATTTGATTTTTGTATGCTGACCCAACCTTGCATTTCTGGGATAAATCCCACTTTGTCATGCTATGTAATCCTTTTAAAATGTGGCTGATTTTAGTTTGCTAGTATTTTATTGAGGGCATCTGCATCTATATCTATAAGGAATATGGATCTGTAGGTTTTTTATTGTGATTCCTTTCTCTAGTTTGGTATTGGTATCTTGGTAATACGGCCTTATAAAGTGAGTCAGGAAATGTTTCCTTCTCATCTATTTTCTGGAAGATTTTGAGAAAGATTGTTGTTAATTCTTTGTATGTTTGGTGGAACTCACCAGAGAAGCCATTTGACCTTGATATTTTCTTAATTGGAAGATTTTGTTTACTAAACTCACAGTTTTATTTGTTAAAGGTTTACTCAGAATCTTGAGTCTATTTTGGTCATGTGTAGTAGTTTCTAGGAATTGTTATAGTTAATCTAGATCATCTAAATTTTTGGCATACAATTGTTCCCAGAATTACTTTATACATATATATATATATATGTATAAAGAGAGAGAGAGATAGAGAGAGAGAGAGAGAGAGAGATTGAGAGAGTCAGTCTTGCTTGACATTTCACCCAGGCTGAAATGCAGTAGTGTGATCTTAGCTCACTGCAACCTGCACCTCCTGGGTTCAAACAATTCTTGTGCCTCAGCACCCTGAGTAGCTGGGATTACAGGAGCACGCTACCATGCCCAACTAGTTTTCGTATTTTTAGTAGAGACAGGGTTTTGTCGTATTGGCCTGGCTGGTCTCAAACTCCTGGCCTCAAATGAGTGATCCACCTGCCTCAGCCTCTCAAAGTGCTGTGATTACAGGCATGAGCCACCGCGCCTTGCCACTTTATATATGTATCTGTGTGTGTGTGTGTGTGTGTGTGTACACAATATATATATAATATATTGTGTATATATATAATATATTGTGTATATATATATAATATATTGTGTATATATATAATATATATATAATATATTGTGTATATATTATATATATATATATATGTTTTCTCTATGGTCAGAAGTGATGTCCCATCTTCTTTCCTGATTTTAGTAATTTGATTTTTTTCTCTTTTTTTCTTGGTCATTGTGGCTAAAAGTAAGTCAATGTTATTGATCTGTTCAAGAACCAACTTATGGCTGTGTGGTAATTTTTTCTATTTGTTATTTCTGTTCTCTCTACAATTTATCTCTACTCTAACACTTATTTTTCTTCCTCTTGCTTTGGGTTTAGTTTGTGCTATTCTACTTTTCAAGGAAGATGGTTAAGTTATTGATTTGAGAATTTTTTTTCTCTTTTTAACATAAGTGGTTAGAGATACAAATTTCTCTTTAAGAACAAGCTTTTGTATTTTCCATAACATACGTTATTTTTTGTTTCCATTCATCTTATTTTCTAAAACCTCTTGTGATCTCTTCTTTGATTTCATGGTTATTTAGAAATGTCTTGTTTAATGTTTACATATGCAAATTTTCCAAATTGTCTTTTTTATTGATTTCTAATTCTACTCTATTGTGGTGTAAGAACATACTTTGTAATAATTCAATCTTCGAATTTATTGAGACTTGTTTAATGGCCTAATGCATTATCTTCCTAGAGAATGCTCCATGCCCAGTTGAGAAATATGTGCATTCTGCTTTTTATGACCAGAGTATGTTAGGTCTAGTTGGCGTATTCTCTATTCAAGTCTTCTACATTTTGCTGATCTTCTGTCTAGTTATATTCATTTTTAATGTTTTAAAATTAATATTTCAATATTTTAATATTTTATATTAATAAGATAGTAAACAAATTATTATATTTAATTTTTAATATTTAAAATAAATATAAAATAAATTTATAAATTTAAATATAAATATAAAATAAATTTTATATTTACTTTTTAATATTTTATTTTAGTTTTGATGAGTAATTCTTGGTTGAGTATTTTTCTTTTCAAATATCTTCCCATGGCCTCTGGTCTCCATGGTTTTTGATGATTTTTTAGGTGCTAATCATGTTGAGGATCCCTTTTATATGAGGTGTTACTTTGCTTGTAACATTTGGTTGTTTCGAGATTCTCTATTGGCCTTTGGCATTCCACAGTTTTATTATGATATATCCAGTTGTGATTTCTTAGCGTTTACTTTATTTCTAGTTCATTGAGCTTCTTGGATGTGCTGATAGATGGTTTTCATCAAGTTTGAAAGGTTTTAGCCACCATGTCTTCAAATATTCTCTTTTTTTTTTTTTTTTTTTTTGAGATGGAGTCTCAGTCTGTCACCCAGGCTAGAGGGCAGTGACATGGTCTCAGCTTACTGCAACCTTTGCCTCCCAGGTTCAAGCAATTCTCCTGCCTCAGCCTCCCGAGTAGTTGGGATTACAGGCATGCACCACCACGTCCAGCTTATTTATTTTTATTTTTAGTAGAGACGGGGTTTCACCATGTTATCCAGGCTGGTCCTGAACTCCTGACCTCAGATGATCCACCATCCTCGGCCTCCCAAAGTGCTGGGATTACAGGTGTGAGCCACCGTGCATGGTCCAAATATTCTTTTTTCACCTTTCTCTTTCTACTCTTGTTCTGTGACTACAGTATATTCATGTGTTGATATGCTTGATGATGTACAACAGGTCTCACAGACTTTGATTAATTTTCCTCATTGTTTTTTCTTTCTGTTCCTCATATTCAACAATCTTAATTGGCTTATCATTGAGGTAACTGATTTTTCTTTTTGGACTGTTTGAATCTGCTGGTAAGCCCCTCTAGTGAATTTTTTATTTCAGTTATGATAATTTGAACTACAGAATTTCTAATTGTTTCAATTTTTAAATAATTTATATCATTTTATTGGTAAAGTGTTTGAAACATCATTATTATATTTTCCTTTAGTTCTTTCGACAGGGTCTCCTTTAGCTCTTTTATCATAGTTAGCACAGTTAAAGTCTTTGTGTGGTCAGTAAAACGTCTGGGCTTCCTCAGGTAGAATTTCTAATGATTTTTTTTTCCTGAAAATGGGTTATAGCTTCTCTTTATTTTGGATGTCTCATATTCTTTTTTGAAAATTGGACATTAGGAATACTGTAATGTGGCAAATCTGGAAATCAGATTCTGACCATTCTCTGGGGTTTGTTGTTATTGTTGAAGTACTTATTGTTTGTTTATTAGCTTTTCTTAACTAATTCTATGAAGTCTGTATTATTTTTAGTTAGGGGTTACTGAAGACTCTGTTTTAATAGCTTAGGGGGTCATCTAATGAATGGACAGAATATGTAATCATTAGCTATTTTTATTCTTCCTACTTTTGTTTTTATAACAGAATGACGATCCCTCAGCTAAAAGTCTCAGATTTAATATTCTCCAAAATCTGAAATGTTTCAAGTGCCAAGATGTCATTGTAGATTTCAGATTTTTCAGATTATGGATGCTGTTTCAGATTTTTCAGATTATGGATGCTGAACCAGTATGTATTCTACAAACGTTCCAAAATCCAAAAATATTCAAAAGACTTCTTGTCCCAAGCATTTTGGATAAGGGATAGTCGACCTGTACTACCATTCTAAAAAATGTATCTTGCTGATATGACAGAAAACAACAACAACAACAATAACAAAATCCTAGAATAAAAGATAAAGAAAAAGGTATATGACATTAGTTCGGGTAATGATTTTTTAGGTTTGACTGTGAAAACATAGGCAACAAAAACAAAGATAAATGAGTGAGATTACATCAAGATAAAAAGTTTTCATATATTTAAAAAATTAACAGAGTGATAAAAATATGTGAATTGGTAGAAAAAATTTGCAAGTCACACATCTGAAAGGTGCTTCATTTACAAAATATATAAAAACTCAAACACCTCTATAGAAATAAAACAAGTAATTGAATTGAGAAACAGGCAAGGGACTTCAAAAGATATTCCTCAAGGGAAGACGTTAATAGTTGACAGATACATGAAAAAAATGGCCAACATCACTAAACATTGGAGGATATCAATTAAAACCATAATGAATATCACTTCATATATTTTAGAATGGCTGTTATCAAAGGAACAAAAGAGAACATGTGTTGGCAAGGATGTATATTGCACATTCTTGGTTGGAATGTGAATTATGTGAATTAGCATAACTCTTATGGAAAACAGTATGGGAGTTTTTCAAAAAACAGAAAATAAAATTACCATATGATCCAGCAATCCCACTTCTGGGAATTTACCCCAAAGACTTGAGATCACTATAGTGAAGAGATATCTGCACTTCCATGTTCATTACAACACTACTTATAATAGCCAACTTATGGGATCAACCTAAGTATCTACCAAAGGATGAATTAAGAAAGAAAATGTGGTATATATGTACAATGGAAAAGTATTAGTCCTCAAAAAAAGAAGAAATTCTGTCATTTGAGGCAACATGAATAAAATTGGAGAATATTATGCTGAGTTAAATAAGTCAAACACAGAAAGACAAAAACAGCAATGTTCTCACTTATAGGTAAAATCTAAAGCAATTGAACTCATAGAAGCAGTGAGAAGAATGGTAGTCACTAGAGGCTGTGAGGTCAGATAAATGAAATGGGAAGATGATAACCAAAGGGTACCAAGCCTCAGATAGGAAGAATAATTTTGATGTTTTTTTGAGAACAGTTGCAGAGTATGGTAAATATAGCTAATAATTAAGTTCTGTAACTTCTATTTCACTAAGAGAGTATTTCTAATATTCTCATTACAAAATGTTAAATATTAGAGGTGACAGATATATTAATTAGCTGACTTTAATCTTCCCACATGTATTAAAAATCATAACATCATTTTGTAATCTATATGTATATATACAGTTATGTGTCAATAGAGAATAAAAAAGAAAGTATAGAGATAAGTGATATACAAGACTCCTCTTTGAACACTGCTTTTAAAAGCCAGAGTGGCAAATTGGCCTATTAACTGATATAGAAATAGTTTGAAAAGTTGTTGAATACCTACATGATAAATACCATGACAATATCACAAAGGATAAAGTAGTGCTATATATTCACTACAAATATTCTGCATTAAAAGTTTCATAATTCAATTTGAATGAAAATACACCCAGCTGGATTTATATATCAATATAAATGTAACTGTATAAACGTAGTAAAAAAAATCAGAAAAGAAACACCTACAGTTATCATTTTGGGGAAGAATGTGGTATTTGGATTGAATGGAGAAAATTAAAACGGACTTGTGGCTGACTTTTTTTTGTTTCACATTTTTTTACTATTGTAAAATGAAATACCAGAAATAAAATTAAAAGATAAAATCTCTAATGATACAATTTAATATGGTAATATTAGTTATTTATGAAAATTAATACTGAGGAGATTGTATTATATTCTTTTTCTGCAGTGAAACTGCTTTGCTTTTGTGATAAAAATAATACAACAATTTTAATTTAAAGCAGGGATACTTGATGGCATCTATCAATTGTAATGCAAATGTGAATTCTTGGAATATCTGATGGTTGCACTAATACTGATTAATTTTCTAAAAAACTAAAAACATTTACAATAAAATGTAAGCCCAAATTATGGCAAACCGTAAGTTGAAATTTGTTTGTAAGTGTAAACTGATAGTTTAAAATTAGATTTTGGTCTATTCATTCTAGGCAATGAAACATTACAGCAATTTTAATATAAATCTACTATGAGGCAGTCTTCCCCATATCTAAATTATATTTTCTTTCATCTGATTTTGGAAATTTGACAATAACATTATTAACTTTCTGTCTAGATCCGCTCCTCCTTCCTTCCTGTCTTCCCTTTCTTTTTGTCTTTTTACTGGAAAGATATGATTCTCAAATGTCACCTTTTCTGTTTACTGCTTTGGCGTAGCCTGGTCTCATGACACTATAAACAGAGAGTACTGGACATTAAACAAAGAGATAGTGCACTTACCTGGAAAGCTCACAAACCTTCCATGTACCTCTCTACCAACAATGTGCATTTTTCTACACTAGTTGGGTACTCTCTAAATGTTTCCTTAGCATTTCTTTAACAGACTGTTTCTTTTTTTTATCACCTCTGTGAGATCTCTACAATTCACTTCTTTTCTGGGAGGCTCTTTTGTCAATTAAAAATAAAAAAGGTAAGTACTTTAAAGTGTTTTTAGCACTAAAATTCTCTATAACATGTGAAATATATGTGATTATTCCCCATGCACAGACAATACCTAACTTACAGCACTTTTATATTTTGGTTTATTTTACATAATATTTTTATATCAAGGTATAGGCCAAAAACATTAGATAATTGATGTTTTAACTCATAATAGCTGAGCAAATGATGTCCAAGCAAAGAGTGTTGGGTAAAAATACACGCTGAGAAGAAAGTCAAACTAAGGTAGGTAGTTTAACATAGAGACTGACACTGCTGTAGCAGCTTCCCCATTTCTAAAGTAAGGATCACCAGTAGTGCTTTCCAATACTGTTGTTACTAAGATCAAATGAGTTTCTTCATGTAAAGCTGTGCCCCTACTATATAAAAAAAAAAAAATACTTCAATGCATTTATGCCAAAAATATCACTCTGAAAGCAAAGGTAGATTTAAATCAGAAAGACAAAATAAAATAAAACCTTCCTATGTATTTGTGGTTGGGGTGCAGGGTGGAAGTTAAGAAGGAGAAGTCTCAGAAACCAAACAGGCACGAAAGACTGCAATAGAACACATGTAAAATTGTTTGATACCACCTGCTGGTTATTGCTTGGAATGACAGAAACAAAAGATACTCTGATAACATGTGTTGGGTTTCCCCCGCTTCAGGCCAATGGATAAAAATTGAAAGGACAGAATATAACAAAGGTATGCACAAGACCAGGTTGTATATGCCTCTAGAAGGAAGTTCTACAGACTGCAAAACCTGAGCTATGCATACTGCAGCATTAGTAGAATGTGCACTCTCAGGTGCAAGAACCTTTGACATTTTGTTAAATACCCTATCCCCCAAATAAAGTAAAATAAACATTTACAAATACAACCTCAGCATACTGTAAAAGGTTATAATTTTTAACACAGAGCTGTACTGCATCTGAATGATAAAATCACTGGAATTTCTCTGTGTTAGAGAGAGAAATTAGAATTTGGATGACATATTTTCTCAAAAACCTTAACTCAAACTCACATCTTTAATATTGGTGAGAATAAAGAAACAATTATGATCTAGAAGAAAATGTTTCAAAGGCTAATAATAATGTGGACAACACTGTTGAAGGAATCAAAATTGTTCTATTTACCTAAATATATCACGGATTTAATTTATCCAAAACTCGTATCCCTCTCCTCACTTTTCTTCCTGAAGTCTTTCTCTCAGAGAAAGACTTCACAATTTAAATGATGCCATTTTCATATTGGCATCAATGTGAAGCTGCAGAGATATAAAAATTTTGTCAGTCTAGGGAATTGTACATGCTGTTTACTCTACCTGGAGTCTTTTCACTGTCCCTTGTTTACCTGTTTTTTATTTAGCTACCTTCTATGTCTTTACTTAATAAATTATTATTAAGTGCCTACTAAATGTCAGGTACTTTTGTAATAACTGAGAATACACCAATTAACAAAATTGCAAAGATTCCTGCACCCTAGGGTGCCAATTCTCCTAATGCTGCAGTATATATAGCTCAAGTTTTGCAATCTGTAGAATTTATTTCCTAAAGGCACACACAACCTGGTCTGATGCACATCTTTGATATATTGTCTTTTTCAATTTTTTGTTATTTGGCACAACTGTAAACCCCAATAAATTATATGGATTAGAGCCAGTGTGTCTTCTCCCCACAATGTAAGAATGTGCTTAGTTGAGGGTAGTGCTTCATTTGTTTTTTAATAAATTAATAAATATTTATTGAAACCACCCCACCAGTAATCTGTAATCAATAAATATTTATTTTTTAGGATAATTGCAAGAAACCTATACTTTCTTTTATGAAGCAAGCATAAATTTAGTCCCCACTTTGTGCTGAGCACTGTGGAGTTGTGAATGGAGTGTTAGCAAAGCCAGATAAGCTCTCTAAGAGATATTAAAAAATAAAAGTACAAAACAACCCAACCTCACAACTGGACAAGGTTTAAGATGACTTATAATAGAGCAGCCCACCTTGAAATGGGGGTTGGGTAGGGCTTCCCTTAAGAAGTAGGGGCAAAGTTAACGGGGTTCCCCAGAAAAGGAAAAATAATCCTAAACTAGAAAACAGCATGTACAGAAAATCCCAGGAACATGGTGAAGCCCAGGGCATTTAGGAGGAACAGACAGAAGGCTACAAGGCAGGAAGGCAAGAAATAAGGGTTTCATGAAAGAAGATGAGGCCAGAAAAGGAAGCAGGAGCCAGACTAATCAAAGCCTGTTTGATTATGCTAAGGTAATATCACTTACTTTCAAGAGCAATGGGAAACTATTTTTTATTATAATGTAAGTTCTGGGGTACGTGTGCAGAATGTGCAGGTTTGTTACACAGTTGTACACATGCCATGGTGGTTTGCTGCACCCATCAACCCATCATCTACATTAGGTATTTCTCCTAATGCTATTCCTCCCCTAGCCCCCCACCCCTGACAGAAATTTAAACAGTGTAGTGGCATGATCAGTATTTCTTATTTAAAATATTACTTTGGCTATTATTTATTTTTAGTTAAGGTAGTATTGTTTTTCCTTCCCTAGTTGTTTTTAAGATTGTCTCTGTCTTTGGTTTACAGCACTTTGAATGTGATATGACTAGGCGTGATTCTTGTTGTTGTTTTTCATTTTTTAAATTTATCCTTCTTAGTGTTCTCTGAGATTTCTGGATATGTGGTTTTATTTGGAAAGTTCTTGGCCATTATTACCTCAAATATTTCTTCTCTGTCCTCACTTTCTTCTTTCTCTCTCTCTCCCTCTGTGTGTGTGTGTGTGTGTGTGTATGTGTATACACACTGTTCACACTGCAGATATATTTAGACAGTCTCTCTATAGACCATTCATTGCATATATATATATATGCATATATATATATATATGCATATATATATATATATATATATATATATATATATGAGAGAGAGAGGGATACGTTTTGGAAAATGTATTAAGTTTTAGGAAATGTATTAAGCCAAGCACCAACTAAACACCATTCTCCGGAGTGAGAAGGTAAGAAAACAAACAAGATAAGATGGAAATAAATTTTCTCCTTCTCTATCTGTCACTTAACGACTGTGGCACAAGACATCCAAGCACAGGATAGTCTTGGTATCAGAGACCTAGGTTTTCTGTTTCTTGTATCTCTGCCATATTTAAGGTGTTGGCCATGATCCTGAGGTTCAGGAAGGCTTGCCAACACTAGACTGCCTTCCAGCAAACGGAAAGTGGAAGAGGGAAGGAGAAGCATATCTATTCATTTTAAGGGCATGTTCCCGAGTTTAAGGGCATCTCCCTAAGATTTAGGTAACAAACTGAAAATTATACAACTAAGATTTATTCATATTTCTTTGAGAGCTTTACTCATATATCTTAGCTCCTATAGCTATAAGCGGGGGGGCAGAAGAATGTAGTCTTGATTTGACACACCCAGCTTGAATCTGGAATTCTATTATTCTGTAAGTTACTGGGAGACAGTAGTCATCTCTGACAGAAGGATTGCTGATGAACATTTCTATGTATTAATTTGTGTAGCTCATATAACAACCATGTAAGTAACATATAATTATTATTCTCATTTACAGATGAGCAAATTGAGTTTACATGAGGTGTAGTACCTTACTGAAGATCATACTGTTAGCAAGTAGTAGAGATTAGATACAAACCCAGGTAACCTAACTCAGAAGTCCACACTCTTTACTGCTAAATTATATTGCTGAATCTATAAATGAGATTTTCTTTCAAAGACACTTATGTCTAAATTGTGTATTTTTCAATATAATTAATCTAACCCTTGCATTTTACTGGTGAAGTTGCTAAGATCTTTATGAATTTTAAAGTTGCATCATACATTAAAGTGTTTAAATTGCTTGAGAAGTGGCTATACATAGAGAAAAATGGGCCTTAAAGGCAGGCAAGAGTTTGAATTCTGCTTGTGCCACAGCAATGATGTGACTTTGCTAAACTGCAGACGCTTCCTCCATCTGCAAAAGGGAAATGATATTTTGGGGGTTGTTGGAAGGAAAACCTATAAGCATACGTGCCTTAAATACAGAGTTGCCCACAAATGTTAAATTCTCCCCTCTCTACTTCCTTTCTGAGCCTCAGTGGCTTTATCTCTAAAATGGGAATTAGAATATGCAGCTTATGTAATTCCAAAGATTAAATGATGTATGCAGAGGCCCTATGTAGAATCTGTCAAGTAGAGAATCCTATAGCTTCCCTGTTATTTCTAATTGGGGGTCTACAATTAGACCCCCAAATTGTAGACAAAGATGCTAAGAAACCAAAACCAAGGATGCAAGAGTCCCATCTAGTGGTGGTTTAAGAAAAATCAAAAGACACTTAGAAATTGCACTGCTTAAATGGATGCCTAGGAAGCATTGGGCAGTTTTATTTTAGTTAATTCATTTCCCACCTTGGGAAAGAATTTAACGCGGCTCTCGTGGAAAAAGAAAGGCTTCTTGAACTGGATTCCCCTTCATTCTTCCATTGTTCCAAAAGAGCACAGAATCTCTTCTGAGTGGATTCACCTATTTCTGGTCTCATTAAACCCATCATCTTAATGACCAAACTACTCTGTTCCTCGATTTTTAAAAGGATATGATTCAGATCCTTAATTAGGCATAATTTGATAGTGATGTTATAAAATGGATTTAGCAGGCTTTTTAACTTTTTATGACTTAATCTTAACCAATCTCTTGCAAGAACAACCCATCAAATCATAATCTACAACATTTGAGAGGTGATTTCCAAGAAATCTATTGTGATTCACATCAAATGAAACCAGTTATGACCTAGAGGTTCTGCATTAAGGTAAGGGTGGATCTAAATATGGACAAAGATGGCAGACCAGGGGTATCGCTCCAGGATCCCTGCACCTGTGCCCCTCTATAGAAGAGGTTCAACCTGATGTGACTATAAGAACCACTATTATATTCCAATTTCATGAGTTTAAAATAACATATTCATAATAATGAAAAGCAGACAATAAAATAGCAGGAGACCATCAAAAACCTTAACCTATATAAACCGCCCCAATGTTATCAAATTATTTTTCTATTTCACTCTTGTAAGTTTCATTGCCATAAAATGCAGTGTGACTGGTCCTATGTTAATAGTTTTAATGATTTCTTATAGCTCCTTGAGGTGATTTAACTGAGGAGATACGTTATTTGTGATAAATAGTACATCATTAGAGAATTTTTATCACAAAAATTCACCCAACTGGAAATTATTTTCTTGAAATACAAAAACCTATTTGAAAATAAAGGATAGCTTTTATTATTTATTTGGGAGTTATAAAACAAACAATAAAAATGCACTCAAAATTTGGCTGCAGTGAAAGTAAATATTTTACTATCTAGTGATAACCTTAGCCTTATAAAAAGTAGAATAATGAGAGTGGAAAAGTCGATATTTTCTACATTTCTTAAAGCTTAAATGAAGAAAATAAACATTACTCTTACCAAAAATAATCAAATCCAAAGAAAACAAGAACAAAAAAACTATTCTCTTGAAACACTTGAAACATGCTTCATATATTCAATAAAGTTATAAAGCTGTCACAGATGAGTTCCAAGAAAGAGTACGTTATGGAGAAATGGGTTTACTGAATGTAGTCAAAAGCAGTAAATTCTTCACTCAGATTACAGGGACATAGGCATTTTTAAGCAAAGTTAACCTAGACATGGGTTAACTAGGTTAATTTCCCTTAAAAATGTACAATACGACACCTGGGCAAGACTGAATTTGGAAAAGCCACTTTATAAGATTAGTTGTTGTAGTATCATCTGATAGTGACAATTTCTACTACAGGGCAAAGAATCTGAAATCCTTCTATAAGCAGCTGCTGACAGATAACAGTTAACTAGGAGAATTCAAATCTAAAATTCACCTCAAGTTCTGATGGAGATTTAGTAATTCTGACTCTCAAACAGAAACATAAAGAAGTCACCAAGAGCATTACTGACTTCAGGCTCAAAAAAAAAAAAAAAAAGAGCGTAGTTTGATGTCATAATGATGTAATAGAAAAAGTGAAAGCATTAGAGTCAGGGAGATCTAATGTCAAATTTTCTCTTTGGTGCTGACCTGCTGTTTGATAATAGAGTAGGATTTTAACACCTGTGTGTCTCAATGTTTTTGTCTGGAAAATGGGGATAATGTCACTTTCCTAACTGGGGATTTTTTTTTCAGAATTAAATAATGAGTTAATCTGAAGTGTCTAACAGAGTATATGGAATATAAAGGGTATTAAATAAATGCTACTTTTATTTTTACCATCATTATTGCTATATAAATTTTAGTGTAGGAAGTAGGAGTGGGTTTCCTTCTCTCATGACTTAAATGGTCATAACTGCATGTCCTGGTCAAAATCTAAAAATTAAAAAGAAATCACCAAAAAACAATTGCATATACTTTTAATTCCCCCCTATGTCCTTACTGTGAGGAGATAATAATTCGTGTGAATTATTATCACAATTCATTATTCATAATTCGTGTGAATTACAAATCAAGTCAGGCCACCTATATTCCTGAAACAACTTCTCAGGCTGCCTCTAGACTAGAATAATCAAGGCTCTCTAATTTTCCTTGCCATGGCTTATTAATGTATTTTGCTTCAGACACTTTCCTAATTGGCAGTGAGCTAACTGGGATGAGACTCTGACAACAGCAGGGAGGAGGGCTGCTGGTGGGCTGGCAGCTTGCATCTGATTATCAAGTGCTGCCTTGTGCCAAAGTCAATTCTGGGATGCCAGGTGTGCCTCCTGTTAGCACTCCCAGCCCATGCCTTGTGGAAGACTGATTTGGAATGAGTTTCTGCCCTGTACAGGTTATGTACTCATTGATTTCCTATCCTACTACCACCCAGGCATTCTGCTCCTGCTGCCACCTTCTCACTTACTTTTCCAATTAAAACCGTCTATATCTATCTCCGTCTAAGGCTGCCTCAACTCTTTAGCTTGGACAAGCTGGAGCTGTACTCATGTGACTTTCTGATTGTCTCTCTCTTTGCATTATTTTGTTTTGATCAGTTCTTACAGAATGTCCTTTCCTATCTCTGCATGACCTTATCCATGGGCTGCAAATTCAAATGTCCACAGGGACCGGGCAGGAAAGATAAACTGGTAATGTGGGCAACAGTGTGGAAAGGGCTGCAGCAAGCTAGAGAGCACGTCTAAAGGCAGCTGCTGCTATTCAGTCCCAGTTGAAGGTTGTCAATGCAAGAATATGAGTCCCTGCTTTACCAGATCTCCTGATATTTCATTGCCTATTTTTAATCAATGAAAATATTAGCATATATACATATGCAAATTCATACATGTATTTTTGTGTATGTAATCTATATCTACTTATCTATCTAGCTAGACAGTTTTCATGTCTCATGTAACTCTATCTTACTCAGTAGATAGTCAGATATAAAAAATGTAAGAAGTAGTTTTGTATACAAATATGGAAAGTAGTTGAAACTTTTTAGTTCTGAAGATTAAGAGCCCAGGATAAAGAAATTTTAATTCAAGAAAAACATACACACACACTTATACACACTCACACAATAGTTGGATCCATAGTATATTCTACAGTGTCCTTGGTTCTCAGAAAATATCCAAACTTTCTGTTTGTTGAATTAAAAAAACAAAGGTATATGTTGACTTTAAATTTAAGAAACCCTTCACACATATGGTTCCATGGATCATCTTAGGATCCCTATGGGGTAGATAGCATATGCTGTACATCAATTTAAAGTAGAGAAAATCTAGAGTTTAGAGAGGTAGTATAACTTACTCAAGCTAAACATGAGGTCAGAATCTGACATAAGCTTCCTTCATTCCTGGTGCAATATTCTTTCAAACAGGTAGTAAGTGCTTATAGGGCTATTTGTCTTATTATTAAAAGATTAACTCTATATTGCTTGCTTCAGATCATGACCCTCTTTATGGTACAATAATATCATTATTAAGGACTTTCTGCCTACAAAATTGTTTCCCAAAAGTTGTAAAGAAATGTTCTTTTTCTTCTATCAATTTTTCTGATCACATACAATATATAGCTGTGTTTCATATAATGAGTATGTGAGCCCATTTCCTTATAGATTTCAAGGACTATATGAAGAAGCATGGCTTTCACTCACCAATTACACTGAAAACAAGTATTTCTAGCTTTAAATAACTAGTTGGGAGGAAAAAGGAATGTTCCAGAGTAGAATTAAATGTTAACAGTAGAGATTAGACGATGGTGAGGGAAATAGAATGAAGGGAAGGTAAAAATAAGAGATGGGAAATAAAAGAGTAATGGTATCAATAAAGGTATGAAGGAGGCAGATATATTGATAACATAAGATGATAATTTAATAATTATATATTTAATATTTGGTTTTATATTATATACTATATGTATAATAAAGTGAATTATCAAAACAGAAAGTGGTTTTGGGAACTCCCAGAACTTACAGTTAGTGTCAGAGTGACAGCAGCTTTGTGCGCCGTGTTTCCCATAAACTTCATAGTCAGCTAATCAATTGCAATGAGTAAATTTAATTTATTTTCTGTCCGATATCTATTAAAACTTCTTTTTGATACAGCACTCTGATTTCCTATGGCTAACTACCTGATATACACTTTGCATTTATATAGATTTGCTCTTGCTAACTTAACTCCCGTTGAATTGATGAATGTAGGTGTTTACTTATCATCTGTGTATGAATGTATAAGCCAATTTATATTTATTTATCTATATATCTGTCTGTATCTATTACCTCTGTACAAGACTATCTAAAATCACTTTCCACTTACTTATTGTCTCACACCTATATAAAATTTTTAAGCACTGTAGTTTTATATGACAAAATCTGGCAATGGATATTCTCTTTTCATCTCTTTTTTTAAATTTTTTTTATTTTTTGCATCACAACTGTGTTCTTCCATATAAAGAGTTATATTAAACAGAGTCATATTGATATGTCATAAAAAATCTTACGTGGAAATATGTCTTTATATATTAAAATATTCATACATTCAAATATATATTTCACAGTAAAGTTTTACAGATTCATTATTTGGACTATCCTAACATAGTTTCTGTTCACTACTGTCTTCCCCTTTAAATAGTCCAACTCATGATTGCTATTATGCAGGAAACTTAGGGATCATGTGTGCTAAGTGGTTCTAGTCACTTTGATGAAACCACTTATTAATTCTAAGAATTTAGATTTCTTTGATTTTCTTTTGGAATATACTATAATCTATAGTGGATTATAGTGGAAACGGAAATTGCATTCCACTACTTATAGATTATATAAGTAGTACTTATAGATTGTATAAGTTTTCGAATGGATTTTTTTTCTTATCCAGCATGTATCAATCTATTCTATTAACAAATATTTATTAGGTACCTACTACATGCCAGACATTCTTCTAGGCTTACAAGTTTTTTTTTAAAAAATGAGATAAAAATGCCTGACTCCTGAAATTTAAAGTATAGTGGGAAAAACAGAAATCAAACAGAATATATATATATTTATATAATGTTGGAAGATGATCTATGCAATGGAGTACAAAAATAGATTAGGGCCAGGGGAGCAGAAGAGTCAGAAATCGTGAGACAGTTTGCAATTTTAAGTCAGGTTGGAAAATAGGTCTCTTTGAGAAGATGATAATTGAGAAAAGCACTGAGGAGGTGAAGGAGTGAACTACACAGATACCTGAGAAAAGAGAGGTCCAGGCACAAGGAAACAAAGCTGATAGGTGAATGTCTGGCATGGTCATGGAATAAAAGAAGGCCAGTGTGGATGTTAGGGAAAGAGCAAGGGATAGGAAGGGTGGCAGAAGTTCAACTTTGAGGGGAAGGGAGTTTGCGCCACATAAGGACTTACTGATTTCTGAAGAGTCTTTGGCTTTTACTTTGAGTATATTGGAGAGCCAATAAAGTTTGTAACACAAGTATGACATTGATCTGACCTACATTTTGAAAGGATCCTTCTGACTGCTATGTTGGGCATAGAGTTCCATAAAGGTGGAAGCAAGAGTCGATTAAGAGTCTAGTGTAGTACTGTGGACTGACTGTGTTACCTCCAAATCCATATGTTAAAGTCTTAACTCCTCATGTGGCTATTTCTAGAGATGGATCCTTTAGGGAAGTACTTGAGGTTAAACATGGTCATAAATTTATAGAAGAATCTGTCATAATGGTGGAGCCCTGATCAAAATGGGATTAGTGTGGTTATAAGAAGAGATGCCAGACAGCTCACTTGCTCTCTTTCTGCACATAGACTAAGGAAAGGCCATATGAGAACATAGAGAGATGGTGACCATCTATAAGCTGGAAAGACAGCCCTCACCAGAAACTGATCTTGCTGAACCCTGATCATCGACTTCCAGTCTCCAGAACTAAGAGAAGATGAAGTTTCTGTTTTTTAAGCCACCTTATCTATGGTATTTTTTAATAGCAGTCTGAGCAGGCTAAGACAGACATGCAGTAATCCAAAGGAGATATGATAGTGGTTCAGTCTAGGGTATGAGCAAAGCTACAAGTAGAGCAGATTTTGAGGGGAGGAAGTTTGAAAATTCAGTTTTGTGCAGATTGAGTTTGTCTATTGGACATACAAATGAAGACATAAGGAAGACAATTGGATGTATGTATCTGGAGTTAAGGGAGAAGATCTGTACAAAAGTTCTAAGTTTGGTAATTGTCACACAGAAATGGCAGAAAGTCACAATAAAGGCTGAGATAAATAAAGTAGAGAGTATAGATAGAAAAAATAATGGCTAAAATTTGAGCCAGATGAACTCAAATATTTAGGGGCTCTGGGAAAAGATAGGGACCAGCAAAGGAGACTAAGAAGGCATGAAAAGTTGGGGGTGAATCTAGGGAGTGTGGTTATCCTAGAAAGAGAATGAGGAAATTAAATTATCTCCAAGACATTGCATTTCTCATTTAGTAGAAGGAATGTACTCTGTCAAAGGCCACTGATATGTCAAGTAAATTGGCCTGAGATTTGGCCATTGTATTTAGCAGTGTGGCAGACCTTGCCAGGATGATGTTGGAGTAGTAGAGACAAAAGCTTGATTAGGTGGATTTGAGAGCTCATGGGAGGAGAAACTTTGAGGACAGTAAAAACAGCAAATTCCTTCAAGTAAATCATCTTAAAAGGAGAGCAAAGAAATGAGACATTAGCCAGGGCATTAGAAGAGTCAAGGGAATTTTATTTGAGGACTGGTTAATTAATGCCATATTTATCTTTCTTCTAGAGATGATCAAGTAAAAAATCAAAGACACTGATGGCATTAGAAAGGGAGAGGTGCATTCCTGGAATAATGCTCTCAAGCAGGAGAGAAGGAATGCATCCTGGTGCACAGACGGAAGGGTTGGCAATATGCAGAAACATGATTAGGCAGAGTATGTCGGCATAGGAGCTTGGAAACATGAGGCTGTGGAATTTGAAGGAGGTTCTCTTCTAGTTGCTTCAATTTTCTCAGTGAAGTACAAAGCAAGTTCATCATCAAAGAAAATATATACAAATAGCAGAGTGAGGGTGCATGATAATCCTTCTAATGACAACCTCTTATTCTCCTTTCCATTGGAGGAATATTCCTCTTCCCTCTTCAGGGTGAATTTGACAATTCCCACTGGCTCAAGGAGTGGCCTGTGACCCAAGTCTTGCTAATAAGTGTATAACTAGCCAGGACGACTGTATCAGGGAAGAGCATGTGTCCTATGTCTAACCAACAAGACCCAAGAATGGGACTTTGGGACGGGAGACATATCTGAGATGGTGTTTCTTGTGCATACTTAGACAAACTTGTGACTAATAAGAATAAAATTAACAGACAGGTATAAGACAACTTTACATGGATTTTATTCCACTACAATTGAAACAGCCTTTACTAAAACTGAACCCACACTAGCATAATTTGCTTAAATAACAGAATGACAAAGATTCTGAAATTCCCTTCAAACAAAATCAAACACTAATGATATGATGTCAAAGAAGCTGGATTCCTGCCCAGATCTGTTTTTCCCAGAAGTTTATAGAGGTCCATAGCTTCTGAAATGGCCATTTTGCAAAATGATTATTGTTATTCACACTAAAGATCAGACCATCCTTTAAACGTGTTTTTGACATGAAGTAGAGAATTAGTATCCGATAATAAACAATAATAATAATAGCAAATACTTGCATAGCGTTTACTATTTGCCCAGAATTCCACTAAGTGGTCCGTATATGAATAAATGTGAGTGTGTACACACAAGTTTGTGTTTTAATTCCCTAAACTACCTTATAAGAAAGTTATTGTTACTAACCCAGTTTTACAAAGAGATGAAACTAAGGTACAGAGGGGTTAAGAAACTTGCCAGACGCCACATAGTTTGGTAGTAAAAAGGCCAGGTTTTGAACCAAGATACTCTGGCTGCCAAGTATGTGCTCTTAATCACCTTATGGCCTTTATAACAACTTATTTTTATTGTGGCAGAAACTACTAGCTATCAATCTGATAGATAGTCAACCCGTGAGAGTAGAAAACTGAATTTATTTAAGAATAACGATTTCTCAGATTCTCCAGTTGTAAGACCACACTAGGCTAATGACACACAGAAATTATTAAGAGGGACATCTGGAAAGCTCATTTTATGGCAAACTGAGAGCAGAAGAAGTCTTTTACCCTTCCTCATTTTATTCTTCCTCTTTCCTGTAATATGAGTATAATGACTGGAGTATCAACAGCCATTGTAACCCACGAATTAAGCAAAACCATAAATTAAGGACATCAAAACAGGAAAATAGACACCGAATGCCTGATGCCCATGGTGCTGCCGTACTAGCCTTGGACCAACTACTTGTGGACTTATTCCACATGGGAAAAGAAAAGAAAAGTATTATGCATTCAAACAACTGTATTTGGGTTTTCTGGTATAAAAAGTCGAAATGAATCAGGGCTATCTGTAGAACTAAGGAGAAAAATGATCAATCCAAACATAGCCCTTTTGGAGTTTGAATTACTCTAAAATTGATATAAAAGAAGTAGCTAATGTCTTCAAATGTACCTTGAATTCTGTATGAAACGAAATGCATTTGAACTCTCTGTACTCACCAAAAATCTACAGCCTAACAGATGTTATTGTTTGATTCGAGTTTCTTAGTTTTTCTGTTTGTTTGTTTTTTGAGACGGAGTCTCACTCTGTCACCCAGGCCGGAGTGCAGTGGCATGATCTCGGCTCACTGCCAGCTCCGCCTCCTGGGTTCATGCCATTCTCCTGCCTCAGCCTCCCTAGTAGCTGGGACTACAGGCACCCGCCACCACACCCGGCTAATTTTTTGTATTTTTAGTAGAGAAGGGGTTTCACCGTGTTAGCCAGGATGGTCTCCATCTCCTGACCTTGTGATCTGCCCACCTCAGCCTCCCAAAGTGCTGGGACTACAGGCATGAGCCACCAAGTCCGGCCTGATTTGAGTTCTTAATAGAAAAAAAAAAAAAAAAAACTCTGTTATATACTCAATATAATATTAAGAAAAAATACAAGTTCATAATTCATATAAACTTATCCAAAACTTAATAAGTGATTTTGCTTTAAATATAGAGATAATACTATTCATCACAATTATGTTTTTTATATAAGGTTCTTTAAAAAGTTCAGAAGCCATAACTTCACAAGTTAAGCTATATGTATGTATAACAAAATGAGGTTTGTATACTGTTAATGCATTGTCTAGTCTCAGGAACCTCGAAAGCATAACACCTAAGGTAAAAGTTTTCCCAAGTGCTTTCTTATATTGTCAACAGAGAGCAAAAATCTCACCATGAAGGGAGCTGGGCTTACTTTTTGTTCAAGGATGTAAATAGCACTTAGTAAGTATCTGTTGCTATTGAATGAATTGGATAAACAGAGAATATGAAAGGAGGCTTTTACTTTTGCAAAATACAAGGATATCTTTGAAAGAAATCAGGCTGGCTCCAAATATCCATGAGATAAATGAAATATACCAGAAAATGAATAGCTGAAACCCAATATAATGGAGCAAAGTCTCTAATATCAAGGCATACACATTCTAATTTTAACTTCTCTGCCTACTGTCTTATTTGCTCTGTTCTATTATTCTATTCACAGCATGAACGCCATAAAGACCTCAGAGGTTGAAAAATTTGACATCTGTCTTCTAGAGCATATTAATTTTTTAAAAAAAATTCATTAAAATTAATTAAAAAATTAAAGAGTAGTATTTTTTTTATTAAAACTTGTGTGGATTACCCACAACGTAAAGCTTTGGACTTAGGGGAAGTGCAGGAGATTTAATTATCTTTCATCAGGGAGAGGGTTTATGAACCTGTCAATTTAAAGTGAGAAATTTAAAGAAGGTAGAAACTTTTCTTAAGAAACTTCTATGCAATAATCCAATGATGCTGCTCACCCTCAAAAAAAAAAAAAAAAAAACCTCAGAAAACATTGAAGGATGAGGCTGGACAGTTTTCAAGCCTCATTCCAGGCAGGTCTTAGCATTTTTGTTTATCTTTGACTTTCCCCCTCCAATATACACATGCATACACATACGCTCATACAGAATATTTATTTATTTATTTACACAATATTTATTTACACAAAATAACTCATAGAATACTTTTATCACCTGACAACCTCAACTTACATAATGTATGATTTTTGAATCCTTAAAGTGATATTGTAAAGAACTCATACAAAATTTATATTCAAATAGTCTGGATTTTTTATTTTATATATATTTATCATCAATCTTTAAAAACATTTGTATGTTTATTACAGATAACCTGGCAGCCTTGACACTAAACACCTTCTGCTGATTGTAAGTTAAATATCTATTCATCTATTTATCTCAACTCTGTACTAGGATGGGTAGAGTCTTCTGTTGACTCCCTCCGAAATATACAACTATTTGACTTATACTAGGAAATTTCTGTCTTTATTTACCTCAATGCAGTATTTAATTTTCCTTATAACCTTTATTAAACAAATAATTCATTATTTTATTAGAGATTTGTCACATAGTTGCAAATTAATTTAGGTCTTTCTAAAATGTCACTTCTGGTCCTGTTTATTTCCTCTCTGTTTTTATTACTATATAACTATTCCCTGAAACTATTTTTCTGTATTATTTGTGCTCTGAAAATCATGAAATCTTGTTTTTTTTTAAGTCATCTGCATAAAATATTTATTTTCACATTTGGCCATACCTATGGTTTTGGTTTTGGTGCAATAACTTGCAAAGTTTTCAGTAGATATTTGAGAAGATTCTTCTTACTCCTGGGATGCCCTTGGAATATAAATTCAGTGCTATATTTTAAGCTCATGAATTTTAAAAATTATTTTACAGAAGAGAGATTCATATGACATACAATTAACTTATAAAATTCAATGCCATTTATCCATTCACAGTGTTCTGCAACCACTGTCTTTCTCTAGTTTCAAAACTTGTTTTTATTATCCCAGAAGGATACTCTGTCTCTATTAAGTAATCACTCTCCATTTATTCCACTCCTATCCACTGGCAACCACTGAACCATTTCTGTCTCTATGGATTTGTCTATCTGGATATTTCATATAAAGGAATCATATAATTTATGACCATTTTTGTCTGGCTTCTTTCACTAAGCATAGAATTTCTAAGGTTCATCCAGGTTGTAGCATATATCAGCACTTAATTCTCATTATGGATAAATAATATCATATTGTAAGTATATACTATATTTTGTACATTCGTTTGTTAATGAAAATTTGGATTGTTTCCACCTTTTGACCATTGAGAATAATGCTGCTGTAAACATCCATGTACATGTTTCTGTGTGAACATATATTTTTATTAATCTTGGATCTATATTTAGAGGTAGAATTGCAGGGTCTTACGGTAATTCTCTGTCTAACTTTGTAAGGAGCCATCAAATTTGTTCACAGTGGATGCAACATTTTAAATTATCACCAGCAATATACAAGGATTCCTATTTTTCTACAACCTTGACAATGATTACTATATATTTTTCAAATACTTATATAGCCAACCTAGTGGTTATGAAATGTATCACACTGTGGTTTTTGTTTGTAATTCCTTAATGACCAGTAGTATTGTACATAATTTCATGTGCTTATATGTCAGTTGTATACTTCCTTTTGTGAAAAGTCTGTTCAAGTCTTTGCCCAGTTTTTAGATTTAATTATTTATATTTTTGTTTATGAGTTAGAGCTCCTTATATCTTCTAGATATTAAACCCTAATCAGATATAAGATTTGCAAATAGATTTTAATATTTTGTAAGGTGTCTTTTTACATACTCAATAATGTTCTTTGATACACAAAAGTTTTTTCATGATTAAAAGAAACAATTTATTTATTTATTTCTGCTTGTGCTTTTGGTGTTAGATCTAAGAATTCATTCATTGTTAAATACAAGGTCATGAAGATTTATCCTTATTTTTTTCCTAATAGTTTTATATTTTATGTGCTATGTTGAGATGTCATATATTTCTGATCTATTTGTGTTAATTGTTGTGTCTTAAGTGAGGTAGGGGGTCCAACTTCATTCTTTTGAATTTGGCAGTTATCTGGCTATAACAGCATCATTTGATAAAGAGATTATTCTTTCCCCATTGAATAATTCTAACAACCCTGTTGAAAATCAGTTGGCAGGTAGCGTGATTCCTCCAGCTTTGTTCTTGTTTAGGATTTACTTGGCTATTCAGGCTCTTTTTTGGTTCTACATGAATTTAACCTGTATTCCCAGCTATCCATGCTCATGGATAAGAATGTCCAACAATGATTGACTGGATTAAGAAAATGTGGCACATATACACCATGGAATACTATGCAGCCATAAAAAATGATGAGTTCATGTCCTTTGTAGGGACATGGATGAAATTGGAAATCATCATTCTCAGTAAACTATCGCAAGAACAAAAAACCAAACACCGCATATTCTCACTCATAGGTGGGAATTGAACAATGAGATCACATGGACACAGGAAGGGGAACATCACACTCTGGGGACTGTTGTGGGGTGGGGGGAGGGGGGAGGGATAGCATTGGGAGATATACCTAATGATAGATGACGAGTTAGTGGGTGCAGCGCACCAGCATGGCACATGTATACGTATGTAACTAACCTGCACATTGTGCACATGTACCCTAAAATTTAAAGTATAATAATAATAAAAAAAAAGAAGAATCAGTATTGGTAAAATAGCTGTATTTGTCTATTTTCACACTGCTGATAAAGATATACCTGAGACTGGCCAATCTACAAAATAAAGAGGTTTAATGGACTTACAGTTCCACTTGGTTGTAGAGGCCTCACAATCATGGTGGAAGGCATGGAGGAGCAAGTCACATCTTACATGGATAGCAGTAGGCAAAGAGAGAGCTTATGCAGGGAAACACCCCCATATAAAACTGTCAGATCTCATGAGACTTATTCACTATCATGAGAACAGAATGAGAAACATCCACCCCCATAATTCAATCACCTCACACTGGTTTCCTCTCATGACATGTGGGAATTGCGGGAGTTACAATTCAAGATGAAATTTGAAAGGGGACACAGCCAAACCATATCAACGACCATACTACCCAAAGCAATCTTGGGCAATTTTGAATGGGAATATGTTCCTTATTTGGCTCTCGGCTTGACTGTTGTTGGGGTATAGAAATGTTAGTAATTTTTGCACATTAATTTTGTATCCTGAGAATTTGCTGAAGTTGTTTCTTAGCTTAAGGAGCTTTTGAGCTGAGACTATGAGGTTTTTCAGAAATAGGATGATGTCAACTGCAAACAGGCTTCGTACCTACACTACTTGATCTTCGACAAACCTGACAAAAATAAGCAATGGGAAAAGGATTCCCCATTAAATAAATTGTGCTAGGGTAATGGCTAGCCATATGCAGAAGATTGAAACTGTATCCCTTTCTTATACCATACACAAAAATTAACTCAAGATGGATCAAAGACTTAAATGGAAAACCCAAAACTATAAAAAGCCTGGAAGAGAATCTAGGTAATACCATTCTGGACATAAGAACAGGCAAAGAGTTCATGATGAAGATGATAAAAGCAATTGCAACAAAAGTAAAAATTGACAAATGGGATCTAATTGAACTAAAGAGCATCTTCACAGTAAAGAAAACTATCAACGGAGTGAAAAGAAAATTTGCAGAATGGGAGACAATTTTTGCAAACTATGCATCTGAAAAAGGTCTAACATCCAGCATCTATAAGGAACTTAAACAAATTTACAAGGAAAAAAAACAATGAAAGTAGACAAAAAACATGAACAGACACTTTTTGAAGGAAGGTGTACATGTAGCCAACAATCATATGAAAAAAACTTAACATCATTGATGATTAGAGAAATGAAAATCAAAATCACAATGAGATACCATCTGATACCAGTCAAAATGGCTATTATTAAAAAGACAAAAAAAAACAGATGCTGGCAGGATATGGAGAAAAAGGAAAGCTTATGCACTGTTGGTGTGAGTGTAAATTAGTTCAACCATTGTAGAATACAGTGTGGTGATTCCTTAAAGTCCTAAAAATAGAAATACCATTTGTCCCGTAAGCTCATTACTGGGTATATACCCAAAGGAATATAAATTATTCTATTGTAAAGATGCATGCCTGTGCATGTTCATTGCAGCACTAGTAACAATAGCAAAGACATGGAATCAACTTAAATGCCCACAAATGGTAGACTAAGAAAATGTGGTAAATATACACCATGGAATACTACGCAGCTATAAAAAAGAATGAGATCACGTCCTTTGCAGGAACATGGGTGGATCTGGAGGTCATTATACTTAGCAAATTAATGCAGGAATAGAAAACCAAACACTGCATATTCTCACTTATAAGTGGTAGCTAAATGATGAGGACACATGGACACATAGGGAGGAACAACACACACTGGGGCCTTTCCAAGGGTAGAGGGTGGGAGGAGGGAGAGGAACAGGAAAAAATAACGAATAGGTACTAGGCTTAATGCCTGGGTAATGAAATAATCTGCACAACAAACTCCCATGACACAAGTGTACCTGTATAACACACCTGCACTATTCCCCTGAACATAAATAAAAGTTACATTAAAAACTAAGAAAATCAATTGTCCGTACATGTTTGGGTTTGTTTCTGGGCTCTCAATTCTATTCCATTGATCTATGTGTCTGTTCGTATGCCAGCACCAGGCTGCTTTGATTACTGTAGCTTTGTAGTAGGTTGTCAAATTGGAAAGTGTTGAGTATACCAGTTTATTTTATTTATTTATTTATTTATTTATTTATTTTTATTTTTTTTTTTTTTTTGAGACTGAGTCGGGCTCTGTCGCCCAGGCTGGAGTGCGGTGGCGCGATCTCGGCTCACTGCAAGACCCGCCTCCCGGGTTCACGCCATTCTCCTGCCTCAGCCTCCAGAGTAGCTGGGATTACAGGCGCCCGCCACCGTGCCCGGCTCATTTTTTGTATTTTTTTTTTAGTAGAGACGGGGTTTCACCATGGTCTTGATCTCCTGACCTCGTGATCCGCCCGCCTCAGCCTCCCATAGTGCTGGGATTGCAGACGCCAGCCACCGCGCCCGGCCTGAGTATACCAGTTTTGTCTTAAATTTTCAATGTTGTTTAGGTTTTTTCAGGCTTCTTTTGATTCCATATAAATTTGAGAACTAGTTTTTGAATTTCTGAAAAAAAAAGCCATTGAATTTTCTACACGTATTAAACTGAATCTGTAGATCTCTTTTGAGATTATTGCTGTTTTAACAGTATTAAATCTTCCAATCTCTTAACGTAGAATGTCTATTTAATTAGATCTTTTATATTTTCTTTCAGCAATGATTTGTAGTTTTCAGTGGACAAGTCTTTCACCTTTTTGGTTAAATTTAGTTTTAGGAATTTTATTCTTTGGGATATTATTATAAATGATATTATTTTCTTAAATTTCTTTTGAATTTTTCACTTCTGATGTAAAGAATCAAACTGATTTTTGTGCATTGATCTTGCATTCTACAATATCGTTAAAATTGTTTTTAAGCTCTAGTAATTTTTACTTTGGTTTATTTTGGCATATATATAATACAGGAATACAGTTTCAAGGAATAATTATATAGTAATGAAAAACATAAAGGAAATTAATGGGAGAGAAGTGACCTTTCAGAAATGTCACTTCTCTAAATTAATTTGTGACTATGTGACAAATTCCTGATAAAATGTGAGTTTTGTGTTTTTTGGCATTTGTTATTCCTTTTGAAATATTACATTAATGTGGTATAGTATATTGATTGCCTTTCTTATGTTGATCCACCCTTGTTTATCTAAGTTCCACTGGTCTTGGTGTATAATCTTTTAATGTGTGGTTGGATTTACATTGCTTGTGTTTTGTTAAGGAATTTTGCATCTATATTCATAATGGATATTAGTATATAGTTTTCTTCAGGTATCTTTGTCTGTTTTTGGTATGATGGTAACTCTAGTCACACAGAATGAGTTAGGAAGTGTTCTTTAAACTTCGATTTTTTGGAGGAGTTTGGAGATGATTGGTGTTAATTCTTCTAAAAATATTTGGTAGAATTAAACAAATATTAGCCCTCTGGTTCTAGACTTGTTGTTGTTGGAAGGTTTTTGCTTACTTATGGAAATTCTCCACTTATAATAGGTCTGTTGAGTTTTTCTATACTTTTTAGTCAGGATTGTTAATTTGTGTTTTTCTAGGAGTGTGCCCATTACTAGGAATGTATTTTTCTAGGAATGTGTCCAAGATTATTGTGATGGTTGTTACTGAGTGTCAACTTGACTGGATTGAAGGATGCAAAGTATTGATCCTGGGTGCGTCTGTGAGGGTGTTGCCAAAGGAGATTAACATTTGAGTCAGTGGGCTGGGAAAGGCAGACCTACCATTAATCTAGGTAGGCAAGATCTAATCAACTGCCAGCATGGCTGGATTAAAAAGCAGGCAGAAAAACGTGAAAAGGCTAGCCTGGCTTAGCCTCCCAGCCTATATATTTCGCCCAGGCTGAACACTGTCTGCCCTCAAATTTCGCACCCCAAGTTCTTCAGCTTTGGGTCTCAGACTGGCTTCATTGCTCCTCAGCTTGCAGACAGCCTATTGTGTGACCTTCTGACTTGTGATCATGTGAGTTAATACTATTAATAAACACACACATATATATATATATACATATACATATATATGTGTATATATATATCATCTCCTATTAGTTCTGTCCCTCTAGAGAACCCTGACTAATACAGACTTTTGTGCCAGGAGTGTTTACAGAGAAATAGAATATTAAGGATGCAGTTCTTTCATTGGTTTTCGGATTTCTAGAGTTGACTGTTTAATATAATTAGACCTCAAAATGCTGAGGACTATACTTCTAATAGTATGGAGAACACTGATGATCCTTGGCATGAACTGTTTAGAGAGTTACGCCAAATGAGTGCATTTGACACTCCTGATTCATGGCTAGAGAGAGGCAAGGACTTTAGGGATTCTACACATAATACCTTTGACTAAATGTGGAGAACCAAGAAACATAAAGAAGTTGGTTGGCTGCTCCTAAGTTCACTGGACAAAGTGATGAAAAACAAATGATGAACTCAGGGATTCTAACTCCAGGCTTCACAAGCAGATACTGAGCCTCAAATCCGCTAAGATTGCCCTGAGTGAGAGTCTTATCTCCTGTAGACAAAGAGCTGAAATGGTGAAAAATCAGACACAAGCTCTTATCATGCAAGTGGCTGACCTGCAACGAAAGGTGCATGTGCAGCCTCACCAGGTGTCTACTGTTAAAGTGAGGACATTAATTAGAAAAGAATGGGACACTACAACTTGGAATGAAGATGTGTAGGAGGACCCTGAGGAAGCTGAGAACACTGAGCTTGTAAACTCTGATGAATGGGATAATGGTGGAAGAAACAGATTTGGATCAGGCTGAATTTGTCGATTTGGGCGCACTAAGTAGAGATTCTGCATTTAATGTTGCAGCTCAGGGAGTTAAAAAAGGTTCTAAGAGTTTATTTGATTGTTTAGCTGAAATATAAGTTAAAAGATGGCCCACTGTGAGTGAGCTGGAAATGCCTGATCTCTCTTGGTTTAATGCAGAGGAAGGGATCCAAAGGCTTAGGGAGATTGGGATGGTGGAGTGGATTACTCACTTTAGACCTACTCATCCCAGCTGGGAGGGCCTAGAAGACATACCCTTGACCAATGCTTTGCAAAATAGATTTGTGAGGGCAGCACCTCCATCTTTGAAGAGCCCTGTAATTGCTCTTCTCTGTATGTCAGATCTAACAGTGACAATTGCAGTCACTCAACTACAAAATTTAAATATAATGGGAATAATTGGATCCCAAGTTGGCAGGGGTAAAGTAGTGGCACTCAACCCTCAAAGGCAAGGTGGGTGGAGCTACTGTAATGGACAGCAGAGGCACAGCAGCTATCAGAATAATCTGAATCGTGTAGAGCTCTGGCATTGGCTAATTAATCATGGTGACTCTATAAGTGAAATTTATAGAAAGCCTACTGCATTCCTATTTAGTTTATATAAGCAGAAAACTTTCAAGTTGAATGGACAAAAGACTAATTTGGAATTATAAAAACAGAGAATCATGGTGCCTCAATCAGTTTCCAGACTTAAGCCAGTTTACAGAGCCAGAACCCCTTGAATGAAGGGGGGTCCCCTTGAGAAGGGACCCCACCACACTACCGACAATTCATGCCATTAATCTTTCTCCCATTCTTCCCCAAGGAGACCTTTTATCAGGGGAGCTGTGCACTGGAGAAAGGCAAATAATCAGACATTTCAGGGACTACTGGACACTGGCTCTGAGTTGACGTTGATTCCAGAGGATCCAAAACGTCACTGTGGTCCTCCAGATAAAGTAGGGGCTTATGGAGGTCAGGGAATTAATGGAGTTTTAACTGATGTCTGACTACAGTTGGTCCAGTCAGGCCCTGGACTCATCCTGTGGTCATTTCTCTATTGCCAGAATGTGTAATTGGCACAGACATACTTTGCAGCTGGCAGAACCCGCACATTGGCTCCCTGACTGGTAGGGTGAACACTATTATGGTGGAAAAGACGAAATGTAAGCCATTAGAGCTGCCTCTACCTAGAAAAATGTAAATCAAAAACAATATCGCATCCCTGGAGGAACTGCTGAGATTAGTGCCACCATCAAGGACTTGAAAAATGCAGGGGTGGTGACTTTCACCACATCCCCATTCAAGTCTCCTATTTGGCCTGTGCAGAAGACAGATGGATCTTGGAGAATGACAGTGGATTATCATAAGCTTAACTAAGTGATGACTCCAATTGCAGCTGCTGTACCAGATGTGGTTTCATTGCTTGAACAAATTAACACATCTCCTGGTACCTGGTATGCAGCCATTGACTCAGCAAATGCCTTTTTCTCCATTCTTGTCCATAAGGCCCACCAGAAGCAATTTGCCTTCAGCTGGCAAGGCCAGCAACACCCCTTTACTTTCCTACATCAGGGGTATATCAACTCTCTGGCTATGTGTCATAATCTTATTCAGACAGAAACTAATCACTTTGGCTTCCACAAGATATCACACTGGTCCATTATATTGATTACACTATGCTGATTGCAACCAGCAACCAAGAAGTAGCAAATACACTGAACTTGCTTGCATGCCAGAGGATGAAAAATAAATCCAACTAAAATTCAGGGCACTTCTACCTCAGTAAAATTTCTAGGGGTCCAGTATTTTGAGATATTCCTTCTAAGGTGAAGGACAAGTTGCTGCATTTGGCCCCTCCTACAACCAAGAAAGAGGCACATTGCTCAGTGGACCTATTTAGATTTTGGAGACAACACATTCCTCATTTAGGTGTGTCACTCCATCCCATTTATTGAGTGACCTGAAAGGCTGCCAGTTTTGAGTGGCATCCAGAACAGAAGAAGGGTCTGCAACAGGTCCAGGCTGCTGTGTAAGCTGCTCTGCCACTTGGGCCATATGACCTAGCAGATCCAATGATGCTTGAGGTGTCAGGGGCAGATACGGATGCTGTTTGGAGCCTCTGGCAGACCCCCATAGGTGAACCCCAATGGACATCTCTAAGATTTTGGAGAAAAGCCCCTGCCATCTTCTGCAGATAACTACTCTTTTTTTTTGAGAGACAGCTCTTGGCCCATTACTGGGCTTTGGTAGAACATGAACATTCGACTATGGGTCATCAATTCACCATGCAACCTGAACTATAATGAACCGGGTGCTTTCTGACCCATCTAACCATAAACTGGGTCATGCACAGCAGCACTCGATCATCAAATGGAAGTGATATGCATGTGATCAGGCTCAAGCTGGTCCTGAAGGCACAAGTAAATTACATGAGGAAGTGACTCAAATGCCTATGGTCTCCACTCCTGCTACCCTGCCTTCTCTCTGCACCGATGGCCTCATGGGGAGTTCCCTATGATCAGTTGACAAAGGAAGAGAAGACTTAGGCCTGGTTCACAGATGGTTCTGCATGATATGCAGGCACCACTTAAAAGTGGACAGCTGCAGCACTGCAGCCCAAGTTCTAGGACATCCCTGAAGGACGGCAGAGAAGGGAGATCTTTCCAGCGGGCAGAACTTCGAACTGTGCATCTGGTTGTGCACTTTGCATGGAAGGAAAACTGGCCAGATGTGCAATTATATACTGATTCATAGGCTGTAGCTAATGGTTTGGCTGGATGGTCAAGGACTTGGAAGAAGCATGATTGGAAAATTGGTGACAAAGAAATTTGAGGAAGAAGTATGTGGATGGACCCCTCTGAGTGGTTAAAAACTGTGAAGATATTTTTATCCCAAGTGAGTGCTCACCAATGGGTGACCTCAGCAGAAGAGGACTTTAATAATGAAGTGGATATGATGATCTTGTCTATGGACACCACCCAGCCTCTTTCCTCAGCCACCCCTGTCATTGCCCAATGGGTCCATGGACAATGTGGCCATGGTGGCAGGGATGGAGCTTATGCATGGGCTCAGCAACATGGACTTCCACTCACCAAGGCTGACCTGGCTACAGCCACTGCTGGGTACCCGATTTGCCAGCAGCAGAGACTAGCTCTGAGCCCTCGATGTGGCACCATTCCTCGGGGTGATCAGCCCACCTACCTGGTGGCAGTTTGATTTTAATGGACCTCTTCCATCATGGAAAGGGCAGATGTTTGTTCTCACTTGAATGGACACTTATGCCGGATATGGGTTTGCCTATCCTGCACGCAATGCTTCTGCCAAGACTATCATCTATGGACTCATAGAATGCCTTATCCACCATTATGGTATTCCACACAGCATTGTCTCTCACCAAAGCACTCACTTTATGGCTAAATAAGTGAGACAGTGGGTTCATGCTCATGGAATTCATTGTTTATACCATGTTCCCCATCATCCTGAAGCAGCTGGATTGATAGAATGGTGGAATGACCTTTTGAAGTCACAATTACAAAGCCAACTAGGTGACAATACTTTGCAGGGCTGGGGCAAAGTTCTCCAGAAGGCCGTGTATGCTCTGAATCAGCATCTCATATATGATACTGTTTTGCCTATAGCCAGGATTCGTAGGTCCAGGATCAAGGGGTGGAAGTAGAAGTGGCACCACTCACCATCACTCCTAGTGATCCATTAGCAAAATTTTTGCTTCCTGTTCCCGTGACATTATGTTCTGCTGGCCTAGAGATCTTAGTTCCAGAGGGAGGAATGCTGGCACCAGAGGAAACATCAATGATTCCTTTGAACTAGAAGTTAAGATTGCCACCTGGACACTTTGGGTTCCTGCTATCTTTAAGTCAACAGAATAAGAAGGGAGGTACATTATTGGCTGGGGTCTATCAAGATGAAATCAGTCTACTGCTCCATAGTAGAGGTAAGGAAGAGCATGCATGTAATACAGCAGATCCATTATGGTGTCTCTTAATATTACCATGCCCTGTGATTAAGGTCAATGGGAAATTATAACAACCCAATCCAGGACTACAAATGGCCCAGCCACTTCAGGAATGAAGGTTTGGATTACTCTATCAGGGGGAAAAAAAAAAAGAAAAAAAAAAACCTGCTGAGGTGCTTGCTGAAGGCAAAGGAAATACAGGATGGGTAGTAGAAGAAGGTAGTCATCAATACCAACTATGACCACTTGGCCAGTTGCAGACACAAGGACTTAATTGTCATGACCATTTCCTCTTTCGTTTGTTAAAAATGTTTGTGCATGTATACACCTGTACAAAGAAAATGTCTTCATTTTGTTCTCATTTTCGTTTTTCATGCTGTACAAGATTTATTGACCTCATATTGTTAACTTGATGTATTGGCATTTGGGTTGGGGATTGGTGCATTTCCGGTTGTACGAAAGATAGTTGTATTACCTTAGGTGTAATTATGACCTTATTATTGTCTTTATTTGAAGACTATGTATGATCTCAGGAGATGTGTATTGCATCAAGTTGACAAACGGTGGACTTGTGATGGTTAATACTGAGTGTCAACTTGATTGGATTGAAGGATGCAAAGTATTGATCCTGGGTGTGTCCGTTAGGGTGTTGCCAAAGGAGATTAACATTTGATTCAGTGGACTGGGAGAGTCAGATCCACCCTTAATATGGGAAGAAACCATCTAATCAGCTGCCAGTGCAGCCAGAATATAAAGCAGGCAAAAAAACGTGGAAAGATTAGACTGGCTTAGCCTCCTAGCCTACATCTTTCTCCTGTGCTGGATGCTTCCTGTCCTCAAACATCAGACTCCAAGTTCTTCAGCTTTGGGACTCAGACTGGCTCTCCTTGCTCCTCAGCTTGCAGTTGGCCTATTGTGGGACCTTGTGTTCATGTGAGTTAATACTACTTAATAAAATCCCATATATATATATATATATATATATATATATATATATATATGGAGAACTGATATATACACTCTAGAGAACCCTAATACGATTATCTAATTTGTTGGTGTGATATCATTATTAATAATCCCTAGTAATGTCCCTACTTTCTGATTTTATTTTTTGAATTTTCTCTCTTTTTCTGAGGTAGTCTAACTAAAGATTTGTCAATTCTGCAGATATTTTCTAAGAACCAACCTTTGGTCTTGTTGATGACATTTTCTTTTATTCTACATTTCATTTACCTCTGCTCTAATCTTTATTATTTCATTTCTTCTACTGTCTTTGGGTTTAGTTTGTCCTTATGTTTTTATTCCTTTAGAGTGTTATTTGAGATCTTCCATATTTTTTAATGTAGGCATTTATAGCTACAAATTTTCCTTTGAGCTTTGACTTCACTGCATCTCGTAAGTTTTGGTATGGTGTGTTTTCATTTTAATTTCCCTCAAGGTATTTTATAATTTCCCATGTGATTTATTATTTAATCCATTTGTTGTTTAAGAGTGTGTTGTCTGATTTCCACATATTGGTAAAATTTCCAGTTTTCATTCTACAGTTATTTCTAGCTTTATTCCAGTGTGTTGAGAGAAGAGGCTTTGTATTATTTCAACCTTCTAAAATTTATTGAGAATTCCTTATAGCCTAATATCAGTTCTATTCTAACAAATGTTTCATGGTTCATTTGAGAGGAATGTGTAATTGCTGTTTTTGCGTTGTAATTATTCTTCTTTCACTGTCTATTCTGTGTTTTCTTGTTTCCCAATTTTACTATTCCAAGATTATCTTTTTGTAGTTGTGCTCATCTTTTTATTAGTGTTCTTTGTTTACATTTCCTATGTGTTCTTTTAAAACTCTTAACATATATTTTTCTTACAGAGACAATCTTTACAGTTCTGTATATGCATGGGTGTATGTGGGCTTTGTTTTGTTTTATTGTACTCACAATAGTGGAAATGCATTTGATGATGCTTAGAATTGAACTTGTTCTAATTTTTTGATATCGTTCATTTAGAGAGTTTAATTTGGAGAGATTGTCCATTGCTATAGATCACTTTATTGTTCCTCCACCCACTTATCCGTTATTTATTTATCATATATTTTATAGCACTTAGAATGTCCCAGGCTCTATGTTAATAACTGTGTGTAGAAACTGTCAGTCTGAAGAATGAGAAATGCATGTATGAAAAATTACCATAATGAAATTTAATTTGTGCCATGATATAGGCATTTATAAAACATCATAAGAGAACAATGGAAGGGGAGCTTTTTTAGAAATGTTTAGGGCACTAACAGGTGAAGATATTAGTGTATTAATATATTGTATGTGACTCACATTGAAAACTGTGTAGCAACTAAAATTGTAGACCATTATTATCTTGGAATTTTCTATAAAATTCTAGTATAATACCTAGGTTTAATTGCTAAATATAGTGAGGGCATATTATGTCTTAAATGCACAGCTTTTAAAAGATCATATATTATACATATATTATATGATTATTAGAATCATATATTTATGATTATTAGAATTATATTCTATATAATTCAATTTTGACTCATAAAAATATCACCTTTTTGTTCACTGAGCTTCAAATATTCTGTAATAAAATGGAATAAATAGATCATAAGCATATGTAATATTAGTACAAAGGAAACATGAATGACATTGTAATAACAAGCAAATGTTTATAACCCTAAGTTAAATTTGGTTTGGCAGACATATCCTAATTTAAAATTTTTATTCCTGAATTTTAAAAAAATTTATATAGGTGCGTACACTTTTTAAAAATTGCTCTTTTTACTATCCTCTTCATTCACTCCTCTTCTTACTCCTTTATTTCTGATGCATGTTGTGTTTGTTTAGTTCTTTCTAAAATTTTCCCATCAAATGTGGTCTGCAAAACAGTTTATTATTAATCTTACACAACTTGGTTGCAATTTTAACTCACTATAGTATCTTGAGGTTATTTACCATTTGAATCATGTTTATAGTTAGTGGCATAGTCTCTAAGCAAACTTGTTCCTCCAATAGTGTAATAATAAAAAGCATATTTCCAAGATTGAAAAAAAAATGTGTTTGTTAAACAGCCAGACAAAAATTTGGAAAGAGGAAAGTACCAACAAAGTCTGCTTTGCGTTGCTTATTACATGTTGGAGAATTGGGTTTCTTTCTTTTTTTTTTTTTTTTGTCTACCCAACCACATTACAAGTATTTTCTTTAGGTACCTGTTCATCTGAAATTCTTCCCTCTTCTATAGATATGTTCAATTTCCTTACTCTTTCTTGATCCCTCCCCCTTAAAGGACAGTCATGACAGCAGTATATGTAGTTTAATGAACTTAAGCCTTGGAGTAAAGCTCTGCTTTAAGGTCTTAGACGAGATACCTAAAACTGTAGAGTCTCGTTTCTTTCCTCCTTAGAAAAGAGATATTACAATCTACTTCATTGGAAAAATAATAAGTAAAGAAGTATGCAACATGAATAGCATGTGGCTTATTATAAAGTAGTTCCCCATGTTGTTCAAATTTTCATGTTAATAATTATGTATTAATAATAGTAATAATGATAACAATGACTCACCTTTCTTTATAGCTGTCTTAATCTTTTTCTTCCAAATTTATTATATGCTCAGCTTTTTTCCTTTCTCATTTCTTATTTCCATTTCAATCCTATTTCACTCCAAAGCAACTTTACTAATTTAATTCCTGACCATCAGTAACCTTCTACTAGTCAAATTCATTCAATGCATTTTAGACTTATTGGTATACATTTGATATCATATATTCAGTATGGATCTGTGTGTGTGTGCGCGCGCGTTTTGAGATGTTGAAATTAACATCTTTTCCTTTTAGAAAATTGTCATCCCCTGGTTTCCTTCCTTATTTTCTGGTCATTCCAATTAGTTCCTTTTTATTCTGCAATTTTAGGATTTTTAAAGATTCTGTCCTCTAATCTCATATTCACCCACCTAATTTTTCTTGGAGACAAGTTCTAGACTTATAAGTTCTATCATCTTGTCACTTACGATTGTCATATTTATCAATAGTTTCTTCTATTCATCTGTGTTCCAGATACTTATTTCTATTGTCTACTGAACATCAAATTGATACTATAAGGAACATCAAAATACACATAACTCAAACTACAATCAGTTTTCCTATTTGCCCTCTGTCTTCATTTTTTATTTTATTAATAGCAACACTATCCACTTAAATTATCCAAGAAAAATTCTACATGTTAGCCTAAATTATTCTTTTTTCTATAATTGTTATATATGTTCACCAAATCCATTGATACCCTCCCTCAAACATCTTTTGATCCTTTTCTTTCTTCCTTTTTATACTGTCTTCTTTTAAAATAGCCTAATAATTTCTCATGTGAACTATTTTAGTAGCCTCTTAACTTTTCCCCTACCTCTTGTAATTTATATTTTTCAATTCATCCTCTGCAAATATGTCATATCTTTCTAGAATACAAGTAGGATCAGATTAATAATAAGAATAATAGCTTTAGTTACGCAAGATAAATTAGATCTGGAGATCTACTATATAGCATGTGACTATAGCTAACAATGTATTGTCTTCTTAAAATTTGCAGTGAGGGTAGATCTTATGTTAAGTATCCTTACCCTCCCTCCCTTCACTCAACTCAATAATAATAAAGAAGGTGGGAAAAAATTTGAGGAGGTAGTGAATACATCTATACCTTTGATGGTGGTGATAGTTTCACAGATGTATTCTATTCCCCAAATTCAAAGAGTTGTATACATTAAATATGTACAGATTTTTACATGTCAATCAACCTCAACAAAATGGTTTTGAAAAAGAACGGCTAACAATTATATACCATGTATTAAATGCTAGGCATTGTTCTGACAGCTTTAGACATGTTATGGTCCAAAACACCATAGTGACTTGCTATAACCCGTTAAGATAAAAGTACATTTTATTACGATGACCTATAAGGCCCTTCTCATCTAGGCCTCAAACTATTTTCTATCTATGTCTCCACTGCCACTGAAACAGCTCCCTTTCAATGAACATGCCATTGTCTTTCATCCCTTAATGTCACTGCACAATCTATTCTTTTGAGCTAGGATTCTTGCCCCATCTCATCTGCCTGGGAAAGTCCTACTCATCTTCCAAGTCTCAGCTCAAATGGTAACTCAGCCACTTACTCAGCTCTAGGAAGGATCCATGCTGTTGTTTTCTATAACTTGTCTACGCCTCTTTTACAAGACCTTTACCTTATTACCCTTCCTGGTTATATGGTGCCATCCCCTATACCAAGTAATTGAATTCACTGACTATATTTTACCATATTTGCATCTCTAGGGCCTGGTACAGTATCTAACAAAATAAGTCCTCAATAAAACTTTCTTAAATGAATGAGTGGACCAAACACAAAAAGGTAATCTACTTTGTTACAAAACGTGCTTGGCCCAATTCATATATCTATATATCCAAAAAGCAGTAACCAAATTCCTCTGCATAGTTTCAATCAAGAAAATGAAGTTTGTTATTAAATAAACTCATGGAATGAATAATATACCACTCCTTTTCATTTTATTCTTTTTTTTTTTTGAGACATAGTCTTTCTCTGTCACTCAGGCTGGAGTGCAACGGCATGATCATAGCTCACGATAGCCTCAATCTCCCACGTTCAAGCGATCCTCCTGCCTCAGCCTCCCAAGTAGTGGCAACTATAGGTGTGCCACCAAGCTTGGCTAATTATTTTTAGAGAGACAGGGTCTTGCTATATTGCCCAGACTGGTCTCCAACTCCTGGTCTCAAGAGATCCTCCCTTCTTGGCCTCCAACGTGCTAGGACTACAGGCATGAGGCATTACACTAACCTCTCTCTCTCATTTAAAGTACTAATATCTTTAATAATCTCAAAACAAAACCAAAATAAACATATAAAGTCTAGCTATATGGAATTCCATTACTCTAAATTTAAAAATTCCCCTCCCTAGTTTTATTCAAGAAAATCAAACACTCTAGTAAAAGTGAATGAGGTCTCTCTTCCTCCCTCCCTTTCTACCTGTTTCTAACTTAAAGTTTTAAGATCATCACTCTTCATCTAAAAACAACAGAAAAATATAGAAAGCCTAGAAATATGGTAGTGAGACTATAAATTAAAACTTCTAAGAAAATTCTCCTTATAGGGGGCTCCAAAATGCTATTCTAGGGAAAATACATTTTGAATAATCCCCTCCCGTCTTTCTTACCATACCTTTTTCCACCTGTTCTTCTCCTGGCTTATATGTGCCAAGCTGCTCACATGTAAATATGATGGGCTACTGCACTTCTCCTGCTTTGCTCAAACTGCTCTCTCTGCCTAGAGAACCCTCTTTCTTGTTCTTCTTGGGAGGTACCTATTCACTAGCATTTGGTTCACAGCCATCTCCTCCTAAAGACTTTTATAAACTTTCCCCCAACTTTCTTCCTTCAGCCCCTATTTTACCTTGTGCTGACTTTTGTAATGGTGACTAGAACACATCATTGTATTTCTTGGCCTATAAATCTGTCTAAATGCCTCTTTAAGGCAGGCCCCATGCCTTATTTATTTCTGTATCCTTAGTGCTTATTGAAAATACATAGTAGGTGTTTGATCATAGCAACAATAAAGAGCTATCATTTTTTGAGCAAAAAAAAAAAAGAAAATTCACCTTGTGTAAATATAGTACAGACAAATGTTGAACAGCAGTATGATTTAACAGAAAGAAGACTAAGTGTGTTTTAAGAATATTTGAGTACTTTTCTTTCCTTATATCCCTTATTAACAGTGTAGCACTATGTTACCACTCTGAGCCTACTTCTTCACCTATAAGGCAAAAACAATACTCCCCGCCCCACCTACTACAAATAATTAGTTTGAGGATCAAGAGAGATAATGTTTTTGAAAGTATGCTATGAAACATAATGTGCTGTACTGCAAAGTGTGTATTCACTCACCAAACACAGTTCTTGCAGGCACAGATTCTCTGTTAAGCCAGAATGAAACTTGGGAGAGAATGACAGTCATGATGCAAGGCAGATAGGTTTGAATCACAAAATACCCAATTTTTCTTTTCAGGTGGAAATGAGCTGTCATTACAGTATATTCACCTGGAAGAAAAATTTAAGAAGCTCAAGGAGTAATAGTCAATACTTTGAACATTTAGGAAATAGAAGGGATCAGAGGTAGAACAAAAACTGATTTTTTAAAAAATAATATATCACATACATGTCAGGAAATTTATATCACTTTTAAAAGCCTCCTTAGCATAGCATGAGTGTTTAGAAGAAAATTTTAGTATCAAGAAACTTGCAGCTCACGTCCCATGATATTGTACAGATTAAGTACCTCTTATGTAAAATACGTGGAACTAGAAGTGTTTCAGGGTTTGGATTTTTCAGATTTTGGAAAATTTACATTATTACAAATTGAGCATCCCTAATCAAAATATATAAAATCTAACATGCTCTAATGAGCATCTCCTTTGAGCATCATGTCAGCACTCAAAAAGGTTTTTTTGTTTTTTTTTAATTTGGAGCATTTTGGATTTTAGATTTTCAAATTAGAGATGTTCAATTTGTATTTGTTTTCCTCTCTAAGTCATGCTTATTGACCAAAGGAATTCAGAATTCATAAATGCTCTCTGCCAACAGTTTATTTTACTTGGTTAGGCCCTTCATTCCCACTGGTATAAACCTCGTCTCTGTTTTTGATTGTTCTAACTCAGTGCTCTCTGGCTCCAAAAGTATTGATGTCTGGCCACATCTACAAGACTGATCTTCTGGCCCACATTTTCCCACTTTTAACCCTGTTGCCAATTCTGAATTTCTCACTGTTATATGTCTGTGCTAATTTGCTTCAGTCACTTCTATCTAATCCTCATATCTACCTTCCTTTCTGCTCCCTGGGTTTTAATTATTGCCAAAATGTAAGATAATTAGTCCACACAGCTGGGTTTTTTTGTTTTTGTTTTTTTGTCTTTTAATATTTATTTATTTATTATTTTTTAAAGGAAGGCGGCCTTCAGAGAGGGAATCAGCTTTCCACACAGGCCTGTAGTAATTATCAACATCAAAAGTTGAATAGTCATAAATTATCTAGAATAGGGGTGAAAAAATAGAAAACTAAAGAAATTATCACTTGTTGGCCGGGCGCACTGGCTCACGTCTGTAATCCCAGCACTTTGGGAGGCCGAGGCAGGCTGATCACGAGGTCAGGAGATCGAGACCATCCTGGCCAACAAAGTGAAACCCCGTCTCTACTAAAAATACAAAAATTAGCTCAGCGTGGTGGTGCGCCTATAGTCCCAGCTACTCGGGAGGCTGAGGCAGGAGATCACTTGAACCCAGGAAGTGGAGGTTGCAGTGAGCCCAGATCGTGCCACTGCACTCCAGCCTGGTGACAGAGCAAGACTCTGTCTCAAAAAAAAAAAAAAAAAAAATCATTTGTCAGAAGGTAAAAATTAAAATTTACTACTCTGAGAAGACACATATGTTGCAAATACATAGTGCATTTTAGGCCAGTGTTTCTCAAACTTCAATGCAACTATTAATCTTTGAATCTTGTTAAAATGTAGATTCTGATTTAATAAGGAGTGGGGCCTAAGATTCCAAATGTCTAAAAAGCTGGAAACCATCATTCTCAGCAAACTATCGCAAGGACAAAAAACCAAACACCACATGTTCTCACTCATAGGTGGGAATTGAACAATGAGAACACATGGACACAGGAAGGGGAACATCACACACTGGGGCCTGTTGTGGGGTGGGGGGAGGGGGGAGGGATAGCATTAGGAGATATATCTAATATTAAATGACGAGTTGATGTGTGCAGCACACCAACATGGCACATGTATACATATGTAACTAACCTGCGCATTGTGCACATGTACCCTAAAACTTAAAGTATAATTAAAAAAAAAAAAAACAAGCTCCCAAGCACAGCCTATGCTGCTAGTTCTTGGACCTCAAGAGCAAAAGATTTTAAGCAATCTGACACACTTCCAAGTCCTTTAACCTATTAATATTCTTAGGCACCAGCTTTTTTAAAGACTAATTTTACTAACCTGTACTGGATTTAATTGTCTCCTTTCCGATTGATTGGCCCAGCAGGTCATATTGATTTAACCTAGAGCCATCAGGAGCAACCTGTACTGAATCAGATGCATTGTAAGTCCAAATATAAGTGACCTCTGAAGTTGTATATGCATCTATAGGAAATCAGAAAAAATATTTTAAGCATTTTAGTAAGAACCATCAATCTAGTGCTACACGAACGGTTGTGTATTTCATACAATCACTATATACTTTCAATATTAATAGTTAAACATCACATTTAGGGCAAAAATGTCTCATTTGAATTTACTTCAATATGAGAGTTATGAAGTAGACCAAAAGAGATGATCATGACCATGACAGTATATTCATTGCAACCACTTTGAAAGGTGAAGAGCAAATTTCTTGTTAGAGTCTGTTAGAATCACTGGGCCCTTAGATGATTATAACATCTCCTTTAGGCCAAAGGTAGCATATGAAGACACTGTGGTAAAATAAGCTGTTTAGCTTATTTATAAATAGCAATCACTCATAAGATAAAAATCAAAATTCAAAATTATATTAATTTTTGGACATAAATGTAGCCTAGTTAAGAGTTAAATGAGTTAGCTATCATAATACAATGCATTTCATTAGAATAAAAAGTAATTATTATAGAACATATAAGATAAATAATAACGCTATACTTGCATCAAGTTGCAAATCCTTTTAAAATCATGCTCGTTTTTAAATGAATCAATGCACACAGATATCACTAGCCTACACATTCATAGCATCCCAGTTAAACTATGGATTGGCAGGAAGAGGAAAAACTGCAACCAGATCAGACATAACTTCCTGACTTATTGGCCAAGGATGCAGAAATTAGCAGAAGTAAGATGACTTCAGAGATGGCATGCAGGCAACATATCTGGTCTTAGCCTTTCTCTGACAGTGGCATTTTCTTACATCTCTATGCCCCACTGGGGAACAGATAACCTCTCCATGCAGGCAGAGTCCCTCCACAGTTGAGTAACAGGTAATTCTTTCTATACTACTGACCTTCTGAAGAACTTCTACGCACTTTTACTCATGAGAATGTTTAGAGATGTCGTTACCCCTAGTTCTTGAGCAAAACTCAGCATCACAGTCACGTTATCAATTAAGGGAGAGAAAGGGCCAGTTGTCTCTGGCAACAGTTCTACCTCCAGCTCTCTAGGACACTGGAAATCTCATTCTCTGCAATCTATAACTTTCCTAGCTTTAATAGCACCATACTGTGGTGACTCTGGTTCTGAAATTGATCTAAAGTCTGTGATCGCAAATCAATTTCCACTCAACCATCAGTAACAATAGAGTAAATGATTATGAGTTTGTGTTTTCTAATGACATACCTGGCATTGTCTAACGGCAATGTTGTCTGGTTTTCTGAATGTTGCTACTAAATGTTAGTATCAGTGAAACACCATTATCACTACATATATAGTCACCTACATTCACAATTAAATTACATTATGTGAAGCAATTTTTGAAATAGGATTCTAAAAATGTATATGTATATTTATATATATGTATATACTTTTAATAGAGAAATGTCCATATGATTTGATATGAATGAATTTTAATTATTCTAAGGTTTAGTTTTCTAATTAAGTAATTTCAATTCATTAACCATTAATGATTGATTACACCGAGAACATTAAACAACAACACTACTAATGTGAATAACTAGGAACTCATTTGTAGATCAAGTAGCTTGTTTTGTTTCCCCCATGAATACATATTCTGGCGCTCTCTTCAATAAAATTTCAAATGGCACAGAATTTAACAAAAAGATACATCAAATGATCTACTTTACGTTGGAAGGGCCTCACAATACTCTGTAGTCGTCAATAAATTATGAAGTTTTTTTTTTTTTTTAGCGGAACGACATCACTTTTGAATTATAATGTTTCTTTTAAACATAAATAAGAAAAAATGAAACCCTATAAAAGAGATGACATTTTTAAGGCACTAATGAGATACTGATAGGCAGTGACTCTGTCTGATTCATGCCTGTACTTCCAGGACCTGCTACAGTGCCTGATACACAGAAGAAAAAGTCTCAATTCACTCTTACTAGATTAATATATTAAGTCATAATATTTGAACTATGTTCTTTACTGCTATGGAAGATGGAAATCTAGAGAAAAGCTCAAGAGTTTATTAAAGAAAGTGACTGATTCTTCACATGTCTTTTGAAAAAGCAGTTACTGCACTTCATTATTTAGATAAGAATATAGTTTTGAGATTTTGTGTCTGGTGAAAATAATGCAGCAGAAATTTATGCAAAGCAGATTAAAGCCTCTCCCGAAGAGGGCGAGTTATATACATTAACACACATATAAGCCGAGAGGTCATAATAATGTTTCTCAATAAAGTATCAAAGGAGAGAAAGTTTTACAAAATTCATTATAAATTCCACTTGTAAATTAAGCTGCCATTAAATAATCTTGTTTGTGTTAATTAACCCATTTTTGAGTCCTATGTTGCATTAAGCAGATGTATACCAACTGATTCTTAATATTTGGTTACCAGGAAAAATACTTCAAAATTATTTTTAGCTGTCAATTTTTAATCTGAAAGACAATTTACAGCTTCTTTTGGATTAATGAATAGAATATCCCTAGACTTTCATTCAGAAATTCTAAAATCAAGTTAAACAACAAGGAAAAATTTAAAGGTATGCGGCAATAGGAATAAAACAAAACAAGACTGAATTTAAAATTGTAAGCACACAGAAAAAAAATGCTTCTTTTGATTGAGGACACTGACGAAGTTCCTGAAATACAATCCTTTTGTGGAGTGGGGGTAGGGAAGAAGAGGGCTTTCAAGTAAGGAAGGAATAAATGAGTAGAAGAAAAAGTCACAGCTGTTTCTGCCAAACTTTGTTATGCCAACATTGTCAGCTATGGCTTGGCTTGTATATTACTCCACACTGGTGTCCATACTTTTAATACTTATGCATCAAGCACCTACTACAGGCAAAGACAATAAAATAACATAAAAATTGTTTATTCAGAGTGTCAGAAAATAAATGTGAAGAAAACAAAATTAGTGCTAATTACTTAAACAAAAAATGCCTAGCAGCAAACTTTATTTGTTGCTCATAGCTCCTTCTGGGTACAGAAAACTATATGCTCAAGCATGCGATATTTCTGCACTCTGTAGATGCAGTATAAGAGATTTTTAAATTTCATTTAAATATTTTCAAGTGTGCTTATTTCATTTTCAGAATCGAGACATCCATCACATCATTTATATTTGATGCCTTAATGACAATACCTTGTCAACTGAAAAAAAAAAAGTCCTTTTTACAACATGATTACATCTTGAATTAATCTTTTCTTTGGTATCAAGGCTTTTCAATTTTTTCTATAATGCCTCTTATGTAATGGAAATAAGTCCTTCTCTGCTGCATCTGCTGTGGTTTTCTCAGCATCGTGTTTACATTGTATAACATGATTGACTATCTTAAATAATGTTGGAAGAAATGCCAATACTGAAGTTATGGTTTCCATGACAATAAAAGAAGCCTTTGTAGTTAAATAAAGAGAAGATTCTCAAAGAAAATTGAGACCTGACACCTTTTGCAAGAACAAACAAGATTGCAGTTCTTGTACCACAAAAGTATGATCATCAAAATAATTAGAGGGTTTTGCATTCATATGAGCCACCATTCTTCCGTTTTCTTTTGCTTGATACAGTTTGTGAGGAGAAGGCATACTATTCAGCAATACATAGTTTTAATCAGATGAGAGTACTGTATTTCTATTCAACAGAGAAGAAAAAGTCAAAAGCTATTCAGAAGGGACAAAGATGAGGGTGCCAAAAAGAGCACAGTCTCTAAAAAGGTCAGGCAATAGGACACCCTCACACAAGAGGGAGGCTGCTCAGCTGTGTTCGTGGATTTATGCTGAACCTACCCAGAATGTCATGTGGGCCTAGGGAGATGATTTGACCTTCCTCCTTTTCAATTATTCTGGAAGAATGAATGCTTCTGCTTGACATACAAGATATAACCCTTCTGACCTAAAGAAGAGCCAACTGCACAGACCCTTTTCTGAAATGTCCTATGTACATAGAAGGTGCCAGAATGTAGCAATGCAGCTACATTATCTCCTTTAATTTAAGAAATAAAAAAGAAATCCTTCCATTAGTTACAGTAGAAGACAATGACACAGACTAAGCTTCTGTGCATGTCATTTGCAACAGGCTGATTGCCACTTTATAGAATCTATCCTTTCCAATTCATTCTTAGTTGATGAAAAAGAAACATTTGAGTTTTTAATATTCTAGCACTTGAAAAAGAAGGTAAATTACAGTCCTAACCTCCAAGGAACTCCTGGTCTAATTTTACACATGTACTAAAACACATAGTAGTAAAAATAAGTCATAATTGTTTAACACCATGATTAAATTATAATAATATTTGAGAGATGTTCCTTAAGGACAATTAGCATGGCTTTTACTTCCAAGTCTTATTGACAATTGTCAATCATCTCATAATTTGAGAAAAAAACTAGACAATTGAGCAGTGCTGCTGACTTTCCCTGATATTATTGACCCAAAACATGTAACTTCATCCCTGTACTTACAGCTGCCAAATTTCAGAGGACATGAATGAGCATCCATTGGGAAATCCTCCAAGTGCATTGGGCATTCAGCTTGAACTGTAAGCCTAAAAGTCAAAATTTCACTATTTGTTTAAGTATATTGGTAAGTCAAGAAAAATCACTCGTCATTACTCTCAACAGACTCGATAGAGGTAGAGCATTAATCACAGCAGTAGGCTCATTCATATTTAAATAATCTTTTGTTCATTCATGTTTAGGTGATCCCTCGGAAGACATTGGCGTATACAAATTCTCAGTATAACTGAAAATAATAATTAAAAATATACTTTAGCCATTTTAGTTTCTTAAGAAGTGAAGAAATTACATATGCATTTTAAATGGCTCCTTTCTCATTAAGCTCACTATTAACACTTGAAATCTTAAGGGCCAAAAAAAATCTCTATCATTAAAAGAATGCTATTGTCTCCATTACCTCATCAACAAACACAGAGCAAAATTGATCAAAGGATTCAATATTAGTTCAGAGGAGCTCCCTTCAACATATGTGAATTGTGAATTGTTACTGTATACTGCATATATATTCACAGCTATACATATAGTGCTAGATATAAATACATATACAGATGTATTTCCTAGAAATAACTTTATCAAGTTTAGATTGTTGGCTAAATTATAAACACAAATTACGAATGTTAAATATATATTTTTCTGTATCTACATGATTACAACAAAGAGTAGTCATAGAAAATTTGATATAATGCAAACTTCCAATTATTCCATTTCATGTAAAGACAAAGTGGATATAGCAGGTACTAAATAAAATTTATAGAGAAATCTGTTATAATGAGCAAAGCAAATGTGACCACAATTTGTTATGGCTTAAATTCTAAGAAAATGTTTAAATAGAACCTTAGACAATATATTCCAAAATTATATATGTCCTGTGCCTGCATTTTATTTAAACCCTAAAGTTTTACTCATTGCCTTAGTTAATAGAAATGATCAATGTACAAAGTCAACAGGGGCATTGCATCTGAATATATTGCAAGATTCAAAGGGAGAGACAGAGGCAGAAAGACTAGCTAGCACTTCCATTTAGGCAATGAACATTTAGTAATGAGTCCTCAAGAAATTTTTTCTTTAAAGATCAGAAATAGCATAGGACTGTATTGTTGTCCCTTCTTAAATAACTTTCATAACCAAAATCTAACACTTATCTTATGAAATGACAATACATCAAATAACTGGAATACGTGTTTCTGTCTATATATAATGCTGATGTCAGATGTCTGTTTTAAATCTTTTATGAAACATTTTAACTTTAGATTCCACATAATCTTACTAGATTTGTTATTTTTTTCTTACATAATACAAGTAACTTATTTTACAAAATTAATTCATGAATATGCTTAAGATGTAATAGGTTTTAGGATCAACAACTATTTATTCTGCAAGAAAATTTTATTACAGTTTAAATCATATAAACAATGCTATAGGATACTTTTTGAGTTACAAAATGGCAATTTCATATGGTTCAATCTAGTACATGTTTATGGTATCCAATATACTTGTAAGCCTTATTAAATGAAGCTTTCTCTCTGAATTTAAATTAAAGTTATTTTTTCTTTGGAGTAACTTCATAGGGAAAATTAAGATATTAAATTAGGCTGAGCGTGGAGGCTCATGCCTGTAATCCCAGCACTTTGGGATGCCGAGGTGGGTGGATCACTTGAGGCCAGGAGTTCGGGGCCAGCCTGGCCAACATGGCGAAACACCGTCTCTACTAAAAATACAAAAACTAGCCTGGCATGGTGGCACGTGCCTGTAGTATCAGCTACTTGGGAGGCTGAGACAGGAGAATCACTACAACCCAGGAAGCGGAGGTTGAAGTGAGTCGAGATTGCACCACTGCACTCCAGCCTGGGTGATAGAGCAAGTCTCCGCCTCAATAAATGAATAAATAAATAAAGTCTTACTTTGAAATAACAAAAATTTTGATGGGATATCTGATAAGATATTAAAATTATATGTTGATACAAGTAAAATTCAAATCATTATTAAAAATGTACTTAATAAAAATGTCGTGAAGAATAATGAAAAACATCAATTCATAATAATAAAAGCAATTCTTAACATTTAAAGAACTAAGATGAGACTCAAACTCAAAAATACTATTTTATATAGTTTTTTAAATCAAAACATTTGCAAAGCATATTATTGGTACTTCAATAATCTGTTAGAAAACACTCAACTTTGTTAATACTTGACAGCTAGATTGGCTGGTTGTTTAATACATGAAAATTTCTCAGTATATAAATACATCACATCAAACCTAAAAACATACCTCATGGTATACAGCAGAGTCCCATCATCCTGAATTCGAAGCAACTTATTTGGCATTGTCATATTATGAGCTACTGATTTTTTCCCATTGTGAAAAAAGGTATCTGGAGTCCAGATTTTGCTAGCCATTAAATTGTTTAGTCGAAGGATATTCATAGGACCTTTAAATTTTAAACGTTCATCTTTCCATTTTTGTCGAAAGAAAACATCAATTGTATATTCCTGAAATAAAAAATAGAATTTTTTTGAAAATAGTAAATGTTGTAGACACAAGACACGGTAAAATTCCAAAATAATATTCTAATTAATTTAAACAGAGAGAGCTATATTGAAAGGAAAACATTTTTAATCAGAAAGATTACTCCTTTGGCTTATCAATACATGTTGCCACATACAATGGGATAAAGTACGTCTGTGTATACTATTAGCTATATATTCTTCTGAAAAGAAGAAGTAAATTCACTTTGGCCTCTTTTAGTTGAACAAGGTCTCAGTCAAACTGCTCCACTACATCCTGTAGTTTAGAGCTGCTTGGAGAGGGGATAAGCTTGAGCAGGGTCTGGTTGAATTATTTTAAGTAGCCTATTTCAAGAAAAAATGAGTAGGCAGCTTTCCCAGTAGCAAATAAATAAATAAATAAATAAATAAATAAATAAATAAATAAAATTTTTAAAAATTAAAAAGAAAAAACATAACAGAAAAAATTAAAAAGAAAAATTAAAAAATTAAAAAGAAAAAAACACAACACTTAAGCACACTTTCAGATCTGTATGAATCATCATCTCCTGTTGCCAAAGAAACTGTAAATTATCATATTTATTTTTTAATCCTAAAAAATGGTGAGAACATGATATTGTTAGCAAGACTGTCTTAGGAGATAATTTCAATAAAGTTTATTTATGACATTAGTTGTAATACAAGCACCTTACAAGTTTTTAGAATACTTAAATTATGACTATCTTGCAGATAAACTCCCTCATGTTAAAATGTACTTTAAAATATTGTTACAGACCCGCTAGTGATCATGTCCTCTATTATTTTTCTCCAAATTTTAACTTACGTGAAACTCTGTTTCTCTCTCTCTCTCTCTCTCTCTTTACCTCTCTCTCTATCTTTACCCTATCATTCTTAAGGTAACGTACACATTTTAAATGAGATATACAATGCACAATTGTGAATACTGTTTACAATCCATTGGATATTAATTTTTTGTCAGTGTATATTTGTATAAACATACTATAAATAATTGAAATGCTCAATTACACACCTGAGATTTGAAATTCAGAAACTGTCCTTTGAGCACAAAACCATAGTCATTACATGTTTGAAAATAAACAATGCAGCGATAGCAATTTTACTAAATTAATGTTTGCAAAAAAGAACAGATAAAAAGGTCATATACTATAAAATAGAAAATCATTTGTACAAATCGGAATCAAATACATGAATCCCAGTGATCCCTCAAAACTTGAAACTGTGATGATACTAACAAGTGAAAATCCTAGGTACTGGCATGTGAGTAGCAAATGAACAGAGGCTCTGGGCTGTTAATCCTTAAGGGAATATTCTATAACCTAGTGAGCGTGGGCTCACTATCATCTAGTTATCTTTTTTAATGCTTAACTCTAAACATTAAATGGAACTCTAAAATTAAAAAAATGATGAACAAAGAGATGAGTCTTTGCACTGCAAGTTTCACGTAAGTATTTCTTTTTTAACTGGGATTCCTCAAATACTAGCCTAATGTGACTGCATATGATTCTTGGTTACTTTTCCAGGCAAAATTAATGAATTTTAACACTTTTTATAAAACTTCAAATTCTATATTTCACTTCTGTAAAATGAGGTTATGTTTTATCTGTTTCAGAAGCTATTGATATGACAGTCATTTTCTGGAGGTCAATCACATAGGAGATACTTAAAATTTACAAACAGGAAGTTGCAAGTGATTTTTTGTACATTTTAATGATGTATTTTACTTATTTATTTTATTTTTTAATAACTTCAACTTTTATTTTAGATATGGGGGCATATGTGCAGGTTTGTTACATGAGCATATTGTGTCATGCTGAAGTTTGGGATACTATCATCCAGAGAGTTAGCATGTTACCCAATAGTTAGTTTTCCAACCCTTGACCTCCTCCCTCCCCGCTCTAGCAATAACCAGTGTCTATCGCTGTCATCTTTATGTCCATGAGTACCCAATGTTTAGCTCCCACTTCTTATAAGTGAGAACATGCATTATTTGATTTTCTGTTACTGCGTTGATTTGCTTAGGATAATGGCTTCCAGCTGCATCCATGTTGCTGCAGAGCGCAAGATTTTGTTCTCTTTTAAGGCTTCCTAACATCCCATAGTGTAGATGAATCGAATTTTCTTTATCCAATCTGTCATTGATGGGCATCTAAATTAATTCCATGTCTTTGCTATCGTGAATAGTGCTGCAATGAACATATGCATGCATGTGTCTTTTTGGTAAAACGATTCATTTTCCTTTGAGATATATAACCAGTAATGCGATTGCTGGGTTGCATGGTAGGTCTGTTTTAAGTTCTTTGAGAAATTTCCAGACTGCTTTCCACAGTGGCTGAACTAACTTACATTCCCAGCAACAGTGTGTAAGTATTCACTTTAGTCTGCATCTGTTTTTTTTTTTTTTCTAACTTTTTAATAATGGCCATTCTGACTGATATAAGATAGTATCTCATTGTGGTTTTGATTTCCATTTCTCTGATGATTGGTGATGTGAAGCATTTTTTCATCTGTTTGTTGGCTGCTTGTATGTCTTCTTTTATGCAGTGTCTGTTCATGTCTTTTGCCCACTTTTTAATGAGGTTGTTTGGTTTTACTTGTTGAATTATGTAAGTTTCCTAAAAATTGTTTCCAGAATTATTATTTATCTTTGAGGGCTCACAGTGTCCTAGGTGTGCCCTGCCAATCTATCTAACATAGTTTGAGTCTTTTTTCTCCCACCCTCACCATGCAAACTCATGTTATGCTCTAGGCAATTGTAACAATCCCCACTCCTTGACATTCCTCAAATAGAGCAAGTTCTCCACCTGCCTCAGTCCCTTGAACACCTGCAAAAAAACATAGCCAGCTCTCTTTGTATTTCTGTAGAGCCCTTCATTCTTTCAAGATCATCTATTGCAATTATACATTTGCTTCTTTGCCTCCCAAATAGCTTATAAATCTTCAAGAAAGGGACCATGTCTTTCATTTGTGTTCTATTTTCTTTTTGTTTTTCGGACATACACAAGAGTATAAAGAATATTACAAACACCTTGTAACCATCACCTAGCAGAAATGTCATCACAAATCTTATTGAAGCCCTTCCTCTTCTGTTTATCCCTTCTCAATCACAGCCCCCTAGTCTCTGAGGAAATAAGTATCTTGAGTTTAGTGTACACCCTTCCCATACATGTACTTTCACATTTAGTACATATATACACACACACACACACACACACATATATATATAGTGTGTCACATTTTAAACATTCATATACACAGTATCATACCTTGTATATTTTTCTGACACTTGCATCTTTTAGCTACTTTGCTGAGGTTTACTCATGGCAATATATCTAGCCCTTTGATTCATTTTTACTGCTTTATAGTATTATATTGGAAGACAAACTTCACAATATCATCATCGTTTTTCCTCATCCTTATTTTTCTTATTTATAATTTGTCACCGTCACAAGCAATATTGCTACAAATATTCTTGTTCAACACTTGTAATACAAAGGTATAAGAAGAGTTACTCTAGAACAGAGGTCAGCAAATTTTTTCCATTAAGTGTTAGTCAATAAACATTTTAGAATTTGTGGGCCATATGGTTAGCATCACAACTATCCAACTCTGCCACTGCAATGTGAAAGCAACCATAGATTGCATAAATGAATGAGCATGGCTATGTTCCAATAAAACTCTGTTTACAAATATAGGCAGCTGACAGCTTCTTTCCCATGGGCTGTAGTATGCTGACACTGCCCTAGACTAAATCTGTAAGTAAGATTACTGGAATTTCGTGTATGTGCATCTTCAAAATAACAAGATATTTTTAAATTGAAATCCTAAGTGGTGTGTAAATTTATATTCTCACTAGAAGTGTATAAATGTTCTTGTTTATGTACAACTTGGTAGAGACAGTATATTTCATTTTAGACATGATTAGTGTGAAATGGGTCATGGTGCAATCACGAGGATTTCTCTGTTAATTAGTAATAAATAATATATGTTCATGTTTATTAAAAATTCTAGTTTTCTCCTCTATAAATTATCTGTTCACTTCATCTACTCAGTTTCCTTTTGGGTTGTCTGTCATTTTCTCACAGACCACTGGGCTCAACTGGCTTTTCTTTCTCTTGACAATGGCAGAAGTACAAAAGAACAAACTCCAATGCACAAGCCCATTTCAAGCTAGTGCTTGTGTAATATGTTTTAACAGCCCATTGGCTAAAGCAATTTACATAGTTAAATTGATGGATACTTGGTGTAGTAGGTAACCCCAACTCTCAGTGAGAGGGCACTACAAAATGAGATGGGAAAATGTGGCTATAGGAAGGGGTAAAGAACTTGAGCCAGTATTTCATCATTGCAACTGAACAGACTAGGCCTCTGTGAGAGAAAAGTAAAAGATGTTAGTGAATGAATAAAGAGTTTGAGGTCATCTGAAATTTCAATGAAAGTCACATGAGTCTAATCTCAGGGAAGCAGGTTGGTTATAACTTAGTAAATGTAACTATTATCAACTGTATTATACCTAAATGAAGGGTGAGCCTTTAAGTGGAAGCAGGGTAATCAGCTTAGGACAGCGGCTTACAAAGTAAAGTGTGTGTATCCATTTGGGTGCAGGAAGAAAATATTAGAATCTCGATTTTTATATATCACTTTAAATATAAAAATAAATGAAGCTTTATAATATGGAACGATATAGACATTATTAAGAGTAAGAATGTAAATAAGTAAATTAAGGTCATGTTTATAAGGCATTCTATGGGAAGAGAAGGCACAACAGCAGGAAATGGGGTAGTGAATGCATTTGTCATCAGTGTACCGTGATTGTGCCTAGTTAGGTGAATTTACAATACTTATTTTTGATTAAACTAGCTCTAATGAAAATAGGCAATTGGATTCAGAAGATTACTGATAAAACACCATGGAAGAAAATAATAATTGTACAAACGAAAGTGGGAAACAAGAAAAAGAAATACCACACTCTGCCTAATATGAGCCCTACATGAGCCAGGTAAAAAAAAATGGTAAACAAATAAACTCTAAAAAAAATTCAAAAAAAAATTTATAATTATCAGTGAGGCTATTTAAAATATGGGTTTATGCCCACTGTTTATAAAAATAAGTTTCATCTTAAACACATGTTGTAATTTAAAATACTGGTCAATGATAGTATCAGATCATTGCAAGTAACAAGTCATTTTAAAAACTAAAAATCTGGAACACAAAGACAAATACCGAAAGTTGATGGGTGGATTTTTAAATATGAACATCATAATTCACTAACCAATAGCCAATGACACATTTCTTAAATTTGAATCTATAATAGTTGTAAAGGCAAGTATTAATGTGATATAAATTTAGAATCTTTTAATTGCTGCAACATAATCTATTTAAGAAAAATATTAAAAAATATTAAAAATAATAAACCATTTAAACATTAATTACTAGAAATATCATAAAAATTTTAAGTGGGAGCAAAAATAAATGTACTTCTTTGATAAATATAATAATTAGTCCTTAAAATAAATATTTATTTTTAAATGTTCACTTTGGTCCATATTTTATATTTTTATATATTAGTGTAAAATATAGGTATAGATATATAGATACATAAACAAATATAGCTGACTAACCAGTTTTTGTATGTTTTGTTTTCTAGACTAAAAAGACAGGGAAAGAAGACATTTCAATAAAATAATATTCTTTGCATAGCCACTAAGTACAAGATTTCCAAATAAATTATTTTCATGTGATTCCCTTAAATGCTTGTAAAATGCACAATCTAAGTATTTGAAAAGGATATTCTTGAAAAGTGCATTTAAAATTAACTTCAGACTTTCATGAATATATACTAACAGAGTTATTACCTGATTTGTGTTTTATAAGAAATTTACCAAAAAAATAAAAAACGGTCTAACTCCTTCATACAAACTTAAAGGCTTAGATCCATCAACTGAGACTCTAAAAGAAATTAATAATAAAAGGATGAATTACACAATGCAGTGGAGAATACACATACAACTAAAGTGCAAATTTAATAAGAAACAAACAAAAAACCGCAAGGATATATCAGCTTGCATGTATCCTATGGCTTATACACAGGAGAAGTGAGACTGACTGTTGGGTTACACTGAAGAGTTGAAAAATCCATACACTCCAAGATTTCAAAAATTCCTTACAGGAAATTTAACCCAATTTCCTCCTTTCACAGATGGGAATATAGATAAATTCAATGAATTTCCTGTTTTCAAGTTTGTTAGTGACAGAACCCAGACAAAGATGCAGTTTCCAGTCAAATGTTTTTGCCACTACTAAAAATCTCCATTTACAGTAAACTCCTTAAGTGTTATATCCATAATTTGTCCTGGAAACAAGGAAATCACTCTCTATAAACTATTGCACAGTTTATCATATAAACTTGATTTTAAGGACACATTAACTTAATGAAGGCATCATATTCTTTACTGCCTGACTACATTAATTATAAATCAGTACTTATAGCCAATTCCTGAAGAATCTTATCCACTCACTAAAACACAACTAAATTGTAGGACTGTTCCTGGAGTGATTTCTCATTTACTTTGATTTTCTACATTTATTTACTTATTACATTATACTCTTGTGGCTAATAAAGGCTAGTCTCCCTTGAGTAAATTCCAATCAGTGTGTTTCTTCTATAATGAAGAACATGTAGTCTATGAAGCAGGTATGCAACAATGTAAAAAATATCACTCTTGGAATACACAAGAATAATGAAGCTCGAATACTTTCAGTTGGTACTCAAACGGGGCTAGATAACAATTTAGCACAGTATTTGCATTGCAAAAATTGCAAAAACAATGAGAATCTTAAGAACAGATCAGCAAAGGGCCAGTAAACCCAATTAGTACAAGCCTTATTATACAAAGAAGTTCACCAAACTACAGTTGCAGAACAACATAGCTACTGCACATTCAAAACATTGTGGAGGTAAGATGTTTGGGCATTCTTTTTGGAACTAGGGGCCAGGCAAATTTCACTAACAAATTAGAAAATGTTACTAAAGATTCATATTTTAACAGAAGATAATTAAAATATATATAATAGAAGTATTCAATATGATTCATAGTTATAGTAGACAGCAATTTACTTTGATATAATATGTGTCATTTAAAATTCATAACATCCTCATTGCATATGCAAAATTATACCAATTTCACAAGTGGAAAATACTTCAAAAGCAATATTTACTTAAAAAAAAGACAGAGAGGCAAGATTTGGTCTCAAATTCTGTGTTTCTAAATACCATGGTCTTTTCATTATACCATACATAAAACAACCCTTGAAGGCAGAATATCAGAATAAAATTTCCTTCTTTCATAGATCAATAAATGGACATTACTCATGGCTTATGAGAAGTTACAGGAAGAACTAAGTTGTAGGGCTGAGACTGGAGTTTTGGAATTTCTGAAAGGGGTATTTTCTTCAAAACCTGATGTTGGAAAAACTGAATAGCCATATGCACTAGAATTAAATTGGACATCTATCTTATCCCATACACAAAAATCAACTCAAGGCAGACTAAAGACCTAAAGGTAAGACCTGAAACTATAAAACTCCTAGAAGAGAAGATAGGCTCTTTGACATTGATCTTGGCAATGAGTGTTTTGAACATCACTCCAAAAGCTCAGGCAACAAATGTAAAAATAAACAAGTCGACATACATCAAACTAGAAAGCTTCTGTACAGCAAAGGAAACAATCAACAAAATATAAAGGTAGCCTTATGGATTGGGAGAAAATACTTGCAGATTATATATTTGATAAGAGATTAATATCCAAAATACATAAGGAATTCACACAACTCAATAGGTAAAGAATCTGAATCGACAGTTCTCCAATAAAAACACAAAATGGTCAATAAGTATATAAAGAGGTGCTCAACATCACTAATCATCAAAGAATTACAAATTAAAATCAATATCACCTCACACCTGTTAGGATGGTTATTATCAAAAAGACAAGAGATAACGAGTGTTGGCCAGGGTGTAGATAAAAGGGAATCCATGTACACTGTTGGTGGGGATGTAAATTGGTGTATCCATTAGGGAAAACAATATTGATATTCCTCAAAATGTTAAAAGCAGAATCTTTCTGTTAGGTATATACCCAAGAGAAATGAAATCATGACCTTTAAAGATATTGGCATTCACATGCTCATTGTAGCATTATTCACAATACCCAATATACAAAAACAATCTAAGTGTCCGTCAATGCATGAATAAATTATTTAAACATAATATATATGTACAATGAAATTCTATTCAGCCTTAGAAAAGGAGATCCCATCATTTGCAACAATATAGATAAACATGGAGGGCATTATACTAAGTAAGATAAGTCAGACGCAGAAGGAAAATACTGCATGATCTCACTTACATGTGGAAAAAAGGAAGAGAGAAAGGTACGTTGGTTGTTTGAATACATAGAATAAAATGTTGGCAGTTACTGCGGTGGGATGTGAAGAGGGAAAAAATGGGGAGGTGTCAATCAAAGGGTATAAAGCTTAGATACATAGGATGAATGTCTACAGATCTAAGGTAAAACATAACGACTATAATTATTGTATACTGGAAATGTAAGTGCTCTTACTGGAAAAAAAGTAAACTATGCAAGATGATGGATATGTTAATTTTACTTGACTGTAGTAGCCACTTACTATTATAAGTGCACTAAAATATAATGTACATCTTAAATGTGCATAATAAAAAATCTTTTCACAATTAAAACTAACTCAAACACAAAATCAAATAATCATAATGATACATATTAAGTAATAAGAAATAGATGTTAAAACACAAGTTCTCAAGTCGGGTAGATCAGGGTACCTGGCTTTGAGCAGGTTGGCTAACCTTTCTTTATATCAGTTGACTTATCTGTAAAATGGTAAGAAAAATAGAAGTTACTTCCTAGGACTCTTGTAAGGATGAAGTGAGATAATATTTGCAAAGTTCTCAGAAAATGGTTGGACACCAAGGAAGATAGTCTGGCATAAATCATCTTCAAAAGATCCTTCTCCCTCTCCCCATACTCAACAAAAGGGTGGCCAGACAAGGTAGAGACAACCAGCAATTAAAGGTCATAAAGTTCCAGAGGCAGAGGCCACACAGGATACCACAAAGAATGCCATTGGAGAATAAGCCACCTGTGTTTTTGGTGACTGCAATAAGGAGGTCACTGAGAAGACATCACAAGTATGCCCCATGGGAGATCCAGTATTCATCCACCAACCATACAAACGGCATATATTGCTAACAGAGAACTACCAATAGAACCAGTTCAGTAAAAATGTATGTTCCCGTTTTACTACTCTCCCTTACCATTGCATCAACTTTGAAAAACACAGAAAAAGAAGAGGAAGAGTAGATCTTGGCCTGTCTCCACAGTATATCCCTTACCTGTGAAAAAGGCATGGAAAAGGACAGAACATCTAGATGGCCTAAGAGACTGATGCTGAAATTAGTCTGGACTGGACTCTTTAAGCTATGGTATGCACTGAAGCATTGCCGTAATGTGAGAAAGGGAGTTTGAAATAATAAAATCTTGCTGATTTCAGTCACCTGAATCTCTAAAGCCCTGGGGGTGAAGTAAAAACACTCTCACAGCCTCCAAGGCCCTGCACGATCTCTTCCTCTCTACTTCTCTAGCCACCCTACAATAATCCCCCACCACATCCACACACCCACGCCCCAACACATGCACCCCTCTATGCTGCCACAATAATGACATAAGTATGTGTCAGGCCTCTGATTTATCATGCTGCATTTTACTATGCAAACTCACTAACCTCTGTTGATCAGTCTTCTCTATCCCCTCCCTATATCTGGACAACTTTTAGTCCACACTGAGAACAAGAATCGTGACCACCTTCTTCAATGCTGTGTCACCGGCATCTAAAAAGCTACTTGGAACATAGGAAATAAACAATACTTTGCCCATGAATAAATGAATAAGGGGAGTCATTGTAAATTTAATGTAGTATGAAGGATACTGAGCCATAATGTTTCTGATGAGACATAAGAAGAAAGGCATCATTAGCAGAGGCAGATGGCAGAAAAGCTCTCAGATGTCTTATGGCAGCAATCTGCAAACAATACCCTAATCCTTAAATTCGCAGGTGTCAAGTGACTTTCATTTGTGTGTTTGCACGCGTGCATCTAGGTAACTATGTTAAACTAATCACCAATATACTTTATAGTTATATAAATAGTTATATTTTATAAAATAGTTATATTTTAACTATAATAGTTATTTTTAAATATTGTTGTCTTTTACAGAATGTATATAGTATAATAATTATATTTTAAAGAAAGTCAACACATACCAAAAAAGGCATGCAATTATAATTTGTCTGGTAACAGAAAGCATCATGTTTTAAAGTATCATTTGGGCATATCGCTATAACTTTTTACGGGGTCACTATGGTCTTCTTAGTCTTTATGGCCTTTATGGTCTGGCTCGGAATACTTTTCTAACCTAATCTCTCCCAAAATTCCTAAGAGCATTCTAGGCTCCAGTTATACTGAACTTTCACATTTTACTAAACTCAACAAGCTCTTCCAATTCGTGCTAAAATACTGTTTTTCCATTGTGTAGCTAGCCAATCCTCATTTGTTCTTCTCAGATATCTTTTTTTTCCCTAAAAACCGTACCAAACTCCGTATCTACCACCCACATCCCCTCTGATACCACATTAATCCATAAATACTTCATTGAAAGCATTATCGTACTGTTTTAAAATGGACTATTTTCCTTAGCTGTCCTCTAATACCCTGTGAGCAATTTGAGGGCTACACTTACTTATTTCAGTTCCTAACAGGGTGAGAAGCACTGAGTGTATACTTAGGAAATCTCGTTGAAATGTACAGACACAAGTTATGCCTTCTAGTAGCTCAGACTGCCATAAAAATAAAAATAAAAAAGTTAGGAAGATTTTCATAAGCCTGTGTACAACATCATTAAAAAAAAAAAGGTATGAACGCCATGTGGTGGAGCACAGGGATAAAGAGGACTGGTGACTTGGAGTAACCTAGAAAGAAATCAGAAAAAAAAAATTAAATTTGAACTTGGCTTTGACTAAATCAAATATCTCCATTTGGCAAAGGAGGAGGTAAGCATAACAAGAACAGGAAAAAACATGTGCAAGGCCAGAGAGTTGTTAAATATAATGACATGTTCAGGGAACAGTGAGAAGTTCAATGCCATCTTTAAAAATAAAAGCCTCACTGATAGTTATAATGCCGTATAGCTGCTGCCCTCTGTCTCGCCTCCTCTCTTCAACCACGCTGCTTAAAAATGTTACCTCCACTCTTTCTCTATTTCCTCACCTCCCACTTGCCTCCACCCACCGCAATCTGGTTGCTTTTACCACAATCAGCAAATACTTCTGTTTTTAATCTAATGACATATTTAAAAACCTTTTCTTGGTTTTACCGTAATAGATGACACAATGTTCCCTCCCTACTTTTGTAATGCTCTCTTGTACTGGTATTCTTAAAGTCACAATTTCCTGGTACTGTGAGAAACCATTGCTAAAATCCTCATCATGGGATCTGAGACTTTTGATGTCTGTCAACTATCTACATGTATTGATATCCCCTAGAAAATATATGGTAGTAGCAACAGTGGATAATATTTATTATTCTTAATCTAGGCATACAAGTTCTTTGTGGCTTTCCCAAAGACAGCCTCAAAACTTGAAACCTAGGAAAAAAACATGCAACCTCTGAAATTTTTATTTTAAAAATCACTACATGTTCAGAAATCACAGTTGTTTATTATTTAGTTTTTTTTTTCTTTTGTCAACATTTATTTTTGGTTCAGAGAGTACCTGTGCAGGTTTGTTACACAACTAGATTGCATGTTGCTGGGGTATGATGTGCAAATTATTTTGTCACCCGGGTAGTGAACACAGTATCCATAGGTAGTTTTTCAACCCTCCCCCTCCCTCTCCATCAAATAAGCTTCAGTGTCTATTGTTCCTATCTTTCTGTCTATGTGTACTTGATGTTTAGCTCCCACTTACAAGTGAAAACATGTCATATTTGGTTTTCTGTTCCTGTATTAATTTGCTTAGGGAAATGGCCTCCAGCTGCATCCATGTTACTGCAAAGGACATAATTTCATTATTTTTTATGGCTGCATAGTTTTCCAAGGTGTACACAGACCGCATTTTCTTTATGCAGTCCACCACCGATGGGCATCTAGGTTGATTCCATGTCTTTTCTATTGTGAATTGTGCTGCAATGAACATACATAGTTCATATGTCTTTTTGGTAGAACAATCTATATTCTACTAAAAAGTAGAATAGTAATAAGTATATAGTATGTAGTAATAAGCTTGCTGGGTCATATAGTAGTTCTGTTTTAAGTTCTTTCTGAAATCTCCAAATTGCTTTCCACAGTGGCTAAACTAATTTACATTCCCACCAGCAGTATGTAAGCACTCCTTTTTCTCTGAAACTTTGCCAACATGTTAATTTTTTACTTTTTATAATTGCCATCTGACTGAGGTGAGATGGTACCTTGTTGTGGTTTTGATTTGCATTTCTCTAATGATTAATGATGTTGAACATTTTTCATATGCTTGTTGCCTCCATGTGTGTCATTTTAAGAAATGTCCTTTCATGTCCTTTTTCCATGTTTTAATGAGATTGTTTGTTTTTCACTTATGAAGTACTTTATAGATTCTGGCTATTAGACCTTTGTTGGATGCATAGTTCAAAAATAATTTCTCCTATTCTGTAGGTTGTCTGTTTGCTCTGTTAATAGTTCCCTTTCCCATGAAGAAGCTTTTTAGTTTAGTTAGGTCCCTGTCGTCTATTTTTGTTTTTGTTATAATTGCTTTCAGGGACTTCAACATGAAATTGTTGTCAAGGCCTAGGTTCAGAATGGCATTTCCTAGGTTTTCTTCTAGGATTCTTATAGGTTGGGGTCTCACATTTAAGTCTTTAATCCATCTTGAGTTGATTTTTGTATATTGTGAAAAGAAGGGTCCAGTTTCAGTCTTCTGCATATGGCTAGCCAGTTATCCTAGCACCATTTATTGAATAAGGAGTCCTTACCCCACTGCTTGTTTTTGTCGACTTTGTCAAAGATTATCTAGCTATAAGTGCGTGGCTTTATTTCTGGGTTCTCTAGCCTGTTCCATTAATCTATATGTTTTTGTACCAGTACCATGTTGTTTTGGTTACTGCAGCCTTGTAGGGTAGTTTGAATCAGGGTAGTGTAATGCCTCCAGCTTTGTTCTTTTGCTTAGATTTGCTTTGGCTATTCAGGCTCTTACTTTGGCTCCCTGTGAATTTTAGGATATTTGAATTTATTTTCCAATTATGTTAAAAGTGATATTGATAGTGTGATAGGAATAAATCTTATTTAGTTTTTACAAAAGAATGGGGAGGGTGGTAGGGAATACTACTTTGTGACCTTAGAAAACCAAGAAAGCTATGACTGCATGTACTAAGTTCCTACAACCCTCCTTCCCCAAGAAAGCTAATGAATGGAGTCAAATTACTTCTACCTGCACCCTTCTGGAACAGTTTCCCCACCCCCAGGTGATGTTTTACTATGCGCAAAACACACGGGTTCATACAGTTACCCAGTTACCAAATAAGCCATCTCACCTTAACTCTACAGAATCCCATTTTGGCAGAGGGCTGTAGCACAGATATCTGATGAAAGCACAGCACTGCATCTGATAAGGAATAAGACAGTGGTCTCTGCCTTTTTTTTTTTTTTTTGGATCAAAGCATAGCCTAGCTCAGAAAATGGAACCACCCTTCATTTTGACAGATACCCACATTTGCTCCTTCTCAGTCTCTTCTTCCATTTTTTTGTCCTCTTCCTGTCCTTTAAATATTGGTGTTCTAGAGTTTCTGTGAAAGTAAGATGGCTACTTTGTTCTAATCTCTTTCCTTGTAAGATTTTATGTATGCCTATGGTTTCAACCACCATTAGATGGCCCCCAAGCCATCTGTACTCCAGGCTTCTCTATTGGGCTCCAGATCTATGCCTGCTACCTAGACATCTCCAATTAAAGTCTCAAACTCAACATGTGCAAAACATAAATGTTCATCCCCGAGCAACAGAACAAAGACAAACAAAACTTTTCCTGCTGTGTTCCATATCCCAGTGAATAGTACCACTTTTCACCCAATTCCCCAAGATGTCATTCTATACTTCTTCTTCCACCCTTATATCCAACAGATCACCAATTCTACCCCACAGAGAACTTTTAAATCTTTTCAGTGCTCTCCATCTTCAGTTCCACTGCCCTGGGCCAATCCACTTTCATCTCTTGCCTGTAGTAAAACAGATTTCTAACTAGTCTTCCTTTTCCCTATCCTTTAATATAAATTATTGGATCATAGAACTCTTACCTTCCTCCGCCTCTTCACCAATCTTATAATATATTTGTGCTTCCCTTAGCATAAAGTCAAATACCTTATCATGTTAAAATACAGACTTTCATGTTCTACAAATAGTAAATATGAGTCCATAGATCATAGGAAGATCCCAGGAAACAACTATTTTAAAAAATAATTCAAATGGTTACAATCTAAGTATCTATAAATCACATTTTGGGGAATATTATTATAAATTCTAGGAGGGTGCTGAAAAATATTTGATGAATGAATGAATGTTCCCAGTGTCTATTTTCTAACTTTCCAAAATGTCAATAACCTTACAGCAACCAGCTTCTACATGCTGGCTTTAAAGGGAGTAAACATCATTAATTTACTTTTGATACAAAGGGTTTGCCATGTTTGTCACAGGTTTTCTTAATGAACTACATTTACAAATGGCAACTTCTGATAAAGGATAACAGATTAAGTTCAGTGTCAATTTTGACCAGATATTAAAACTCACAACTCTCTAAACTTCCTTGATATTAACTACTGAACTAATTAATATCCCAGTAGCTTCTGGAGTTTCTAAGAGATAATGCACTCTGTGTTTTTGCAGAGGAAGAAAAGTATTAACTGGAGAAATCAACATAATCAAGAAACCAAGGTCATACTTACCAGACTGCCTGCTTCTTAGCCTAATGGTAAACTCTGTATCAGATATTTCAAGATTACTTCAAAGTTTTCACTGTCCAAGCTCTAACCCTAACACTTCACAATAGACAACCATTTGGGCTGAGGTTCTCAGTCTAGGTTTAGGTTAAATAATTGGTAGTTATAATACCTATACCTTAATAATATGCACACACAGTGAAAATGTTTACTAATATAAGAAAGACATCCTATATAGAAACCAAGGAAAAAGGGAAAAAAACAGTAGAGCAAGTTAGAAATTGCTAAAATATTCATGCCTACTACAAACTTGGTCAATTGTGAGCTACTAATACATTTCAAAAATTAATTACCTCCTTATGTTGAAATAAAATATTTTTAACTTAATTGCAGAAACTTAAAGTAGAATCTTTAATTATAATTTAGATCTACAACATTTTTGGGACAATTACACTACTTAATGATTCCAAGATAGCAGAGTGTGTGTGTGTGTGTGTGTGTGTGCGCACACGCATGTGTGTGTGTGTTTGCATATTCTTTTGGTTCATAATTCTTTTTGCTATGCTGCTTTTTTTCTCTCAGGCTAATGTCATAACAAATCTACATCACTGACCTGAATAAGAGAAATTAGGAATTTAGCTTTTGCTACTGACCGTGCACACTGATTAGAAATAAAAGTGTATCAGCTAAGCTACTAAAAGTAAAACTAAATTTGTTCTTTATTTTTTTTCTTATTAACAAATTGCTTCTGTAAGGTATTCATTAGATATCTCCACATCCACTTTGACTTGTGGGTAATAATATGGCTATGTTTTCCCTTCCCATCATGATAACATTCTTTTTTTTATATATATACTTTAAGTTTTAGGGTACATGTGCACATTGTGCAGGTTAGTTACGTATGTATACATGTGCCATGCTGGTGCGCTGCACCCACTAACTCGTCATCTAGCATTAGGTATATCATTCTTTTTATTTAGAGTGTCACAGCCACGTCTCATTGCTCAACCTATTGCTCCATCCATACTAAACATAAATTCAAACTTTGCCTCCTTACTTATCTTGATTTCCAGTAAAACTAATATCAACATGGAAATCATTCATTTTGATCATCATGAAGACCATATCCTTTCTCTCCATAAAATGTATATTTTTTTAATTGAGCACTATCTTCCCTAATAGACTTACAATGTGAGTAAATGCATGTGTTTGTATGTGTCTGTGTTACTTGTGTCTATAAGTTATTCAACTTTAATTTTTCCTAGCTGCATCTTTCTTCTCTAGATTTGGACAAATATCAACAGTACCTGTTGAGTGATCAAACTATCTCCTGGTCCTCAGTTTACATCTTCCCTGTATTACACACTATTAGTATTTCAGCTATCTGTGTACTGCCTCTCAACTCCAAATCCACCCTTCTTTCATTTCCTTTGTGATACCTGATGGATCCTATAAATACTGCTCCTCTGCCAGCTAATACAATGTCAGGTTTTGTCAATAGAGGGTGCTGGAGGGACACTCCAATGTAGTCACAAGAGAAGGGAGCTTTTCTTTCTTGGTCTCTCTGGGTCAGCTGCATTGTCATTTTTTGGCACAGCTTCAAACGACTGACATGCTATGAGTTTTCAGCCCATGAAGCATATTTCTGTGGACCAGCTTCAGCATATACCCTCACATGTTTCTTCACCACCAGTAGCTGCACGTTCCTGTAGCAGCAGTATCCCTCCAGTGAGGTCAGAATTCACAGGTCTTAGAGGGAAAGGGTGTTCTTTCCAGTCTTCAGTTTCTTTCTGATTTTGGAAGTGGTGACACTGTGGCCCTAGAAGTAGATATTCTATCTGCATTTCTTAATTCTCTATCACTTGAAATCTTCTTTTATCAATGTTTAAAAAAGAATTTAGCTGTCTTTTATTAGTTAATAATTCTTTATATCAGATTTTCCCTGTGATGTCCTGTGACTGGACTGTGTTTATATAGTATGCTCCCATTTGGTAGCTTTGTGATTAACTAGACTTCCTCTAAAACAACTGTTGGCAAGCCTGACTAAATGAGGTAAATAAAGACAGAAATAAAGTAGGAAATCTGACAAGAGCAGAGCAATCTCATAGAAATTTTTTTAGGCTAGATGAATTAAGGGAAATGTATTATTAGGGAAAATGTCTAGGGCCTTCAAGATTTTCAAAAACCTACTAAGATGCTGAATATGCATTTCATTTTTGAGAATATATCTATATTTGGGTGTGCATATACATACTCACTCACACGCATGTATTCTGAAATATAAAAAGAAAACTAAAAAATCAAAGTAAGTGGTTTTTTATTTAAATGTTATCAACTGAAATTCCACTCAATGCAACCTATATTGGTAGTGTGAGTATATTTTAATGTTTTCTATAACTTGTGGTAGAATCCCCCCAAATAAGAAAGCATATCTTGAGTCTGCTAAAAAATTTTAAAGTTCTTGGGTTCAATTTACAGATAAAGCACAGCTGTTTTTAGTTCAATTCAGATATAAAGTAGCTAAATGTGTTCTATTGCTAATGACTATATACCTAACATCAACTACCAACTTTTTAAATACGTTAGCAATCCCAAAGAGTGGTCACAACAAGGAGAGGTAGAGAATTAATCTAATCTATTATCATCACTGGAAAACAAAGGTCTGTGTACATTTTGGCAAACAAGTATGATGTGAATTTGTGTAAAATCCCCAAATACCAAACATGTCTTGCTAGAAATAGATATGTTTGCATTTATGTATGTATATATGCATATATATATATATATATATATATATATAGAGAGAGAGAGAGAGAGATGTTTTAGGTAAAATAATTCACTTTGCAAAAATCAAAGCTAAAATTTCAATGCAGTAACTGCTACTACTGAAATTTACAACATGAAAAAACTACAATATTGAAAATGTACTGATATTTGGGAGTCTTATATCATTTGCCTTTCTGTTTTGGCTGATAATAAGACACAAAGTACCATATTTAAGAGTAATAATTTATATAATATGCTAATTTCTCAATGTAGTAGTTAACAAAATTCTGACTCTACTTGATTTTAGATAGAAGTTAGGTGTTTATCTGCACTGTGTCTCTAACATTTGGGAACATTTAAGACAAGCTACACTAAGACAGAGTATTTACTAGGACAAAATTATATCTATAGCCAAACAATAACATTTGGAATGCACACTCTTGCTAAAACACATTGTCTCTGTCATCATTATAAGGATCTGTCCACTTAAATTGACCCATGGAAAGAGGCAGATTAATATTTCAGGTCAAAATATACAATAATGCCAGGGAAAAAGAAGGGTTATGCTGAAGAATAGGATTTTTTCCTCTTGTACCAGAATTGTGCCTAAGACCCAGAGTTGAAGGAGAAAAATAAAAGCACTTAAATCTTGACATTCCTGTTTCAAATAATTTTAATGGACTGCCAACATTTAGTATCAACCACTTCCAAAGAGGTGGGGATCACCCATCAACCACATGGGGCCTTACATTTTCAGCCACCCAGGTCAAGATAAGAAATCTCTGAGGTCAGAGGTGTGGCTCTGATGGAATAAACAGCATATTTTGTAACATAAAAGTGGAATTTAGGTTCTCTAACGGAAACGTAGGGAGCTCCTATTAAATTAGCTGATAATGTTTATGAAAGCCTATAAAAATGGAATACTTTTTGTTTTGTTTGTTTATCCAGGTAGAAAATGTCCAACCTTGTCAACTTTCCCCCTGAGTTATCAGAGAAAGGGAAGAATTTCATCAAAAATGTCTATTACAGAGCACCATAGTTAGCAGTAAAAGTGAAGGACTGATTATTAAATTTTTAATGCTTCATCAATAATTCATCTTTGGTGATTCCAGCCCACCAGTACCTAACACATCAAACCAATTTTCCTCACTTATCTATCTCATTTTATTGTATTTTAATTGATTGATTGATTGGAGACAGGGTCTCACTCTCATGCAGACTGGAGTGCAGTGGCAGGATCACAGCTCACTGCAACTTCGACCTCCTGGGCTCAAGTGATCCTCCCACATCAGCCTTCTGACCACAGGCATGTGCTATCACACCCTGCTAATTTTGATATTTTTGGGTAAACATGGGGTTTCACTATGTTGCTCAAGCTAATTTCAAACTCCTGGGATTAAGCAGTCCTCCCACCTCAGCCTCCCAAATTGCTGCAATTACATTTGTGAGCCACCACACCAGGCCTGTCTCATTTTAAAGAAAAAATAAATAATACCAGTTCCATAGAATCCAAGAGTACCAACATTCTAATTTTTTTAGGTTGATTTATATATACCTACTATGTGTGCAGATTATACGTATTGTATGTATGTAGATAGCATAACAAGGCAATCACTTTGCTCAATACCAATCAAAGGGTTTTTTGTTGTTGTTGTTGTTTTTAAATGTGATACACTGACCATGACCTAATTCTGTAAGAAGTCTTTATCTGTGAAACTATATTCACTTTCCTTATGGAAGTCCAGAATTCTGCCTTAATCCTCCTAGAAAATGTTTCTTCTTAATACAATTAATTTTATTTAAATAATTGTTTATTACACTGTAGTTAGGTAGACATGTTTTGAAAATGACGTAAAATACATAGGGCTAATCCAAACACTGAAGTTGGAAATGGAAACCATAGATCCAAACATCTTTAACTATCCATGTATTTGAGTAGACTAAATAGACATGAGACATATACATAATTCTATAACACTAAAAATGCTAGTTTATTTGAAATTACCCCCCACTCCCCATTATGTGAAGTAAAAATACTATTTAATGAAAAACTCACCATATCTGTATCTGAGACAGGGCCAAAACTGGTCACGTAGATGTTAGTGAAGACTTCAGTAATACTGTCTAATATGAGAAAAGAGATTGAATATAGATATTATATAATAAGAGCCACAGGAGAGAGAAGGGTTTGAGTACACGGTATGGTTTGAAAGCTGTGTCACAAATTCGGGAGTACTGGGTTTTACTTTCTTGTCAACTTTCGCAACCATAATGACTATAATGCTCAGTTATTTCATTGGTTTTCACCATCCTAACTGCAAAATGCATAGAAGTATTATGACATTCTTACTTGGAATCCATACCTGATTAGCGCATCCTCATTTATATTGCTCAAAATGAATAGTTTATTAGGAAACATCTTAAGTGAAATAGTTTATAATAAATGTGCTACCAGTAATAAAAATAAACCATGGTATTGTTTGATATAATCCTACATTCGATGTTCAACTAAATATTTCAGTATCTCGTGATAGTAGAGACTCAATTTACAGATTGTAAATCAGTATATCTTCTCCATACAGCACAAAACAGTTTGGTAATTATAAATAAACATAATTCCAATTAATATAAAAAGCTCAATCATTCAGTGACATAAAAATAAAAAATAACAGATTACTTTCAAAGAAGCTTGTTTTTAAATGTATTTAAGAATGCCTGAAATGCTAAGACTGAACTAAATTGGATTCTAAAATTATGTAACATAATAACTGTAATACAATTAACTGGATTGCTCTATCAACCAGGTAATTTAGATCTTTTATTTTAAATAAGCCAAATAGTGATGGGGAAAAGGTCAAAGAAAGATCAAAAAACAAAAATATTTTCACTGCTCTTGTAGTAGAAAAAAACACGTCATTAATGTTTATCATCATGAGCTAAATGTCTTATCCATTAGCTGTCAGATTTGTAATTCTACACAAACAATAACATGAATTGTTTTTTGTATTATACTAGACATTAATTTACAACCATTAGAGTAAACTATGTCTGGGATTTTGTATCCATTAAGGCAAGAATAAAAAATAGAAAGGATATTGATAAAACGGGGTAGACTTTGAATGCCTACTACATACCAGGTACTCTTTAAAGCACCTGAAATATTATAATCTGCATGTCAAACCTATGTGGTAGATTCTCTGTTACCCCTATGCATGTGTACAATGATTCAAAGAAAGGTAAGCAAACTTGCCAAAGACCCACAGCTAGTAGAGTAGATAAAACAATGATTTATAACCCAAGCAATCTAGTTTCTGAGTATTCAAACTAAATCAAAGAATTATACCATAGTCAATTATAAACTTAAAACTAACAGTAGTTTGTTTCTTATTAAATGCATGTTTCTATTCACCAGAATACTCCGTGCCAAAGGCATAGTTATAGTGCTCCAAATAAATATGTTCATTAAGCTTTGTTGTATATACTATTTTATCCCAAAAACTGTATTTTTGAAATTCTATTATAAAAGCATTAGAAAATAAATTTATAAAATTATTTCAGATGCCACCTACTCCAAAGACCTGTTCAGGAGCAGCTTTCTGTGTATACAAAGTACCATAGGACCCTGAGTTCAGAAAAGTCCCATGCTTCATTTAATGGTCTATCTGTGCTCTCTTTAAAAATCTTAATTATTTTTTAAACAAATGGCCCTGTATTTTTCATTTTGGACTGGGCATCACAAATTATGTAGCTGATGCTGAACCTGAATTTATATATACTAGAAAGCAAGTGTGGAAATGAGACCCGACATTTTTTTCCTTTTACCCACACCAAATTAATCACACTATTACATTTATTCAATTAGTAACTGAATAAAACTTTGTTATAGCTGTTGACCTAAAATGTTCCAGAGAAGAGAAATTAAAATGTGAAGGTAGCTTTTACCCTAAGAGAAGAAAGTGAAATGATTCTCCTTAGTTTAAGTAGTAAAGTTAGAATCCAAGAAATGACAAAAATGTGTGAATGTATTGATGCTAAGGATATGAATGGCATTCCCTATATGCCAAATGGCAAGTAAAGGGTGAAGGGGTATCAGTACCTAGTGGCTATAGGGAGGTGTCAGCTAAGAACTGACATGAAAAATAAGGTTAGCCTCAAAACTCCAAGCAGTAAGAGAAACACCTAAGACTCAGAACATAGACATAAAAAGTTATTTTTAGAAAAAGAAATGGTTTCATGGATTACTGACTTCATAAACATAGCTAAATAATGTATGCACTGGGGAGATATTGTCCTGCTATGGAAGTTCCGAAAAAGGAAAATCAGCAAGCCAAACACTGACGATGAACATCCAATAGTGTCTAAGTCTGGGAAAGGTATTCTTAACAATGAGTTTTTTGGTTTTTTTGGTCAGATTTCAATATGGATGGATGCACAGAGCTGTAAACAACCAACATGGGCTAATGAAATATTTTAGTGTAATGAATATAGATATTTGATACATCTAACACAATCTTCTAGAATTCTATGATCAAAACTCAATCTTTGGTTATATTTTGGCTTTCTATAAGACAAGGAAAGGGAAGTGAACAAAGAAAAAGGGAAAAGAAAGGAATGGAGGGGAAGGAAGGCTAGGGAGATTATATGAATGTAGGCTATTTCCAGTAGAATACAGGTTATTCTAATCTTGTGACTCTGATTCGTCAAGACATTTTATAGTATCATCTGCTCAGGTTTGTTTTCCCATGTGGATTTGGAACAAGGTGGAATTGTGCTGTTAGTGCCTGTTACAATATTCTGATCCATTGAACAGATGTATGTTACAGAGTAAACAAGTTAATTTACAGTCTGGTGGCAACCTGAGTCTCTGTGCATTTTAGGTACCATGATTCACTCTTCAGTCTTGATCACTCTTTTTTTGTTGTTTTTGTTCTTTAGATGGAATTTCGCTCTTATTGCCCAGGCTGGAGTGCAGTGGTGCGATCTCAGCTCACCGCAACCTCTGCCTCCAGGGTTCAAGTGATTCTCCTGCCTCAGCCTCCCAAGTAACTGGGACTACAGACGCACACCACGTCCAGCTAGTTTTTGTATTCTTAGTAGAGATGGGGTTTCACCATGTTGGCCAGGCTGGTCTCAAACTCCTGACCTCAGGTGATCCACCCACCTCGGCCTCCCAAAGCACTGGGATTACAGGCATGAGCCACCGTGCCTGGCCCTGATCACTCTTAGTTGACACACCAAAGTCTGTCCTGACTCAGAGCCTTCAAAATGGCCATTATCTCGCATTTTCTCTTTGGTTAACTGCTCCTTTGCATTTAAGTCTCAGTTTAAATGGTCTCTCTTCAGAGCAGGAGTTCACAAACCTCTATGTAATGTAAGCCCTCTTCTCTCATTTTTGCTCTCTGACACTTTCTTTTTATGGGACCTTTCAACTTTGCCTTTATTTTAATGCCTTAATATATTCTTCTTGCTTTTTGTCTTGTGTTTGGTCTGTCTCCCCATCCAGGATTTAAGCTCCACAAAGAACAGGGACTGCACTATTTCTGTTCACTATTATGTCATGAGGGCTTACTACAATGTCTATCACATGTTACATGCTGTATGTTTGAACAAATTATTTCTCATTTTAATTCATGTAGAATATCGATCTTTTTCCAAAATATATCATCAACTTTAAAAATGGTCATGCATAGCTGTTACTAGTCATGAGGAAAAGATGCCCATCAGTTGTGAAGGCAGAGTCCATTTCCATTGACAAAGGCAGGTTGAGAGTATAAGTAATAGGCTTCCAGTGAAGTAACAAAGCTGAGCAAAGGGAAAGAATGTACTTGAAGACAGCACTGATTCACTGCAAACCAAAATTGAAGTCTGAACAGTTAAGCAGCTCCTAGCAGAAATATCCACCAGCTAAATAATGGTTTACCATTAGCAGAAATATCCACCAGCCAAAATAATGGTTTACCAGCTAAATAGCTGACATGAGAATACCAAGAGTAATATGCAAAAGTAAGAGGATGTTCTGTACAGATTTCTCCAGAGGCAAAATACAAGGTTGATAACAGGTACTTTAGGAGAAATAAGTAATGCATGTGGCATACATAGAAGAATGTATAATCCTTAGAGCAATCATCAAATTCAGGATGGTGAAAGAGAACAGGAAATAGCCTGCAGACATGTACTGAGGAACACATAATGTATTCCTAATATTTCATTCTTTTAAAATTAATCCTAATCAATTTTGACAAAATCTTAAGATATGATGGGGGTGGTCACTGTTAATCTTACTCTTCTGTTACTTCTCTGATTTTTTTAACTGATTCATAGAAAAAATAAATGGCCTGAAAAGATATCCAAAATGCACGTATAAATAATTTCAAGAAGTATTTAATTAATGAAAAATTGCTTTTTTGCTGGGAAATGTAGTATAGAATAACAATAAAACTTCTTATAAAATCTTTGCAAAACTATGAAAGAACAAAATTGATGTTCAATTATGATTTATTTTACGATTCACTTAAAATAGATGGTTGAGGATAAAAAGTGAGTAAAGAAAAACATCTGCCTGTGAAAGACCCACAACATAATAGAAAAAAAGCATTTAAAAATTTGTAATACAAGAAATGTCTGCTGCAACCAAACCAAAAAGACAGTATCTCAATGCCCATAGAAGCATATTGGAGAAAGACATGGAGGTTTCACTCTTTTGTAATTTTCAATGGTCCTGAGCATCCTCTAATCCAACAAAGAGCAAAGTAAATATCCGAGGCAGGGAAACTCCTTTGTGCAAAAGTCAAGTCCCACAAATAATTAACTTTCACTCATAAACATGGTTAACATGTATATACAGAGGATGGAATGAGGTTGTAAAGAAAGGCAGAGTTGTATCAAAACAGACCTGATATGCCACAATAATACGAATGTTGTCTTTATATACATGGCAGCAGGAGATTCACTGAAAGACTTTGGCTTGGAGAATTTTGTGGCCAGGGCTATGTAACCAGATATATTATGTCACATTTATGTAGAGGGCAAGCCGAGACAAAGTAGACTGAAGATAGCGTATTCAGTTTGGAAGATGATGCCATTGTTAAGACCAAAAAAAAAAAAAAAAAGAGACTGAGATTAGCAAATGGTAGAAGTCAAGGAAATAATTTGTTTGTTTTAAAGTAATATTGCAGGGATAGGCCCTTTGGTTTGACTGTTAGAGGATGTGTGGAGCCTGGAAAGGAGTAGGTTCAGTAAAACTATAAAGACATAAAACAAATGAAGAGGTTTGGAAAGTAAATGGAGGGTAAGGACATGAAGAGAGTAAGTGGAAAATATTCTTTTTAAAAGCTTGTCAAAAAAGATTTTGACAAACACAATAATAGCTGAACTGTACTGGATAATATAACACACAATAGCAAGCAAACTTTCCAAACAAAAATTTCTAACATTTGGCAACAGCAAAATCCTTTCTGTAAATGATTGATGGACATTTGATAGGTATATTCTTTGTACCAGATCCTCCTTCTCTTTCTCCTCCACCGTAGACACACACATACACACCATTTTAAAACTGATTTTCTCAAGAGAGTGGTAATAGTACATGTAGAGTTGAAAAGAGAATCATAAAAATATTTCTGAAAGTTTTTGTGTGCATCATATGAAAGAAGAAGTGAATTCATATTGACCATTTATCGTCTGATCTAGGCAGTAACGATGTTATTCTAGGAATGGAAAATAACTCTAGGAAAATGTTCTCCACATCAGTGATGTTGAATCCAGGAAAACTAATTATAATTTGATTCACATGCAATTGAGCCAGTAAAGTTTCTAAGTACATAATCATCTGCATATTTAGGAAAAAAACTTAACCTCTTTTATCCTACTCTTACTTGTATTTTAGGTTATTGCATTAGCCAATCTTCAATAATTATTTTAAATAATAGTGAAAATAAAAATCAGGCATTCATTATTATTTTAAAAAGCTTATCTTTATAAAGTTAATAATAAATTCTGGGAATAAATTCAATATATCTCTTCCCAAAGTGAGGTATCCACAATAAATGGGAAGAGAAATATCTGATTTTCTGTCGTCCATATGTGTGCCAATTACTTGACTTTTGTAGGCATTTAAGACTGAAAATCTTGGAAAGTTGCAATTTCCCATTAAAAAAGATTATTTCCTCTCTGTTCCTATCCATAGATGTTTTTTCTTGGATTAATTCTCAGGCTATTATTTTCTATGGCTAATGTCTCCTACCCATTTCTGACCTTCTAGTCTTACTATTTTCTTGGAGTTTGAGAGTATAAATAGACAGCTACTGAGAAGTAGAAAGGTTGGACCAGTTTTCTGACTTAAAGCCACTGCAGTTTCAAAATATAGCTCAGGCAGTTAAGATGAGATGAAAGATTTCTTTTCACCATCTCTAAGGCTAATCAGGTTTATTGTTTCCTGTTGTTCATTATGGATGGGTATATAGTTCCCAACACAATGGAATATAGCAATGAGTAAGTGAGTGAGTGAGTGAATAAAGTTGTCATTCTGTCTTAAACTACAACCACTCCAAATCTCTCCCTAGCTCTACAGGTTCATTTATTTATTATTGTTTTCTGTTTGCCATATATATCTACTCCTATGGTAGACATGAGACACATGTGGCCATTTAAATTAAATTTTAATTAAATAAAATTAAATAACATTTAAAATTTTGTTCCTTAGTACACTGGTCATATTTTATCCATATGTGGCTATGTTACTATACTGGATAGAAGAGCCGAACATTTCCATTATCACAGAAAGTTCTGTAAAATAGTATTTGTCTATATCCTCCCAATAGAAGTTAAGTTCCATGAAGACTGGGGTTTTGTTTGCTCAGAAAGATAAAGCCATAGCACAGAATAGCCCTTGACATAGTATATGTTCTTAATAAATCCTGGTTAACTAAATAAATTCTTACTCTTAGTTCACAGTCATTTAAAGTAGACATAGCCTCTGCTATCATAATGAAGCTTATTATAGCCTAACAAAGAGAGATACTATGCAAAAAATCAAATAAATATACAATTGCAGACATGATATATGCTATCAGAGTATACAATAAAGGAACTTCTCCTGGAAACATTTTCTTCACTTCTTCTCCAGGACATCGTAATCACTTTATTTTACTCCAACCTTACTGGTTACTTCTTCCCTAAATCCTTCACTCCTAACTCCTAACCTAATAATATCGGAATGCCACAAATTTCAGTTTTTGGTGTTCTGTATTTATACTTCTTTGATGATTTATTTCATGTAGTCAAGGACTTCTGAATTTCTATTTGCAGTCTAGAACTTTCTTCCAAAATATAGACTTCTATATACAGCTGTCTACTTGGCTATCTAGTAGAGTTTTTAAACTTATCATGTCTCAAACAAAACTAATTTTCCTCTCCAAAATCATGGCATTTACAGCCTTCCCTATTGTATTTTATTTATTCTAACTCTTAGGTCACAAATATTGGTTTTATTCACAGCTTCTCTCTTTTCAACAGTAAATCTCTTCTCAAAGATAGGCACAATCCAAAGACTTCTTACCTCCTCTGTTGTTATGACTCTTAAAGCTACCATCATCTGTCTCTGGGAACACTGCTTGCACTCATTCACCCCTACAGTCTCTTTTTTTAAAAGAAAATAACAGATTTATTCAGATATAATTTATGTAATATAAAATACACCCTTCTAAAGTGTACAATTTAGTGCTTTTTGGTATCATCACAAAGTTATACCACATTACTCTCTAAACTTGAAACATTTTTATCACCACAAAGAAATCCCACATCCATTTGCAGTCTTTCCCAATTCTCCCTTCTCACAAGCTCTGGCAACTGCTAATTCAGTTTCTGTTTCTATGGATTTGCTTATTTTGAAAATTTTATTATAAATTAAATCCCTTCTATTCTATTCTATTCCAAATTTATAAAATTTTTGTCATGAATGAGTGTTGGATTTTGTCAAATTATTGTTTTTCACCTATGCAGATGATCATGAAGCATTTGCCCTTTTTCTGTTGATATTGGATATTACAGCAATTTATTTTCATGTGTTAAAGCAACTTGGCATTCCTGGCATAAATATAACTTGGTTTAGTGTATAATTTTTTACATGTTGCTGAATTTAATTTACTAGTATTTTGTAGATACATCTTTCAATTTATCTTTTGATTTTGTTGAGCTTCCTGGAGGCACAGAATAATGTTTCTCACCAATTGGGGAACTTCCTAACCATTATTTCTTTAAATAATCTTTCTGTCCTTTCTTTCCTTTCCTTCTAGAAATTCTATTATGCAAATGTTGGTATGCTTTATGTGTTCTCTAGGTCTTTAAGGCTGTATTCGTTTCTTCTTCTTTTTTTTCTTATGTTCCTTAGAATGAATAATCTCAATTAACCTTTTTTAGATTTATTGATTCTTCTGACTGTACCAATTTGTTACTGAATCCCTCTATTAAAGGTTTTATTTCTGTTGGTTTTTATATCCTGGGTTTCTATGAGATCCTTTAAAAAATATATGATGTCCATCTCTTTGTCATTATTCTCTTTCGGAGAGATATTGTTTTTATACTTTCCTTTTATTATTTAGACATTGTTTCCTTTAGTTCATTGAAAAGATCATTTAAACTTGTTGACTAGTAATTCTGATATCTAAGTTTCCTAAAGGACAACTTATATTGATTCCAGTTTTTTCTGTATATGGAACATATTTTCCTGTTTCTTTTCATGGGTCATAGTTTTTTACTGAAAACTTAAAACTTTAAATACTATATGATAACTCTAAAGATAAAGATAAGACATCCTTCCACTCTTCAAGGTGTGTGTGCATGTACGTGTGCATGTGCATGTGTGTGTATGTTGCTGTTTGTTGCTGTTGCTATTTTTTGTTTAGTGACTTTATAGGACTATTTCTGTAAAGCCTGTATTCTTTGTCTTTTGCAGCCATTGAAGTCTCTGCTAATAATAGCAGTGATTTTCTTAAATGCTTTGAACCAATAAGTTTCCCAGCCTTTGCACAAAGGTTCTGTGGGGTGAAAGGATTAGGGGGAAGTAACATCTTCAACACTCCAGCACAAAGTTCATAACTCTGCCTAAGCCTTCACTTCCTGCTTTTGCAAAATCTGAAGGCCATCCAATTTGGAAGATTAAGGCCATTTTAAGTCATTTTCAGGCAATTCTGCAAGGCTTTCTAGATTCCCAGGAATAGGTTTGAGGTTTTAAAAGCCCCCTATTGTCATCTCAGTCCTCAGTTTTTTTCTTTAGATTTTGCCCAGCTTTTTGTTAATCCCAGCTTATATCTCTGTTAAAATTACTGTGACATTAAACAATACCTGCTAACTGTTTTCATCAAATGCCCTGGAAATAGAGCTGTCCACAAGAGCAAGCTAAGTCAAGTCAAATAAAGATGAGCCCTGAGAGTGGACAGACAGGTCAAATGGTGACAGTTTGCTGGTGATGGGAGTTTTGGGGAAGATCCAACCCGATTCTGTCAAATCCAGTGGCTGCCAGACTGCCACTTTTCACAACAGAGTTGCAAGACTTGATTTTTAAGTTGTGCATGGAGAATGCAGAAAAGAAGATGAAACAATGAAAGTTAAAATGACACAAAGCTCAATGCGTTTAACAAGCTTAGGACATTTTTCTTGTAAATGCTCCTCAAATTGTTGCATGGCTTTGGTTAATTTCAAGAGTACTGAGAAGGTTGATTATATAACCTCTGCCACTGCTCTTGTTGCGTTTATGCAGGAGCAGATTTTTGGAGGTCCTTACTTTTCCATTCCATAAGTATTTTTCCACAGTCTCTTAAATCAGAAATCAGATTGTGCCAATTCTCTTCACAAAACCCCAGAATGTCTCTATATTTCACTCCAAGTATTAAAAGCTGTGGCCTTATATTCATGACCCACACAACACTTCATAACCATAGCCTGTTACTTTGTTTCTTCTCTGTTATTGCCCTCACTAACTGCTGCCTCGCTGACCTCTTGACTGTTCATTAAACATGCCTGATATTTCACAGACATTTACTTCTGCCTACGAGGCCCTTGTCACAGAAGCATAGCTTACTCTCTCACCTTACTGTTTTATTTTATTTTTAGAGAAAAGGTCTTACTCTGGTGCGTAGGCTGGAGTGAAGTCATATGATCACAACATCATAGCTCACTGCAGTCTCCAACTCCTGGGCTCAAGTGAGCCTCCCATCTCAACCTCCTGGTTAGCTGGTACTACAGGTGCACAGCACCACACCTAGCTAATTTTTATTTATTTATTTTATTTTAGAAACAGGGACTGGCTTTGTTGCCCAAGCTGGCCTTGAACTCCTGGCTTCAAGTAATCCTCCCACCTTGGCCTCCAAAAGTGCTGAGATTACAGGTATAAGCCACAGAGCCCTGCCTGTTTATTCATGTTTAACAAATATTTATATAGGGTTAACTACATGCCTGACACTTTCTAAGCTTTTTTAAAATAGTAACTTACTTAAGACTTTGTTGAAAGATCACTGTCTTCCGATAAGCCTGAAATGGACATTGTAATTCAAATTTCACCTTCCCTCCATCCCCAATACTTTAGATCTCCCTTACCTTGCCCTGTTTTTCCCCACTTTTTCCACAATAACATTAATTTTCAACATTCCCTATAAGTTTCTTACATATTGCATACATATTTTAAAATAAAAACTCTAAGAAAACAAAGATAGATTTTTCTACTGATATTTCCCAAGAACATATAATTTCTGGAACGTAGTAGGCTCTGAATAAATATTTGTTGAGGGAACCAACCATTTAGCCTGACTCAATTTGGGGTAGAGGAAGGGTAGGATTCCTTAAACAAATTATATACCAGTGATATAAAGAGGTGCATTATAAAGATCTTTTAAAAGTCTGTAAGTTTGAGTGAGACACATAAGAGAATATTAGGCCTAACCAGCATAGGGGAAACTGCAGATTCAAAGATATTGATATAAAATATAATTGGATCTCATGAGGAAATGAAAAAAAGTACAGAAAGAGAACAGAGAGGGAGTAGAAGAATAATACAAGGTGGATCTGAAGAAACAGGCACAGCTAACATGCACGCTTTGTAATTGTGTGAACTTGGACAATGAGTTTGATCTGTATAATATGTATAACTCAACACAGATAATAACTATACCTACCTTATGGTCTTGTTATAAAGATTAAATGAGTTACTTTATAAAATCACTTATAGCTGACACATACAAAGTAATATAAAAGATTTTGCCATCTATGTATATCTGTATCTAATTGGGGAGTTCCAGGCTGTGAATGCATACTCCAGAGTCCATGATTCCACTGAATAATAACTGGGCAATTTAGTTATCCTCTATGCACCTAAATTTCTTTATCCCTAAAAAGAGAAAAGTAAAAGAAGCCACCTCACTGGGTTCCTGTGAGGATTAAGGCTTGACAGGAGTACAGAACAATGCCAGATAATAATGTTCCATGATGCTAGCTATTACTAGTGTTACTATTATAATTGGAGTCCAAAAAGTAGATGAATATACCTAATATTGGAATACACACCAAGAAATAAAAAAGGACGCAGTCCCAACATTTAAACAATTTATAAATGAAAGTAAGCCAGGAAATTAGGCTAGAAAATAGCATACAGAGAGATAGTGACTAAAAGTAGAGGAGAATACAGTATCTCAAAGACTAGAGATTAGTGCTACAAAGGCAATTCACATTCCTAGGAAGGAAAGAGTGATGTACAGTTGATGCTGCTGAGAGATCCAGTAGTCTGAGGCCTGGAATATTTGCTTGATTTAGAGATCTTGAAGTCACTAGCAGAGTAAGGAGTGTGCAGAAGCCAGCTTGGTGTGAGAGATATTAGAGAAGAGGAAAAGACTAAAGAGATGTTCAAAAAGCCGTGAGAAATTTGACTGTGAAGGGTAAGAGAACTCTAGCAAAAGGGCAAGGTGGAGGAAAAGAGACATCTTTTTGCTTTGCTTGTTTAAGGCAGAAGATAGTTGAACATATGGCAAGGCAGATGGGAAAGACTGAGGTTGAAAGGGAGAAGCTGAATATACAGGAGAGAGAAAAGATCAATGACAGAGGAAAATTTTCTAGCACACAGCCAGGACATTAACTAAAGGGGATTGGCAACTACTACACAGAAGGAGGAGGGAAGAGAGAACATCCTTGATTATATCAGGAATGAGTAAGGAGCGTATTTAAACAAATGGAAATAGATTTTTAAATCTAGTGGTAAGAAAGTTGAAGATGTTCCTGGAGATAAATTTCTAGTTAGCTGCCAAATATATGTATACATTCTTATTATAATAAATAATGATTCCAGGTCAAAAGTTTTATAGTTTAGGTAATCCTATTAATAAAATGTAAAATATTGTATATCCATATGATATGGGTTGGCTCTGTGTCCCCACCCAAATTTCATCTTGAATTGTAATTCCCAAGTGTCAAGGGTGGGACCTAGTGGGAGGTGATTTTAGCATAGGAGCAGTTTCCCCTATGCTGTTCTCATGATAGTGAGTGAGTTCTCACGAGATCCAATGGTTTTATAAGGGGCTCTTCCCCCTTCACTTGTTCACACTCTCTCACCTGCTACCATGTAAGATGTGCCTCTTCCCCTTCCACTATGATTTTAAGTTTTCTGAGGCCTCCCCAGCCCTGTGGGACTGTGAGTCAATTAAACCCCTTTTCTTTATAAATTACCCAGTCTTGGGTATGTCTTTATAGCAGTGTGAAAATGGACTAATACACCACGTAAGACCAATTTAGTATCTAGTGTCAGCTCGTTGTCCATATTCCCTTGACAATCACAATTCCTAAACATACAATGGTGTTCTACTGCAGCTGTGATGCTCTGCCTGAGGGCTTTCTCTGGTGGTGAGGGTAGACTGGAAGTGTACAGAGTTTATGTTCCTGAGAGCAACTAGCAATTAGTGACTAATGGGAGATGGAAGAAATATAACTCAGCTTTCTCTCCCCATAAGTAGAGACAACCCTAAGGCATGTTCCACGTCACTCCCCAAGAGTCCACAGTGGTACTAAACCACAGTTGTCCTGAACAGTAAGCTGCTCATTAGGATACCTTGCATTGACGTTCTTTCCTAACTGGCTCACTTTGCCACTCCCTCTTCTAGTCCCTCCTGCTACCATTTCCCAAATAAATCCATGTTTTAGAGTCTGCTTCTGGGGAAAATGAGAGGCAACTACAAACATCCTTCGCTTACCCTAAGAAGGAAAAATGACAATAGTTACAGACACAAGAGAAATATCAATTATATTCACTGGTGCTAACCATCCAAGCAATAAGTTATACTGTCTTCATCCCTGTAATTTAGATTTTAACAGTGATATCAGTAAAGACATGAATGTACAATGCTGAGAGTAAATCAGGCTGTAGATGACTTCCCTTGAAGATCACGATGCTAATAATTTTGCTCATCTTGTATCATAACTAGAATGTCACGCACACATTTTAAGATGAGTTAGTCATTGCTGTGCTTTGCCTTACACTCTCAGCAACAACAAAGACATTTCGCTTTCTGGGATGATTCCCATAACACCTACATGTGCCATTTGTCATCCATCAATTGAATTAAAGTCAACAAATACTTAAGTGACTTCTGTGTATATGGTACTTAGTGTTCTCTAGTAAAAGTTAAAAACATTAAATTAGATAATAAAATTGTCTCCATTCTACCACTAAGGAACGCTTGCCTCTTACCTAGTATCCTACTCCCAGTAGGCAGTCAACATACATTTGATAAAAAGGATGACTCAAACAATACAGTACTGTATTTGGACAGTCAACAAAGGGTCCATAAAGGCGGGAAGAGTTAAGAATAATAAAAAAAACTCGGCAAGTATTTTGTTTAGGTACAATCATTTTTTAGTATAGTTCTAAGTTTTGTCTTTGATATATTGTAATGATTTGGAAAAGTGAAATATAAACATACGTTTAATATATTACATATCCTCTTAGTGTAAGATTCCTGATGCTTTTAAAACGTGTTGCATATTTATGTATTATATTTATTATTTTTATTTATTATACTTAAATATTATATTTATTATATTTATTATTGTAGTTTTCTTTGTTTACATTTATTTTTCCAAATTAATTATGTTACATTTATTTTTTAAAGTATAGACTATTTGGGAATCCTGAACAAGAATGCCTGTATGTGCACAATCACCACTTCTATTCAACAGTACTGGAAGTCCTAACCAGAGCAATTAAGCAAGAAAGAAAAATAAAAGGCATCCAAGTGGGAAAAAAAGAAGTGAAAATTTATCTGTTCACTGACAATATATAGAATGCCATAAATAATCCATCAAAAAGCTGTCAGAGCTGATAAATTAATTAAAGCTGCAAACTACAAAGTTAACCTACAAAATCAGTAGCATTTCTATATACTAACAATGAACAATCTGAGTCCTATTTACAATAGCATAAAAATACTTAGGAGTAAATTTAACCAAGGAGCTAAAAGATCAATGAGAACTATAAAATATTGTTGAAATCAATTGAAAATGACACATATAAATGAAAAGATACCTTATGTTCATGAGTTAGAAGATTTAATATTGTCAAAATATCCATGCCATCAAAAGTGATTTACAGATTCAATGCAATTCCTATCAAATTTCTAATGTTGTTCTTCACCGAAATAGGAAAAACAATCTTAAAACTTGTATAAAATGACAAAATATCTTGAATAGCCAAAGCAATTTTAAGCAAAAGAAAGAAAACTGGAGACACCACACTACCTGACTTCAAAATACATTATAAAGTTATAGTAATCAAAACAGCATAGTACTGGCATAAAACTACATATATCAACCAATGGAATAGGATAGAAAGCACAGAAATAAACCCACATATCCAAGGTCAATTGATATTGAACAAAGGTTTGAAGAACACATTTTGGGGAAAGGACAGACTCCTCCATAAATAATGTTGGAAAAACTGTCTATCCACATGCAGAAGAATGAAATTGGACCCTTATCTTATCCCTGATACAAGAATCCACCCACAATTGATTAAAGACTTAAATATAAGACTCTAAACTATCAAACTACCAGATTAAAACATAAGGGAAAGCTATACAGTATTGGTCTGGGCTATGATTTGTTGGATATGACCCAAGAAGCACAGTCAACAAAAGCAAAAAATAAACAAATAGAATTGTATCAGACTAAAAAACTTTTGCACTGCAAAGGAAACAATTAGCAGATGGAAGAGAAAAAAACACAGACTGGGAGAAAATATTTACAAATCATAAGTCAGGTAAGAAGCTCATATCTACACTATAAAAGAAACCCAAACTACCCAATAACAGGAAAACAAATAATTCTGTTTAAAAGGTTCTAATTAAATTAAAGAGCTTCTGCATAGTAAAAGAAACTACCATCAGAGTGAACAGGCAACCTACGAAATGGGAGAAAATTTTCACAACCTACCCATCTGACAAAGGGCTAATATCCAGAATCTACAATGAACCCAAACAAATTTACAAGAAAAAAACAAACAACCCCATCAAAAAATGGGTGAAGGATATCAACAGACACTTCTCAAAAGAAGACATTTATGCAGCCAAAAGTCACATGAAAAAATGCTCATCATCACTGGCCATCAGAGAAATGCAAATCAAAACCACAATGAGATACCATCTCACACCAGTTAGAATGGCAGTCATTAAAAAGTCAGGAAACAACAGGTGCTGGAGAGGATGTGGAGAAATAGGAACACTTTTACACTGTTGGTGGGACTGTAAACTAGTTCAACCATTGTGGAAGTCGGTGTGGCGATTCCTTAGGGATCTAGAACTAGAAATACCATTTGACCCAGCCATCCCATTACTGGGCATATAACCAAAGGACTATAAATCATGCTGCTATAAAGACACATGCACACATATGTTTATTGTGGCACTATTCACAATAGCAAAGACTTGGAACCAAGCCAAATGTCCAACAACGATAGACTGGATTAAGAAAATGTGGCACATATACACCATGGAATACTATGCAGTCATAAAAAATGATGAGGTCATGTCCTTTGTAGGGACATGGATGAAACTGGAAACCATCATTCTCAGCAAACTATCACAAGGACAAAAAACCAAACACCGCATGTTCTCACTCATAGGTGGGAATTGAACAATGAGAACACATGGACACAGGAAGGGGAACATCACACTCCGGGGACTGTTGTGGGGTGGGGGGAGGGGGGAGGGATAGCATTAGGAGATATACCTAATGCTGAATGACGAGTTAATGGGTGCGGCACACCAACATGGCACATGTATACATATGTAACAAACCTGCACATTGTGCACATGTACCCTAAAACTTAAAGTATAATAATAATAAAATTTAAAAAAAAAGAAATTGCCACAGCTATCCCAATCTTCAGCAACCATCACCCTGATGATCGAGCAGCCAACAACATTCAGTCAAGACCCTCCACCTGCAGAAAGACTGTAATTTGCTGAAGGCTCAGATGATTGTTGGCATTTTTTAGCAATAAAGTATATTTAGTTAATGTACATTTTTGAGACATAATGCTGTTTCACACAATGGACCAGAGTGTAATGTAAACATAATTCTATATGCACTGGGAAGCGAAAATTTATGTGACTCGCTTTATTGAGATATTTGCTTTATTGCAGTAGCCTGGAACTGAACCTGGAATATCTCTAAGGAATGCCTGTAGTTACATTATCTTTGAAATATGGCTTTTATGTAGGGAATCTGTTTTTATCTCCTTGTTGGATATCATATTATAATAAAGTATAAGGCTATAGAAATCCTATCACACTTAAATATGAAATAAGTGAAATTTATACTTATGGATAATTAGTATAATTTACATGTAGGAAAATTGTTATGATGGTACATTGCTGAATTACATTAATCATATATGGGAAAAAATTTAAAGCAATGTTTTAGATTTAGATGCTAAAAAACATAGGTTTTAAGATCGGTTGCTTTTGTTTCAAGTAGAGTTTGGTTTTCATTTTCAACAATCCAATATTTTTCTTCTACAACATTCCAAAGTTAAATGCATTCAGAGCCTTGTTGGCAATAGTACAAACCCTTGCTATCTTTCCCTGGATCTCCTGGATCAGTCTCAAAAAGAAACTCAGTACTTATAACACAGAGCTTATTGATATTCTAATTTGGTGATAGTATCACTTTCTTCTTAAAAATAAATTTAGCTTAAAGTAGTATAAAAGCAAAAATGAAATCTACTAAAGTGATTAACTTTACCACATATTACTGGAATGTAGTTTCTTGAATGTATGTATATTGGAAAATATTATGATTACTCTATACTTAACATGTAATTAAGAACTTTTAGAAACTTAAGTAGCAACCCTTAAGTACTTGTCATATCTCTTGAATTCCAAATGTGTGATAATAAAAGGAATTTACCACCTATTAAGCATTTACTGTATGCTGAACTAGATTAAATTTATATATATGATCAAAATTTATCTTCATGATCCCCCATGAACTGTAATTATATTCATTTTATCATCATCCAAATTCAACAGCTAAGATGAGACAGATCTGCATTGAAATATTTTACTCTGATATGAAATCCCATTCTCCTAATCACTACAGTAATAAAATGCTAGTCACAAACACAACCAGTAAAAGGATTTTTATTTAGCTTATACCAGTATCTTGAGTAGTCCCAGTATAGTCAAACCATGTATATGTACTACACAGTCTTCATGGGCCAGCCTCATGTTAAATGTTTGGGAGATAATATAGAGATAATAATAAACTTACAGTCCAGTTAAGAAGTCAATGCTAGTTATGAAAACATAGCAACATTTAAAATTTTCATCTCATTATATGTATGATATATATGTAGGTATATATTATCTTTGTTCTATATCATACATCATACATATATTTGTATATATATACACATACATACATACCTGTATATAAATACACATGCATCTATCTATATATGTCTCTGTCATATCTAGATCTTAATTTTGATGTTGAACTGCCTCAAACTTAAATTAAAATAATTATACCACTTTATCTTAAATCTGAAACTTCCAAAGAGAGCTACATGAAGACACTGAGAAATGGATAAATGAATGTTCTTTCTTACGTCCTTTCTGATTTCATTCTTTTTCCTCCTTCCAAAAAAAGAATTAAAAAAAATTGAGTGCCTATTATACTATTTAATATACTAAGATAAAAGACAAATAGAAAACATAGTATGTAGATAACATAGTCATGGAGGAAAAAGAAATAAGTAGACAGATTATGTCCATGAAGTGTGCATAAATCATAAAAATAATCAAAAGTGCAAAGGTGTGGTGTAGGAGGTAAGAGATAGGGGGAGGGGAGGCACATGATTCTGAACTCAAAGCTGGGGAGCCAGAGAAGCTTCCCAGAAAAAGGCTTTCCAGACCATCCTTATATCTATAATGCATATGTCTTTTTGTTAATTTTTCTTCTGCTTTAGGAGCCTTTCCTTTCTATCACTTCAACTCATTTTATTACATGGTCTCATTGTTGGAGACTTAAAAAAAAAGGAAGACGGGGGGCTATTAACCATAGTGAATATTAATACTTATGATAAGTTCCTTTGATGAAACTCTAGGAGATCTAGAGTTTACTTAGAAAGAAAATAGATGCAGCATAGGGTTTGGAGCTCAAAGTGAGTGCAGAAATTCATAGAAGAAATTTAACAAAGAAATTCACTAGACGGGAGAGAGATGAAAGGATGAAATAAAGATAACTATTAAATTAAGCTAATGATTGAATGTTCTAAAAGTCCTTCAAAATTGTTTTGGAGGCTACACCTAGATCTGATCATGAAATATTCTCTTTAATTTAATGCAAGTTCTTAAACTCAGCATTCTTTGCAATTTACAACACTTTTACTTTATTCTAAATCTGTCTCTGAATCCTAATTATGTCCATACCTTTTCCAGACAATAAAATATTCTTAGACAGTTCCCACCAAAAAAGTAGAGAGACAAGAAATATATTTTCTACAGACAAAATTTTTAAAAGATATATGAATGGATAATAACATTGAAGACATAGATAAGAAAATAATCTTCCAAGAAAAATGATTACAGACCATGTCTGAAATGAAAAGCTGTATTTACTATTTATTAGTCTAAAACATATCTTTAATTTCTCAGCATGATCATATCCATAGAAAATATTTTAATGTAAATATTCAAGTTCCTTTATTCTTTCTTCATTTGCACTCAAATTTTATCCTTTCCTTTATCTGTTTTGATACACTATTAGGAATAGTTGATCGTTTTTTTCCTACCCTAAATTCAGTTGTCACCATATCTTCTTATAAAAGTATTCGTTATATAAACTTATAAGTTGATACATTTGGGGTTTTACCAAAAACTGGGTTTTTTTTTTTTACCTGTCCACTTACTTGTTCCTGCCATTCCTGGTAGTCTTTTAAGCTGCTGTTTCAGCTCTCCAAGCAATTTTCAAAGGCAGCTATGGTACAACCCCAGCTAACAGATCAAAGAATTCGCCCCATGTTTGCCTTCACTGAACTCAGAACGTGGGACGGTTAGACTTTTGCTGTAAAGGCAGAGAATCACTATAAATGAGGCTTTGCACTTCTTGTAATGAAAACACATCCAGTTTGTACTCTCAGGGACAGTTACAACTAAATCAGGGTATTTCATGTATGCCCTGATACTCCTCACCCAAGCTCTCCTGTTTGGAATTGGCATGACATTTCTGAACTCTGTTTACAACTGTTGAGCCTCAACATTCTGCTTGTATTTGTGAGTCACAGATTATGAAGAAAAAACAGAAATTGTAAGTAAGCTACATAATTTATTTTTCCTCTGGTCCTCCCAGAAATAATAATGTCTGCTTCTTCTCTCAGTGTGAACGTTTTTATGTATCCCATCTGTAAATGTTCACAAGAATATAAATCCAATACAAAAACGAAATGCATCATTTCCTGAAAGCATTGTGGCAATTCTCTTCAGTTCCTAAGGATATATCAACACATAAAGAGAATAACGGAGATCCACTTCTGCCCACATAAGAGAAATTTTAGACAGACCCTTTGGGGCTTATTTTGTCAGGTAATTGTATCCATTGTCCATTTCCATTCACTGTAGAGTACTTGTCTCTATATATCCAGAGAACAATCTAAGGCTCTTAAAAGGGGAGACTGCTTTCTGCAATCAAGAAGGATGTGAGCATCCATATTGACTTTGGAGAATGTCTATGGTAAAGTGCTTGGATCAGACAATGTAATGGGAGGTGAAAAGTCAGGACCAGAGTAAGTTTAACCCAGCTGTAAAGGAAAAGAAATTTCTCTCTGAAAGTCTTCACTGTCTTTTCATGCCTTACTGTTTTCTCTCAGCAGTAGAGTTGTCTCCATACACTTTAAAGTTTCAGCTATTGTTTACTCAGCACCAATTTTGTGCATATCATTTTTAATAAGTTCTATGGAGAATATAAAGAAGTACAAGTGTGTTCACTGTTCTCTTTTAAGTGTGGAAAACAAGAAGCCACAAATTACAAAATAACAATAATCATATTTAAGATAATCCTTCCTGATGCTTAAGCCAAAGCCTTGTAATTATCCTTGACTTTCCTCTTTCACACCCATATCCAATCCATCGGAAATCCTGCTGACTCCATCATCAAAATATATCCAGATTCCTATCACCTGTCAAGAATTCTACTGCTCCCACCCTGGTCCAAGCCACCACTGTCTCTCACCTAGGTAAAAGCAGTGCCCTCTTGACCAGTCTCCTTGCCCAGACAGTCTACTCTCACCACTGCAAACAGACTGGGTCTGATAAGATATAAGAAAATCAAATCGTGCCATGGCTCTGCCCAGAACTTTGCAATGATTTCTCATTTTACTCAGAAGTAAAAGCCAAAGCTCTTACAATGGCCAGCAAGGCCATAAGTATCTGAGCTGTCCTCTCTGTTACACATCTGACTTCATCTCCTGCTAATCTCACCCTCTGTGTCTTTGCCTCCTTTCTCTGGGCATACTCCTGTTTCACATCTTTTGAACTGAATGCACTCTTCCCTATTGTAGAATGCTATTTTTTTCAGTCATCCATATAGGTGACTCCTTCAAATTTCTATAAGCCCTCATCAAAATCTCAACATCTCAATGAGGCTAATATTAACAGCACCATATAAACTGAAAAAAAGTTGTTCATCTTGCTTCCAATTCTCCCACTTCTTATTTCCCTGCTCTTATTTATTTTTATTTTCTCCGTAGCATTCGATACTTCCTGACATACTACATATTTCACCTCTTCACTATGTTTGTTATTTATTTCCACTCCATTCACTAAGATGTAAATTCACAGGGGCAGGAATCTCATCTGTTCACTGATAAATTTCAATGGATTAGAACAATTGCTGGCACATACTTAACACTCAATAAATATGTATTCAATAAATTTATGAAGAATTAATAAAAAATAGTGTCCTTTACTGACTGCATTCTACCTGCCAGTGCTTTGCTAAGTATTTTGCACACATTATTTTATTTTGTCTCATAAACCCTATGAGGTAAGGTATTACTCCTCCTCTTGGCAAATGCAGAAGCCAACATTTAAAAAAGTTTGTTACTTGCCCAAGGTTACACAGCAGGTAAGTGGCAGAGCCAATATTGAAACTCATATCCAGCTCTAAAGCTTGGATGTTAACTGCTGTGACATGTTGAAAGTAGCAACTTGTTTTACTACACAGTTCTGCATAATCATGAGTTTCTGTTGTGTGTAGGAAAGGATTTAAGCTTTCTGGACTGAGAAGCATAAAGTAATTATCAAAAAATATGTTATTCCAGAATCTAATCCTAATTTAGAAAATGTTTCAAAACAAGACACTGGCTCATAATATCTATAGAAAAAGGCAAGAAAAACACAGGGAACAAGGGTGAATTTTAATTGGTTATCCTTTTCATTCATCTCATCATAGTCTGATTCTCATTTTTCTCTTGGGGATGGCTTCTAAGTGTCTCTAATGATTGATCTCTGTTCTTGACCTCCAATTAACACAAAAACCAAACTATTGGTAAATTCATCATTTTAAAATGAGCCAGGTGGCTTTTAAAAAAACCTTTAAGCGGCTTGTTTGGAATCAGCTGACCCTCAGCTACTTACTCTCTTGATTCCTCTTGATGTCACACACAGTTTCAAGAATGCTAGCACTTAGTCCCAGCTTCATGAAGCAAGGAAATCCTTTAACTTCCCTCACTTGTGGTGCCAGCGTATCCGCTTGCCACTCTTTTTGTACACATTACATTATTTTAAGCTTGAATTTGTCATCCAGTTTTGCCCCATCTGTGTCATGGCTGGCTCCACCTGTGTCTCAGATTATAAACTTCCATGAGAGGAGAAGAGATCTGGATATAATTATACATACTAAGTCACTTTATACAGACCTCACAGGCAGCCATGAACTGAGTAGACTCTTAATATGTGCATTCTGATAAAAATATCCTAGTCTACTCCCTTCCGAGGCACCCTCCACCCACGTCAACACTTCACTTTCTTTCTCATTTGCCTGGTGAGTCATATCAGTGCTAAAAATTTATATTAAATGCTTCAATCCCAATGTCTTACTTTATTTTTTGCCAGCATTTTCTTAACCTGAATAGTCCTTATAATTGTAATTGTTCACTTCTTGCGGTATAAACATAGAGGAATATATAAGCAGTCAACAGACTCTTTGCATTTCAATGCACTAAACTATATTTTTTTAGAATTAAACATCCATCATGCTTTAAAAATACTCCAACAGATTGTGTTTCTAAATGGTGCCTTAAACAGCAGTTGTCCTTTCCTTTGCAAACTCAGTAAAGGGATAATATATCCTTTGGGGTCAGGCTATGCTCCATTTTTTCCCCCAGTAGACCCTTTAACTGCAAATAACTTTTCTTAAATGGATTCTCAAATTTCCTTTTAAATCAAAGTTATTATTAAGTCAAAGAAAACTAGAGAAGAATTGTTACAAGTGCCAAGCATTCACTTTAGCACTTCCTGCAGGGAAGCTCATTTCAATATGTAGCAATTCTGATTCTCCCTTTGCTAAAGATCCTGCCAAGCACAGGAACCCCCAAATAATCAGGGCTATGCTAAGCACAACCTTATCAGAGCTGGAGGAAAATACATTACAATCTAATCCACTGTATGTTTTCCATCTTGCTTTCATTTATTTATAATTTTCTGTATTACCTTAAAATATCACTGGGTTGACTAAAATGGCAGTTCATTAGTAAGACTCTTTAAGGGTCTTTCTAACTACACACCTCATCAGGTTACATACTAGACCACTTGAAACAAAATGTAGTCAAAACACTCTTGTTTATATTTCTCAATCATTATTCTCATAATGGCAAATTTAGTACCTCTTCAAGAGGCATGTGGACTCATATCCATCTTCACAGAACTTGGTGAAATGTAGTATTTCTTAATGCACATAAGGTGCCAACACTATACCCCCTGTTAATCATTAAGGGACTGTGGCACTCAATGCCCCTGACCATGTTAATCTTCACTCCTTAAACTCTTAAAATAAATATCTTCAACCATTGCCCCATTGTGCTCCTCAGAAAACTTTAATAATGCTGGACATCTCGGAAAATCAAAATCAGCTTTCTTTTGCTCTGCTTTTAATCCCTTTTCCCAAGACCTTTAATTTTATCCTTTTGTCTAGCCTCCCTCTATGGATTTACCAAAGCCAATCTATCTGTCAATTTTCTGATTTTCTCTGAATCTCCCATTCAAGAATCTGTTTGCTGCAGTCTCTCCACACCCCTGGCCAGGAAGAAAACATACTTGCAATTATCTGGGGATATGGTAAACTCACTAAGAAAAAAAAAAAAAAGCCACTGTTTTACAGCTTCCCACATGTATAGTATCTAACAGCTCATCTCTTTGATGTTTATCAAGCAATTACAGGGTGCATGGCAGCTGCATAAATAAGTATGCCTTTGAGAAACCTAGACTTCGCATATAAAAATCACTTCTGAGATTCACATGAAGCCTGGGTCTGCAGACGTTATCGCAGGACAATCAGGAACTAATCTAATGGCCTCAAGATTAGTATATTCTATTTTCTGAGATGAGCAGAATGAACAAGACATAACTGCTGTTCTGTGAAGGTTTGATCTACTGCTGGAATAACACTTATTCCCCTCTTCTCACATTTTACTGGACATTTCCCTCCCTAGAGGGGACATTATTCACTACCCATAAATAACTATTCACTACCCATAAATACCTCTCCTGAGGGAGAAATAGTAACTTTTGTGACAAGAGGGATTGGGAAAAGAAACTGAACATGATCAGCTTTGCCACTTTCTCTGATTTAAGATCCCCTTGCCCAGAAGAGTTGTGTCCTGTTTTCTGGGTTTGTTTTTTTTTTGTTTTGTTTTGTTTTTGTTGTTGTTGTTTGTTTGTTTTTTGCTTCCCGTGATAAGCACACAAGTTTGGACACAGGCCTGTCATTTAGGCATAGGTCAGAAAGAGTATCCCTTTCTGACTGCACTACTGGGGCTCTACATACATAAAACAGTGATCAGGAATATGTCTGTCTATCTGCAGGCCCCAGAACTCCTAGGGTGAAATATTAAGGAGCCTGACTATGACCATACATCTAAGCCACATTCTCCCATCTAGCCTGTTAGTAATAAAACTGATAATCTGATCTCTGGAAGTCTGCTTTCTATGTCTAGTTTTTATTTGGCTTGGGGTTCAGGAGGAGAAAAAAGGGTCTTATTATAGGCCCCATAAGCCCTAAACAGCTACAGAGGAGCAATTAGGCATGCTTCTTATCTAGTATGTTGCATTTCATTTTATTAGATCTGTGTGGAGTGAAAAGACCTCAATTTGAATTTGAATTCTCTCACTTACTATGTGTATAACCTTGGCCAATTTATTTAACTTCTTAGTCCCTCAGTTTCCTCAATCATCTATTCAAATAATATTAAATGAGCACATACAATGTGCCAGGCACTGTTCTAGGGTCTGAGGATACACAGTAAACAAATAGACTAAAATGTCTGCCTTTGTGAAGCTTTTTTATTTTTTATTTTCTTTCTTTTTTTTTTTTTTTTTGACAGTCTTGCTCTGTTGCCAGGCTGGAGTGCAGTGGTGCAATCTCAGCTCACTGCAACCTCTGTCTCCCAGGTTCACATGATTCTCCTGCCTCAGCCTCCCGAGTAGCTGGGACTACAGGCACATTCCACCACGCCCACCTAATTTTTGTATTTTTAGTAGAGACAGAGTTTCACCATGTTGGCAGGATGGTCTCAATCTCTTGACTTCGTGATCCACCCACCTCTGCCTCCTAAAGTTCTGGGATTACAGGTGTGAGCCACCGCGCCCAGCTGTGAAACTTTCATACAGTAAAATTGAAATAGTCCTAGGACATAACGTTAGTATGAGTATAAAACATAACGTTAGTATGAGTATACTAGGCCTAGTATATGAGACACACTTACAGTGTTTCCTGGACATAGTAAGCACTCAACAGGTGATGAGGAATGATGATGATAATGACAATGAAGATCTTTGCTTCATTGAGGGAAGGAGTGCCAGCTCTAACCAAACAACTTGTGTTATTAATGCAGTTTTTTTCTCTGTGATTATCTCTGAGCTTTACGATGTCCCATGATGCAATGATGATTCTTTACATAAAAATATTTTACATCTTCTGATTTCTAAATTCCACTCTCTAACGCTGAACTCAGCTCCTTAGAGGATACTGTTATTTAACCTGCTATACTGTGTCAGTAGGAATTATTTTCTGACTTTGAAAGCAAAGGGCTTTCATTTTGTTTTGTTTTGCAATACTGATGTTCCATATAGTATAACATATTGTTAATTGAATTCTGATGGGCAATATTGAAACATTATTTTATCTTCTCTTCTTAGAGATGGTAGGTCTCTAAATAAATATATTTATGAAGTTAACAAGGATGTTGCCACACAGAATTTGCACCTCTTTAAGAATAATCATTATTTTAAGTGCATGCATTGGATGGTTAGAAATTCAGGGATCACATGTTTGCTGGGTTAGTTCTTGTATAGAAATGGTTGAACTACCACACTCTTGGCCTTAGATTGATACTTAGCCACTGTCTCTGATGCAATTAATCTAGGATTAGTCTCAGACTAAATATCTCTGAGCAATCTTCTATCAGAGAGTCCTTTTATCTACATGTTATGCCAGTTATGATGTTCTTTTGCACTAACTTGGCTACTTGGTAGAATTTGTCCATTTGGATACTTGACTAACCATCTGTGATCAAGCCATTCATCTCAGCCACATTAATGTTCTATACATAAGGAATGATGAATTACCTTCACAGGTAATGGATAACTTTCAAATACAGCTCATATCTTCATCCACTCATTCCACCATCATAAACACACACCTGTTATACCAAATATTGGGATCTGTAATTTTATTTTCATTTTCAGACATGACATCAAAACTTAGTTTAAGTATAAGGTACATAAGGTCATAAAGATAGTAAGCAGCAGAAGTGTTAACCAAAAATATTCTTCTTGACCCAAAGTTTACCAAAATTGCCCAAATATGTTGTAATGTCTAATAAAAATCACGTACTCCAAATTTAGGGAGATACTCTTAAACTAAATCATTATGGGACCTAACACTATCCAACACATTCTACTTTCGTTGTAAAGTCTAATGAAAATCACTCACTCTAAATTTAAGGAAATATTCTTAAACTAATCTTTATAGCACTTAAGATTCTCTGACACTTTAGAGCCCATTTTCATTATAATCATTATACTCAACTTTGTAGAACTCAAGAAAAGATACTATCAGCCCCTTCTAAAACTGTCAAGCCTAAGACGATGGACAAGTACCATATCTTTCTTTACTCAGAAATGTGTAACTACAACAACATATCTACAATTGCCTGTACCAAGTAATAATGGAAATATCTTTAGTGAGCTCTCTATTGTTCAGTACTCTATATGTTTTTCAAAAATAATTACCTTCAAGAGAGAAGGTAATTATTTCATAGTCATTTTTATTTTTATATTACAATGCAAAATAAATCAAAACTTAAAGAATTGTAACCGAGGCAGACGGATCATGAGGTCAGGAGATTGAGACCATCCTGGCTAACACGGTGAAACCCTGTCTCTACTAAAAATATAAAAACTTAGCCGGGCATGGAGGTGGGTGCCTGTAGTCCCAGCTACTCAGGAGGCTGAGGCAGGAGAATGGCGTGAACCTGGGAGGCAGAGCTTGCAGTGAGCCAAGATCGTGCCACTGCACTCCAGCCTGGGTAACAGAGTGAGACTCCATCTCAAAAAACAAAAAAAAAAAAGAATTTTAAAAGCAGTGATAAGTCCACTCACATTCCTAAAAGAGACAGGAGAGAAGAAGGAAACCAATTAGTAAAAAGGGGATTACTCCTCCTGTGCTACTAGCTAGGGAGCAATGAAACTATATTAATTCCTCCTGGCTCTTTGAAAATGTGACTTACCAGGAAATCAAATAATATTAAAGTCAGCATTTCTTAAAGCTTATTTAGCATTTTGATTGTGGTGATGGTATCACAGGTATATACATAAGACCAAATTGATAAAAATGTATACATTAAATGTTTAATTTTTGTATATCAATTATGATATAGTTTGGCTGTTTCCTCACCGAAATCTCATCTTGAATTGTAACTCCCATAATTCCCAGTTTTCTTGGGAGGAATCCAGTGGGAGGTAATTGAATCATGAGGGTGGGTTTTTCCCATGCTGTTCTCATGATAGTGAATAAGTGTCAAGAGATCTGACGGTTTTAAAAACAGGAGTTTCCCTGCACAAGCTCTCTCCCTGCCTGCTGCCATCCATGTAAGATGTGACTTGCTCCTCATTGCCTGTCACCATGATTGTGAGGCTTTCCCAGCCATGGGGAATAGTAAGCCCATTAAACCTCTTTCTTTTGTAAATTGCTGAGTCTTGGGTATGTCTTTGTCAGCAGTGTGAAAATGGACTAATACAGTAAATTGGTACCAGTAGAGTGGGGTGCTCCTTAAAAGATACCCAAAAATGTGGAAAGGACTTTGGAACTGGGTAACAGGCAGAGGCTGGAAGAGTTTGAAGGGCTCAGAAGAAGACAAGAAAATGTGGGAATGTTTGGAACTACCTAGAGACTTGTTGAATGGCTTTGACTAAAATGCTGATAATGATATGGACAATGAAATCCAGGCTGAGGTGGTCTCAGTTGAAGATGAGGAACTTGTTGGGAACTGGAGCAAAGATGACTCTTGTTATATTTTAGCAAAGACAGTGTTGGCATTTTGCCCCTATCCCAGAGATTTGTGGCACTCTGAACTTGAGAAGGATTATTTAGGGTATTTGGCAGAAGAAATTTCTAAGCAGCAAATTCAAGATGTGACTTGGGTGCTGTTAAAGGCATTCAGTTTTAAAATGAAAACAGAGCATAAAAGTTTTTAAAAAATTGCAGCCTGACAATGCAATAGAAAAGAAAATCCCATTTTCTGAGGAGAAATTTAAGATACCTCGAGAAACTTGCATTAGTAATGAGGAGCCCAATGTTAATCACAGGACAATGGGGAAAATGTCTCCTGGGCATGTAAGAGACCTCTGTGGGAGCCCCTTTCATCACAGACCTGGAAGTTTTAGCAGGAAAAATGGGCCTGGCCGAGGGTCCCCCTGCTGTGTGCAGTATAGGGACTTGGTGCCCTGCATCCCAGTTGATCCAGCTGTGACTAAAAGAGGACAAGTTACAGCTCAGGCTGTTGCTTCAGAGGGTGGAATCCCCAAGCCTTGGCAGCTTCCACATGGTGTTGAGTCTATGGTGCACAGAAGTCAAGAATTGAAGTTTGGGAACCTCCGCCTGGATTTCAAAGGATGTATGGAAATGCCTAGATGTCCAGGCAGAAGTTTGCTGCAGGGGCAGGGCCCTCATGGAGAACCTCTGCTAGAACAATGAGGAAGGGAAATGTAGGGTTGGAGCCACCAAACAGAGTCGCTACTGGGGCACCACCTAGTGGAGCCGTGAGAAGAGGGCCACCATCCTCCAGATCCCAGAATGGTAGATCCAGCAACAGCTTGCACCATGCAACTGAAAAAGCTGAAAACACTCAACGCTAGCCTGTGAAAGCAGCCAGGAGGAGGGCTATACCCTACAAGGCCATGGGCCGAGCTGCCCAAGGCCATGGTAGCCCACCTCTTGCATCAGCATTACCTGGATGTGAGACATAGAGTCAAAGGAGATCATTTTGAAGCTTTAAGATCCAATTGCCCCACTAGATTTTGGACTTGCATGAGGCCTGTAGGCCCTTTGTTTTGGCCAATTTCTCCCATTTAGAATGGTTGTATTTATGCCTGTACCCACTATTGTATCTAGGAAGTAACTAACTTGCTTTTGATTTTACAGGCTAATAGGAGGAATTGACTTAGCATGTCTCGGATGAGACTTTGGACTGCAGACTTTTGAGATAATGATGAAATCAGTTAAGACTTTGGGGGACTGTTGGGAAGGCATAATTGGTTTTGAAATGTGATGGCATGAGATTTGGGAGGGGCTGGGGTGGAATGACATGGTTTGGCTGTATAGGAGGAACTTGATGGGAGGTAACTGAATCATGAGGGTAGGTCTTTCCCATGCTGTTCTCATAATAGTGAATAAGTCTCATGAGATCTGATGATTTTAAAAGCAGGAGTTTCGCTGCACAAGCTCTCTCTCTGCCTGCTGCCATCCATGTAAGATGTGACTTAATCCTCCTTGTCTTCCACTATGATTACAAGGCCTCCCCAGCCACGTGGAACTGTAAGTCCATTAAAGTCCATTAAACCTCTTTCTTTTGTGAATTGCCCAGTCCCAGGTATGTCTTTATCAGCAGCGTGAAAACAGACTAATACAAATTATATCTCAATCAAGTCAAAAAAAGAAACACAAAAACTAAAAATAAAATTAGACACACTGTTTTATTTGGAGAGGTTAACTTACATTTCATTCAATAAGAAAAGCTCAGGTTGGAAATAGAATTAACTTCAAAAATATTTAAATGAAATGGTGGTAACAGAACCACAAAAAGCAACTAAGTAAATGATTTGGGATTATGTCTCTAAACTTTTAATGACAGGTTTTAAGTAGCTGCCATATGGTTGCTGGTCATTAAGAAAGAAATTCTTAGCTGATTTACATGCAGCAAAGCAATGGTTTGCAAAATGGCAAAAGATAGTAAAGTTAAACTGGTGTATTCAATTATCAAACATTTATTGGGTGATATTATATGCAGGATGCTGTGCCAAGTGCCATAGAGATAAAACAAGAAGACTTTGTATCTCTAGTAATAAAATTTATAATCTACTCAGGTAATCAGGGCATGTACAATAGTAAATATAATTCAAATCTTTCCTATTTAAGTAAAATTAAACAGTTTCTACCCCCTTGCCTATGTCAACATCCTTTGAATATTCCTTGATTTTTCTTTCTCTAACTTCATCTAGTCTAAAAAGTTATATATCCATTACCTGCAAGACATACACCAAATCACTTCTCTTAAAAATTATGCATACATGAGACATGGATAAGATAGATGATAAGAAAGAAATATTGAATGTAGGGAATAAGTGAATGATGTATTTCAATAGGCCAGAAAAGAAATAAAGTGGCCGGGGGAGTATTAAGAGTTAGTGGAGACAGGCGATAAGTAAGCATTAACGGATAGAACTAGGAGATATTAACACCTGCGAAGGTAGTCTCCAGACTAAGAAAGACTTTAGAATCAAATACATAGAAGGGCAGCTAAATCCCTGGGAAAGGAAGAGAGCACCAAGAATAAAAACGAGAGCAAGAAATAGCCACATGGATTGAAAGAGAAAGAGAGGAGGACCTCAGAGAAGAAAGAGACAGCAACATACTAATACTACTAAAAAATAAGACAAGATAGTGGTCTATTTGAGAATACATAATGACTTTTAGTTTAAAGAACAATTTTGCAATGAAAGGCTTAAGGAAAAATAAACTTTATTATATAAAATCTAAGGTATAATAGTTTAGCCTCTTAGCTATGTTAACATTTTGAGAATGTTTAGTAAGATTTTTAATAAAGATATAAGAACATTAACAATCTTAAAATGGTTTTAAAAGGCATTTATTCAATATGAGCAAGGATGATAAAAATAAAATTAAACATTATGAATGTACCAATAATGCGCTTTAAGAGTTAATCATTTTGGAATGTGTAGTTTTATTCAGTTAATAACAACTTTGAGGTATAACTGATAGTTATAAATCCTGTTGGAAATAATTAAACTTTTCCATAGCAATTTTAAAGGTAGAATACACTTACATGTAATTGATTAAAAATGTAACATCCAATCTTGTCCCATAAAAATAAAATTGCTTTTTCTCTTGCGGAAGACTCAGAAATAAGATATTTTGTAGGTAAAGTGTCACATCAATGCCATATCGTATTCTGTAGATGGCATGTTATCATCTTCATGAAGTATCTATTCCTACCTAATAAAGGGGCATGTAAGATCCCAAGCCTTGGAATCAAAGAGATCTAAATTCAATTCAGAGTTATACACTAATAATTTGTGACCCTATGCATATTACTTAACTTATATGTGCTTCGATATTCTTATCTGTTAAATGTGGCTTATAATGCCTATCTTACAGTACTTTGAAATAATTAAATGAGATGGTAGGTGTAAAGTACACTATGCCTAGCACAGGTTAAACACTGAAAAATGTATTTTAAAAAATTAGTAACAGTAGATATGCTAGTTTTCTATTGTTTAACAAATTATTACAAACTTAACAATGTAAGACAATACCCATTTATTAGCACATAGTTCTGTAGGTCAGAAGTCCAGCATGCTATGTCTTGGTTCTCTGCTCAGATTCTCACATGGCTGAAATCAAGGTATGGGTGTGCTGTGCTCCTTTCTGGAGCCTCTGGGGAAGAATCAGCTTCTAAGCTCTTTCAGATTGTTGTCCAAATCTAGTTCCTTGCAGCTGTAGAATTAAGATTCCCATTTTCCCTGCTGGCTGTCAAGTCTCATCTCCTAGAGGCTGTTGTGTTCCTTGCCATGTGGCCCCCTACCAGCAATGAAGAATCTCCCTCATGTTTTAAATATCCTGGACTTTTCTGTCTCTGATCTCTTGATTTAGATTTAAAAGGCTCATGTGATTAGGTCAGACCCACTCGGATAATGTCCCTTTCTTAAAGTCAACTGTGCCATATAACAAAAACTAATCATCAGACTGAAATCACAGTCACAGTCACAGAAATCATACAGGGCATGTAAAACATGTGACAAGAAATTTGGGGATAGCCTAGAATTCTATCTCCTACTCATTTCAGTAAATGTTTTAAAAATTGTCTATTGCATAACACTTTCAATCATTTTAAAAGGTTACCTTTTTTAAGTTTTGAAGAAATCATAAGTAATCATGATTAGAAATCTAACAGGTAATTAGATCACTAATGGCTAATATTTATGCAAGGGAAATACAACATATTTATGGAAGTCTAAATTTCTAAAGAAAAGCCAGATGAAGTTAAGCTATCATTTATTTGACTGCTCAGGTTTTCTCAGAAACACCTTATTCTCCTGTTTGGTTCTGTACTTCCATAGATGTAATCTCAAAATCCAACTATTCCTTCTCATTTAATTCTAGTGTATGACAAGAAATACCATGAAATTTAAACATTCTATGGAGAATTTTGCAATAAACTTCTACTTAAAGGGCATCCCACAAAGGAAAAATTTAATCACATGTAACCCTAGGATACACAGTTAAATAAAGACTATCAAACTCCATGAACTCTCTTAGTAAAAATAACTATCTCATGTCCTATTTTTAGATGTTCTCTCATTTTCACTCATTATTTCCTAAATTGTGAACAAATCTCCACATTATGACATGTTCGCAAAAATCAAAAGGCACATGGGAAGTTGGCCACTAATGAACACCCAACATATGCTGGGTACTTTTACAGGAACATTACAAATAATTTCATTACTCTTTGTAACCTTGCTATAAATGTTAGTTATTTTATACTTATTTTACTGATGAAGAAACTGAGGTTTAGAGAAGGCAATTCATGTATACAAAAAGCACATGGTAAGAACATGCTCAAACCAGAATACAAACCCTGGTTTTTCAAGCTCCAAAGCCTGATCTTTTCCAAAGTACACTATATTGTGTCTCATAAGATGTACATGGGTCAAATGGGAACAAAGGGAAATGAAGCAGTTGTAACTCAATGCATCTGGAAAGAGGGTTCTTGCATTTAATATGCCTTCATCTATTTGCCTTTCATATACTCATCCCTTCTTCATGTATCATATTACTTCAATATCACTTATAATAAGCTTAACATGATTGAAATTTATATGAACAATTGCATCATTGTATTACTAATTTTACAAATAACTCAAGTACCAATGTACTTTGTACCAAGAAATGCTGAGATTATCTATCTAGACTACATGGTCTTCTTATCTCCTTCTCATTAGCTATTCTCCAGCATAATAATACCAAAAGCTCTGATTCACACAGTAAGGGAGTAAAATCAGCAGTGAGAGTAACAGATTCTGGCTTTAATTCACAACACCCTAATAGATTTTCTGCTAAACACTGCACTGTCCTTTCTGATCCTTCATGTCTAAACCTGTATTCAAGTCTGGATATACGTCAAACTCAGGATGACCAAGAAATGCAATAATAAGAACACCTAAACAAATAAAAGAATGAAACTGCGCACCATCCTTCCCCTTCCAGAGATACTTATCCAGATGCTAATGATTACACAAATGTAACAAATAGTGAGCTCCTCCTCCAAAGCATACATATACTCATTGATACCACCTTTGTTTGATTTGAGGGTGCTTAATTCCTGATTGATGAGACTCTGGAGAAAGGCTCTTGAGAAAATTATATTGGATAGAATATCCATGCCATCACAAAATAATTAGGTGACAAAAGGCAAGTAATTGGTCTGCGGCTCTCATTTCCTTGCTTCTAAGGTAGGGGTCATCAATTTATCTATCTCATGGGAGTTATAATGAGTATTAAATGATATGTAAAGTGCTTAGCATGGCACCTCAATCTCAGAACCTGTTAGAAATTATAATTTAGTATGATTCCATTATCTTATAACTTTTCATTAACAGCCTCTGCAAGACAACTGAAAAACTTTAAACGGTTGGTATAAAACTAACAATAGTTTTGCAAAATCTCAAAATACAGAGACATTTTAGGCTTATGCTTTTCAGGCTTTTAAAATACATTTTTGTAGTTCTTGTTTTTGTCTCTATCATGTGCATCTAGTGGCTCTTCCAAAGCTTTTGTTGTGGGGTTAGAAGGCAGTGTTGTATGCATTACAGATGACTGAAGCCATAGAGCCTTTGTTCATGATCACTGCTCAGATGGTCTGAAAAGCAGTAACAGCAGGGGCTACTGAATTAGTCCATTTCACTATATTAAATCCAGGTTCAACCCAATGGTTCTAATTTTATGTGCTACTGAATTTAAGGTTCAGCAGACCAATTTAACCCATCTATCAATCAACATTGTTTCTGAGAAGGATGACTCGTTGTTAGCAATGTCAGAAGTCTAAACCACTAAAATATATAGAAAAAAATTGATTGTTGAATGTCAAAAACATTTCTAAGAACCCAAAATAAGTAGCTCTCCAAAGCACAGATATGTCTGTTTTTGCATATATGAGTGTTGGATTCACATAATCAATTGACAAATGGTGAATTCTACATACTGTGCCAAGCACTAAGGACACAGTAGCAAACCACACATGGTCTCTTCCTCACCTATCTAACTCCATTCTCCCTGGCAATTACTGTCACGGAGGTTGAAATTTCAGACTAACACTTCAAAGAGTATCTCTTTTTAAATATCTTCAACTGGAACTATGCCTTCACAGCACAAATGGCAAACCTCTTTATTCCTGGGAGCTTTGGAAAAAGGGCATACAGCACTGCCTTCTAACACCAAGAAAAGAGAAGGTACATAAAGTTGACTATATCCAAAAAAGCATGGTTATTAATATCATATCTTCATAATAATTAACTTCATAAACATTCTATGCATGCTACAGACAAAACAAAGTTGCAGAATTATACATCTTGAAATGAGATATGACCTGTGTCACCAAACAGTTTGTATAATCAGTCACTATGGAAGATGACTTGCACCCTGAGAAATGGGTTCTACTTGCCAAGTGTGGTAGTTATTAAGTTACTTGCAAAATATTGCTAGTTCTTCCACTTCTGAGTAAATGGTAGGGTTGCACTTCCCTGCCACCTTGAAGTTAAACATGTGTATATGGTTTCCTTTGAACAATGGACTGTGGGCAGAGGGACATTGTGTCACATCTGGGCAGAAGCTTTAAATGACAGTGTACACCTAGCCACATCTTTCCCCTGGACACAGTGGCTAGCAATGTTTTAGGTGGTGGAAGTCCATCAATCCGAAACCCTAAGTGAGGAAGACATAAAAGAGAGCCCATTCCTACATGCCATCCAACCTCAGTGGACAAGGTTGGATCGTGAGCAAGATACATGATCGAGAGATAAAACTGGATAGTTATTACTGAAACATAAGCCAGTTAATTCTGACTAATCCAATCACTAAACAAAAGTAGGACTCTGACCTTGTAACACTGACAGCCACCTCAGAACAATGGGGGACAGAGGCCTCTCTTTGAGGTTTTGAGGAAAATGCTAGCTAGACTCATCTGGTAACAGACCAATCTTACCATACACATTTCTTTTTCCCTTTAACTTAAAAGAGTTCAAATAAAGTACTATGAGAGAAAGAAGAAAGAAACCATCATTTTTAACCAGAACCTTGAAAACAGATGACTCAGTCCAGTGTTTGGACCATGTGCATCAGAATCAAGAACATTTGTTGAAATATAGTTCTGGGACCAAACCAAATCTGAATGAGTCTTTGAAGATTTGTTAAATTTGCACTTAACAAGTTTTCCGACTGGTTTTTTCATACCCTTTATGAGAAGTCTTGGTTTAGGGCCAGAGGCTGCAAACTAATACTCAAGTGTGATTTGTTTGGGAAGCACAGATTTTGTTTAGTTTGATTTAAATGAAAATTGGTTGACCTTTAAGACTGAAGAAAACTTTCTATAAAAATGGAGATCTTCAACAACTTTTGAAAAATAATTGGAATATCTGGCAACTCTGATTTTAAATACTTATGTGGCAATGATCAGATAAAACTCAACCCCCTTCATACAAGAAATGTGCTCTCCAGTTCTTCAATCTCCATTATGCTCCACTCATTCCTTTATTTGTTCTGCCCATGGAGAGCATTTGAGTTTGGGTCCCTTTGTTCTGGCTCTTGAAGGCTATGTTACACAGACTGGAGATTCCACTCTGGAAACTGGGAAAGAAGAAAGCTATTAAAGATGCTGAGCAAAATAATTACATAATCAAATCTAACTAAAAGTTAGAAATCTGGCAATATGGGAAATAGGGTAGGGCTAGGTTAATATACTCAAACGTTTCCTTGGGGCAGCACAGTACTTCCTGGTCAAGCGGTTTACTTGACTGAGTGACATACACTGGATAGATCTCTGGCTAAATCTAGAGGGCACACCCCTGTAATCAGGGAAGCTATTACCGAATTTCATTGAGCTACTGTCATTGGGAATTTCAGCTTGGGGTCACCAGATTTGTCATTTTTAAAAGAGAAGACAGAAGTTCACATTTTATTGGATTCCAAATGTTTCAAGTTAATTATTTATTTAAAAACAAGAATAGGCCAATACATTATGTTGATACCTGTGGATTAGAGGATGGAGATTAGAAGCAAGAAACTGAATAGGAGTAAAGAGAATTTGAAAAATTATTTTCAGATGGATATTTAGTTCTTGCAGCTTGACAAATACAGATACCATTAGCCATGCAAGAGAACTACAGGCTGAAAAAAAACAGTTTTAGGTGGCAGAATTATGAGTTTAGTTCCTAGAAACTGAATTTGAGAAATCCATGTATCAAAGGGCACAGTTCATCATTTGTCTATCTATTCAACATATATGATTACTGTTATATCCTAAAAATATTACACATAGTATTGGGGATAAATTAACAGGCAGAGTCATAAGTCTTTGTATTTAGAGGTCTTAGATTCCAATAGATGTATGATAGAATTACAAAACTGCATGTTAGAGTTATATTAAATATAGTAACGGGAGATTTGTTCCAAAGGAAATGTGTGTATATAAGTGGATGGTAGTTATTTAAGGCTTCTAGAAGGTAGTGACATCTAAGCTAAAACCTAAAAATAGGAAAATGTGGTTCCCAATAGAAGCAATAGTCTACATAATGACTCACAGGCTAGTGGTCCAAAGTCTATTTTTAAATTTTCCTAAAAAATAAAAAATGAAATTAATTCAGTGAATCTGGACCACCACAAACAAAATTAGTGACAAGTAGTAAGAGATGGAACCAAAAAAGTGAACAGAAGTCACTGGCTACAGAGCTACCTTAAGTGCCCTGGATCATGAAAGTAGTGGATAATCATAGAAAGGAGTTCATGTGAGCAATAATAAGCAAAGCTGAAAAAAAAAGCATCAGGGCTAGAAATTAAAATTTGTGAATAAACTACATATAGGTTAATATTTAAGGTCATGAAATTGAATTATTCTGGGAAAATTAAAAGGTAATAAGAGTTAAAAGTATAGAACATTGGAATACACTCATATACTTCAGAAGAGAGAAGATAAAGAGAAACCAAAGAAAAAAAACTGATAAAGAACAGTAGAGGGACAAAACAAACAAACAAACAAAAAACCCAACCAACCAGGAAAAAGGAGTTTTCAAGTGGAGGTAGATCTATGAAGTCCAACAGGATGAGAAGTAAAAGAGCTTTGAAGAGATGTTGCCATTCACATGCCATGTATAAAGAATGTAGAGCAAGATTTAGAAACATAAACAGCTGAGAAATATAATTTGATGCATTCATTACTATCTTACTTACACCAGTCACTTCCTAATCAAACCTTACTCAGGTTTCAAAGAAGCTCTTAATTGGGATTTTCATGCAATGGGAGCACCTAATTTTGTACAAACTTCTAGTTGCTAGGAGTCAGAAAACCAAAGCAGCCTTTGTGTCCTTCCAGACTGGACAGACCTTAGAGGTTTGCAGCCTTATTCTGCTAGCTTGTATTCAACTCTATACTCTGTCTATTTCTCTACAAAGAAAAAATTGGTTTTAGATTTCTGTTCCAAGAACCCTATTTTCTACTCTATTTGCCTTGAAACAAGCCACACACACACACACAACACACACACACAAAACCACAGGAGAAATTTTAGATAGAAGGGGCATTGTAGGTTACTGAACTACAGTCCTCTCATACTCATGTTCCAGAAACTGAGGCACAGAGATGACACTAGTCCAAGATCACACAGCTTTTATAAAAAGAATTTTCTTTATATACAAACTAGTGTTTATTTTATACTCTAGTATACAGCTTTGCCATCACAAAATCCTCTGATCAAATTAAAGGCTTTTTCTCCTCTTAGCAAGTCTGTAAAATTAAAGTACAATGTTTTTCACCAATTTAGCATCCTCTAGGTTTGTAAAGTGGTCTTTGTCAAGCTCTGATACAAATCATATATAATATTGTTTTAAAGAACATCATCCCTTTTATCTCTCCAAAGGGTAAATTTGGAACATGTTAAATAGAACATAAAATAATTTAAATCAAGCGTACTATTATATTTCTGCCAAAATTATATGTGTGGTAATTTTTTACCATAATACCAAATTCAGATTTAAATTAGTTATTTTTATAATCAATTATTCTTGCAGATTTTGTTCACAACCTTCATTACAGATTTTTTCTTCCCACAACTCATTAACTGCAGTATCCAATACATTTTTTTATAAAGCAAGGTTCAAATACTACTGAGCATTATTACAGATTAGTTTTAATTTTTTCTACATACCATGTATAGATATAGATTTTTTTTACTCATAGAGGATGATATAACTAAAGTGCAGTCATGACTGGATAGAGAAATTGCATTTAATATTATGCAGCATATCCACCTAAATTAATGGTCAGTCTTATATTTACGAACAATTTTGTAAAAGTATAAGAAATAAATCTGTTCATGTTTATACTCTGCTAAAAATAAAGTTTACCACCACCACCATTTAGAAATAAAAATTATAAATCTCTAAGTGTCAAAAAATTGATATTATAATAATATTTAGTGAGCACTTAAAGGACCCCTTCTCTTCACTACATTATATTCTTTATGAATTTCCCCTGGGGTTGTAGGACATGGTAGCCTGAGCTAATCACTTCCTTGCTGCACAAAGTGTGGCGCACAGAACAGCAGCACTGGCATCACCCAGGAGCTTGTTAGAAATGCAGCATCTTGAGCCCAACATAAATGTATTGAATCAACATATGCATGTTAATAATAACCAACCAGGTTATTCATATGCACACTTTACAAAGTAAGAAATGGAGGCACTGAAAGAAGAAGTAACTTTTCTATTAGAGAGTTAGCAGATGTGACAGACATTGCCAGTAGCTTACTGATTATCAAATACATCCTCCTCCTTTCTAATAAATCCAATTTTATTTAGGGCAGAAATGTGCCCAATGCCAAGCAGGACACTAATTTCCCCAGATGTCTTCCTAGCTGCAGAGAACTATGAAGGTAAAGGCAGAAATCAGCTGCAAGTGCCCAGAAGGCTTATTTTTCTGACATAAGGAACAGATGATTCCACTCCTTCCTTTTGTTCTGGCCTTAACCATAGATAGGATAGTTGGAGCTGCAGTAGCCATCTTGGGATCATGAGGTGACAAGCATAAAGAGAAGGAAACACTAAGGAAGGTGATTAAAAAAAATAAAGAGTCGATGTTCTTTAAGCCACCTTTTTAAGAACTCAGTGCTAGGAGCCACCTATCTGTAAAATTCTTGTTTGTGAGAAAAATTAACCCCCATTGAAGTCACTGTAGATGGAATTTCCTATTACACTCAGGCAAACACATCCCTAAATGATGAAGGCTACTATGATAATTCTTCTCTTACCTATATTTGATAATTTTATTCCAATGCTAAAGAGCAAACTTTCCTGTTTCCAATTGGCATTAAACTCACGGTATAAAAAGCCACTTGAGATTATTATATCCTTTTCTAATGTCTTCAGACAGAAGTATGTAAAGTGTTACACCACCCTCTCTAAGAGGGTGGGGAAAATTACAGAGATAACAGGCCACAAACTGTTCCCTAAACGGAAGGGATTTGATGAAGAGACATCTGCTTTCACCCCAGTAACTTTCATATCCACTCACTTAAATGTGCACCTGCCCAATTTCCTTGTGTTGATAGATTTTGCTTAACATCCCAGCTGTTCCAATGAAGTGGCAACACAGGCAGAAATTGCAGCTGCCCCCTGGAACTGGTGGCAATCAGATATCTGAGGCTGAGATGACTGTATTAGAAGCTGTCACCAAAAATGACAAAGACCAGACTGGGTGGGGTAGTAGCTAAAAGAGAATGGCAAACGCGGTGAACATCTGTGTAACAAGCATCTGAATGTAAACATCTTCATCCTGAGTCAGCAACTGTATTCCATGGAACTTTTCATCACCCCTATATTTCACAGATTGTAATGTAAATCCTAAATGACCCTCCCTGTTAAAGATATTAATTGTGCCATCAATTTGGCAGCAGCCAAAAATACCTCCTAGAGTCCTGCAGATTATCAGGGAAGCTTGAAGGAATGAAAGTTGAAATGAATCTGTTACAGCAATATTCTCCTCACTACTACATTGTCTTTTCTCCCTCAAGAGTTCAGATAACTGTTATTCTGATGTATGTACTGGAACAGTAATAAGTCAACTTATGACATTTAATCTATTTTAAATGGTGACATATTTTAATATAATTATTACTAATAATATGGTTCTATATATGGTTTTCTTGTTAGTTATCTCTGATCCTGCAACTCTATAATTGCCACTAAGCCAAAACTACTCAAAATGATAAAAGGATCCTCAGTTTTAATTACTGTTGTCTTAGAAATCCTCTGCTTCCTTAAAAGTGACTCTACATTAACTCCCATTGTTGTATGATATTTTTACAATGTAAGCCTGCCCCATTTAGTCTCTTAAGATTCCGAAGTTTCTTTTACTCGAATATGTGTTGCACAATTATTTTGCAAGTCTACTAAGCACAATCATTGGTTTCCCATTTTTTGCTTGAATGATTACCCTTACATGCCCTAGATAGCTAATTAAATCTATCCTCCCATACTCCCCCCTACCTGACCTGAACACCAGCCTTGCAATTCCGTTTTCTTTTAATTAAGATGTCCTCTCTTGTGGTATCCAAATTTTAATCTTCCTTGCAAACCTAAGTGGCATTTTAGCCCACTATTTTTTTCTTGAAAATTTTGAAGAGTTTCTCTATATGATCACAGTAACAACAGTGAATTTGTTCTATTTACCCTGATTCTCTGACTATTGCTAACTTACTGAATTCTATTGTAATGAACCTTAAAAAATGCATGTAACTGAAAAAATTTGAACTCTCCAACCAAAAAATCTTAGTAACTCAGCATCTTTTGCACAAAATCTAAAATCTTCACAAGTAATTAAAACAGGAAATCTTCCATCTCTTTCTAAAAGTCCCCCATGACATTTGTCTTCCTCCTCTAAACCCCTCCAGTTCAAGTCTGGAGTTATCTTATGTCCTGGGAAGTTTTAAACATACCTAATTCTAAAAGCATCTGATCCCTTTGCCAACATAATGGAAACCAAGTGCCTATCCAATACTTACTAAAATATGTTAGGTCCCATTATAAAACACAATCTAAATAACGTATTTTGTAATACTACTTGGAGACATTTGTAATTTTTATACCTTCTTCAACTTTCCTTAACCTGGAGATATAACTCTACTCCTCTACTCACAGACAAAATCCAATTGTACTACCCATTATATCGAAATACTCATGTATTTCAGTATATTCCTGAAATATCCATAAAGTTATTAGACTTTGCTAACCATCTCCACCAAACATTTGAAAATATTATGACCTTATTTTAGTATATTTTTTGATGACTACTATATGCATACTTATATATATCAGAAGGGACATCTTACTTTTTATTACGTTTTAAATCAAATTATTAATGCCCTAATTCATCATATTCTCTAAGAATACTGATATGCTTCTATACAAAAAAAAATGGCATCACACATATCCCTGAAACATTTTGCATTCACCCCCCTAATAAGTTTGTGACAATCTGAATGTTAATAAAAATATTTATTAAATGGATGCTCTCATGACAGAATACTATTTAAAAAAAGTTATATGAAACCATTTTCAATTTTTAACATGTTTTAATACTGAAATAAACAACAAGGAATATAGAGAAGGTGAAATAGATTTAACTCATGTATCAAATTAAGATTGCACCTTAAAAAGGTATAATAAAAACACAAAAATAGCAAAACTACCACTAATGCTAATTACTTAAACTGCAAAATCCAGTGAAGAATTTGAAGGGATCTGTATCTGATGATAAGTTGATATCCCTAATTTGATCAGCTTCTGTATTAAATCATTTAATATTTAAACATTAATTTTATTCTTATAATACCTTATTTGTAAATGATAAGATCTGTACCTCATGGGATGAGGGTATTTTAAGTTAAAAACAAAAATTTCCAGAATTCTGTGTTAACAACACTAAAAATTTAGAAGAAATAATTCTCATCATATAACTCTTCATAAGTTTTTCATTTTGCTGTTCATGTCTAGTTTTTTTTTCTTTTACCTGTAGCTCAAAACAAATAAGTTTTTCTAAAGAAGATAATTGAGGAGAATCCGGAAGTTTCTATTGGAATTAACACGGTCTTAGTACTTTTGGGAATGCCACACTTAAACACCCTCGACATCCCTGCTACAGACATAGAAAAATGTGCTCTCTGAGCCTTACACTCTTCTGTAGATATCATAATTCTCTGCCTCACAGTAAATATACCAGAAATCACTCTTCCCTTTATGACAGAATACTTAAAGTTCAATAAAGAAAACACAGAGTGGTTATACAGAATTCTTAATTAAGAAGAGAAAGAAGAAACCAGTGCCTAGAACACATGAAAGCCAGAACGAGCCAAAATATGGTGTGATATGAATTTATGCAGACTGGGTCTTGCTCGTGATAGTATTTCCAGCATTTAAAATAGTACCCGGCAAATCCTAAGCCCTTAGTAAGAAACAGTTGAATGAATGAGCTATACTTACAGCTACAAAACTTGGCTAACTCCAGTTAAATGGTACAAGTAAAAATCATTTCCTACTTCTCTAAACTTCAATAGAATGTTCTTATAATGGACCATGTGTTCTGTGGTTTCAAGCTATTTTGAGAATGACAGTGTACATGCCTCATCTCCCCGAGGGACCTCATCTCCAGGAAGACCAACACCACACCTTGTACGTCTTTATATCCTGCAGAGTAGAGTGGCTGGCATATCACACTCTTTCAATACACATTTTAAGGAACAAAATACTAGAATAATTTCATTTGACTCTTTCCATGTTAACACATTGAAAAGTAATGAATAGTTTACTGGCCAATCTGTTCATTTCACTATCTTCACTACCAATATAGATTTCTACAAGGTGATTTATCTGTAGCAATCAAAATAGGACACTAAAACAAATGGATCAGTCATGCTTATGGTCCAATTTATCCACTGTGTATTAAGGGGGAGAGAAACAAAAACTTTGACTGCATCTGAGCTGAAGTGCTACAGGGAAAAAATACAGTGAGTGAGGCATGCTTGTGCCTGAAACAGCCAAAGTAAGCATCCCTCAAAATTATGACTGAGGACAACACCTTCACAACAGCGATGGTTGAAAAAACCAACTGCTATTAACCAAAAATGTTTTCAGATGAAAACAAAACACTAGTATTAGTTCATTAAAACATGGGTAGTGGCCAGGCGTAGTGGGTCATGCCTGTTATCCCAGCACTTTGGGAGGCCAAAGTGGGAGGATCACTTGAAGCCGAGAGTTCAAGACCAGACATAGTGAGATCCTGTGTCTACAAAAAATTTAAAAATTGTCTCCCTCTCCCTCTCCCTCTCCCTCTCCCTCTCCCTCTCCCCACGGTCTCCCTCTCCCTCTCTCCACGGTCTCCCTCTGATGCCGAGCTGAAGCTGGACGGTACTGCTGCCTGATTCTCCTGCCTCAGCCTGCCGACTGCCTGCGATTGCAGGCGCGCGCCTGACTGGTTTTCCTATTTTTTTGGTGGAGACGGGGTTTCGCTGTGTTGGCTGGGCTGATCTCCAGCTCCTAACCGCAAGTGATCCACCAGCCTCGGCATCCTGAGGTGCCGGGATTGCAGACGGAGTCTCATTCATTCCGTGCTCAATGGTGCCCAGGCTGGAGTGCAGTGGCGTGATCTCGGCTCGCTACAACCTTCACCTCCCAGCAGCCTGCCTTGGCCTCCCAAAGTGCCGAGATTGCAGCCTCTGCCCGGCCGCCACCCCGTCTGGGAAGTGAGGAGCGTCTCTGCCCGGCCGCCCATCGTCTGGGATGTGAGGAGCCCCTCTTCCTGGCTGCCCAGTCTGGAAAGTGAGGAGCATCTCTGCCCGGCCGCCATCCCATCTAGGAAGTGAGGAGCGCCTCTTCCCGGCCGCCATCCCATCTGGGAAGTGAGGAGCGTCTCTGCCCAGCCGCCCATCGTCTGAGATGTGGGGAGCACCTCTGCCCTGCCGCCCCGTCCGGGATGTGAGGAGCGTCTCTGCCCAGCCGCCCCGTCTGAGAAGTGAGGAGACCCTCTGCCTGGCAACCGCCCCGTCTGAGAAGTGAGGAGCCCCTCCGCCCAGCAACCGCCCCGTCTGAGAAGTGAGGAGCCCCTCCGCCCAGCAGCCACCCCGTCTGGGAAGTGAGGGGCGTCTCTGCCCGGCAGCCACCTCGTCCGGCAGGGAGGTGGGGGGTCAGCCCCCCGCCCGGCTAGCCGCCCGGTCCAGGAGGTGAGGGGCGCCTCTGCCCGGCCGCCCCTACTGGGAAGTGAGGAGCCCCTCTGCCCGGCCAGCCTCCCCGTCCGGGAGGGAGGTGGGGGGGGTCAGCCCCCCGCCCGGCCAGCCGCCCCGTCCGGGAAGTGAGGGGCGCCTCTGCCCGGCCGCCCCTACTGGGAAGTGAGGAGCCCCTCTGCCCGGCCAGCTGCCCCGTCCGGGAGGGAGGTGGGGGGGTCAGCCCCCCGCCCAGCTAGCCGCCCCGTCCAGGAGGTGAGGGGCGCCTCTGCCCGGCCGCCCCTACTGGGAAGTGAGGAGCCCCTCTGCCCGGCCAGCCGCCCCATCCAGGAGGGAGGTGGGGGGGTCAGCCCCCCGCCCGGCCAGCCGCCCCGTCCGGGAGGGAGGTGGGGGGTTCAGCCCCCCCACCCGGCCAGCCGCCCCATCAGGGAGGTGAGGGGCGCCTCTGCCCGGCCGCCCCTACTGGGAAGTGAGGAGCCCCTCTGCCCGGCCACCACCCCGTCTGGGAGGTGTACCCAACAGCTCATTGAGAACGGGCCATGATGACAATGGCGGTTTTGTGGAATGGAAAGGGGGGAAGGGTGGGGAAAAGACTGAGAAATCGGATGGTTGCCGTGTCTGTGTAGAAAGAGGTAGACGTGGGAGACTTTTCATTTTGTTCTGTACTAAGAAAAATTCTTCTGCCTTGGGATCCTGTTGATCTGTGACCTTACCCCCAACCCTGTGCTATCTGAAACATGTGCTGTATCCACTCAGGGTTGAATGGATTAAGGGCGGTGCAAGATGTGCTTTGTTAAACAGATGCTTGAAGGCAGCATGCTCGTTAAGAGTCATCACCACTCCCTAATCTCAAGTACCCAGGGACACAAACACTGCGGAAGGCCACAGGGTCCTCTGCCTAGGAAAACCAGAGACCTTTGTTCACTTGTTTATCTGCTGACCTTCCCTCCACTATTGTCCTGTGACCCTGCCAAATCCCCCTCTGCGAGAAACACCCAAGAATGATCAATTAAAAAAAAAAAAATTTAAAAATTAGCTGGGTGTGGTGGCACACACCTGTGGTCCTAGCTACTCAGGGGACTGAGGTGGGAGGATCACTTGAACCCGGGAGGTGGAGGCCACAGTGGGCTGAGATTGAGTCCACTGTATTCCAGCCTGGGCAACATAGCAAGATTCTGCCTCAAAAAAAAAAAAAAGTAGGCAATATTTTCTGGGCCATGCACTTTACTGACATCACCTTGAATTTTGCCTGACACTTGCTGTATGGGGAGAAAGTGCTTCTATCTAATATAATACATACCAGCGCTGCCACATATTCAGTCTGCCTTTCCTATAAAACAATCACAAGCTATATATCTGGTTAAGACAACCAACTGAGAAAAAATTCTGCAAAACTACCTCACCCTAACTATTTCCTAAGAAGCCTATCTTAGTCCCATTCTGCAGCAAGGAGTGGGCAAGCAACACACAGTGAGGTGTATGCAGAAACAATAAGATGCTTGTTAGTCATGCCTCAAAATATTAAAAAGCGTCACAAAAAGCTGTACCTAACATTACCGTGTTTCTAGTTTAACCTAGCATGCACTGTGATGAAGTCCATCAGCATGCTATTTCCATGCCATATGGAGAGAAGTGGGATAGCCCCCAGGCAAAATTCAAGAAACTGACTCTGAAAGCTGTGTCCACAAGTCTCCAGCCTCCCCAATGGCATCCCACTTCAGGCACCCAAGCACATGTCTCATGCCTCCCACAAAGTAAATTTAAATAAATAGGAAATGACAAATAACTTGATATCAGTCATTTACACTTTTATTAAAAGCTATTTACATACGTGCGAAATCATCCCAATTTATTTTCATTTTCTCACTCATGAAATAATAAAATGCAGTGTTCCCTGTGACCTTTAGGGAGCCTAGTGGGTGGATCTCATGCGGAGCATTAAAGGGCTCTGAAATCTTCTTATGCGGAAGGCTTATTCTGAAGGTTATCCTACTCAGTGAACTTTAGGAGACCCCAGGAATCTGAGTCTGAAAGGCAGAGAGACTAGATTCTCAGCTGCCTCATGCTTCTGAAGGAGCATCAGCCTTGACTGCAGCTGCCTGATTGAGGAGAATGCCAAACATCACAGCTTTTCAAAGAAGCAGAAGCTTTAACATCTGGAGTTTACTCTGCCTTCATCTGAGACTAGAACTACTTAACAGCTCAGCTCAATCTCTTCTTTCTACTCATCTTGCAACCTACCTTTCCCTATCTTCCCCTCGCCTCCACAGTTTTATATACTGAGATCTCAAACCACTCTCAGCATGTTCTCTCTCTCTCGATGTCTCCACCACCCATAATCATAAAGATAAGTATGATGTGATCAAGCATCAGGATATATACTCTAAAGTTTCAAGACTCAGAGGTTTTGCTGTTGAGGTGTCTGGTACATCCCAGCTTAGGGTGGTGACTATGCTTTCAATTTTATAATATGTCCCTAAAATCATCATTTATATCATATAATGAGCTTTTATTCTGTAAATACAGCTTTGCTTCTATAGGCAAATTCATTATCTTGAATTGATGGTGCCAAATTTTTATATGTCATGACAGTAATCGTGAAGATAAATGCATCATCTTTTTCATTGGTTTTGTTTTCAGGGGTTTTGTTCATGTACAAAGATGTGCCCACACAATAAGACTGAATGCATAAGAAACACACAAATAACTTCTTTCTTTAAAGCTGGATCCTGTATGCCCCAAGTTTATCATGTTTTGGAAGTCAAAGCTTTTATAAATTAAATGCGACATGGGTTGATATATTCTATTTCATTTCTAGTAGAAGTGGTAGTAGAACCAACAATAACGATAATAATTTCTACATGTATTGAGTTCTTACTCTGTTTGCCAGCCACTGTCCAAAGGGATTAGATGTAAAAAGTAAAATAAGCCCTCAACAAACCAATAAGCCTTGTAATTTTACAAATAAAGAAACTGAAGCAAGGAGAGGTTGAGCAATGTGCTGAAAGTCATATAGTTAATATATAATAGGAACAGAATTCAAAAGCAGGTACTGATCTTAACCATTACTTCATGAAGCAATACAATGCTCTTTTGAGGTCAGAATTCCTCTTAGGTTCTGGGAGAGATCAGATTTTTTGGTATTAATTTTTGCCCACTCAGTAGCCTCTATTTCATTTTTTTATAAATTTGAGGAGTAATAAAATCCATGGAAACATGTTATCATACATCTCTCCACAGTCTAAGGATAAATATCCAAGAGTAAATTTGAAAACTGACCATCAGACTCTAAGTCTGTGTTCAGACCTCAAGTTTTTCATGATTTTTAAGCATAAAGCATCTTCAAGGTTTCAGAGTATAAAACAAAAGTACCAGGTTGGGAGAGGGTGGTTCTAACTAGCCAACCTCCTCGAAACAGCTTTTCAAAATGCAGTTAAGCATGGTGCTCAATCTAGATTTTCCAGGCTGAATCTATAATTTAGATTTCAAGGCTTGTCATAGCTAATAGTTGTTACTCTTGATCATGTGGATGCCAGCTATCATAAATATATGAGGCCTGTCTACACATTCAATTTTCCAATGACCTATAAAATTGATCCGAAATAACAAATGTTGCTCCTTTTATTCATTTAACAATGTGAAAGCCTCCTCTGAAATAGAAAAATCCATGGGAGATACCCCGACTTGTTAGCTCTGATGACTAAATTGAAGACAAAGAGAAGACTTGATACAGTTATTAATTCTAGCTAATCTGCATCTACAGTCTTGTTAGATAAGATTTTGAGGCAATGCCATGTCAATTTTTCAGGCCCACAATGAAATAAGACTACCAAATGCATAAGGCCTACCAATATTTTCTTGACATGTTTTTCAAAGAATATTACTTTCTAACATAATATTCTCCTTGAAGAATTCTCCTCTGCTATACCTAACAATACTAATTCCTATCAATTGTATGTCACATTGCACTTTCTTAAGAATTTCAATGTACTTGAGCCATATACTATTCCTGCGAGATATAAATAGAATCAGTGGAACTCCTCCTCCCACTTCACAGATGAGTAAATTAAGTCATAGATGGGATAAATGAATCACTCAAATCACACAGTTAGTTCATGGCAGAATCACAGGTACTGTAAATCAGGAGTCTGAGTAATTGGTGTAATAATTATCCCAATTCACCAAGAAATCAACTTAAAATATATTGGTGTTAATAGTGAGAGGCTGGTGTAGTAATTAAATAATCACTCCATTGATTTTAAGGATGAAGTCAACTCTATAGTTGATCATTTTCATGGTGGCACACTGAAAGCAAAAATGAAATCAACTAATAAAATGGAAAGTCATTCAAGAGATATTTTGTTGAGTGCTTACTATGTGCCAGGCACGGTTCTAGATGCTTAGGATAGATATATCAGTGAATCAAGCTGCAAAACAAGCAAAAATCCCTGACCTCATAGAGCATACATTCTAGCAAAAGAGACAAAAATGTGCAATTAATGGTAATAAATTATATATATATACACAAACATACACACACACACACACATATATATATATATATAAAGTGCTAAAGAAGCACAAAGAAAAAATGAAATTGGGCAAAAGGGATCAGGATTGCTGATGGGTAGACAGGTTGGAGTTTCATTAAGTTGGTCAGGGTTGACCTCGTTGAGAAGGTGAGATCAGTGGATACACCAGGGAAGAGAATACAAGCAGGGAAAAGGCTCCACAGAGTATCCCAGTGTGTTCAAAGAGCAGGAAGGAAGCTAATGTGACTGAAGCGATGTTAGCAAGAAGGAGAGTTGTGTGAGGTGAGGTTAAAGAAAGAGTGGGGAGAAAAACCTTGCAGGGCCTTGCAGGTCACCACAAGAAATAAATCCAACTTTTATTCTGAATGACTAGGACACCATTGCAAGGATCTGAGCAGTTGAGGGGCATGCTCTGACTTAAATTTTTAAAGGGATCTATTATTAATCGTTAAATGCCTTAAAATATGTTACTCAATATATTATATAATCTTTGTCATATAAATGAATCACAATGGACTCTCCTTCTCTCAGAATAAAATTCTATTATTCCCATTTTCCCAAAGAAAATATCCAGGCTCAAAATGTCTACAATAAGAGCTAGTAATGATAGAGCCAGGTGAAAAGAACAATTTTTCTAACTCATAGTTCAAAACTGGTTCCTCTTTTCTATGTACTCATTTATATCATAGTTATAAAGGAAAGAAAATAGCAATTGAGACTAATTAAATAGATTATCCATCAACAGAGATGTGCAGTTTGATACATTAAAATCAAATTGAGCCCATTTTTCCCTTATTATTCATTTCTGGGAAATAATGATACAGGTAATTTCCCTGAGTTTTCTATTTGAAACGACATGTGTGCATTCAGACTAAAAATGTTGGATGCAGAGGTAATTATGATAATAATTTAAACTTGAAACAGTACATTTAGCAAGTTCTTCAAAGTCTTTTAGTTATTGTCATTTATTAACTGTCCACTAAATGCCAGTCGCTATGCTAAATTCATTGCATATATTATATTTAATATTCATAAAAAATTTAAGAATGTCATTAGAAATCCTGTTTCACAGATGACAAATATAGATCCAGAGAGGCTAGCGATTGAAAGGTCACACACTGCTTAGCCCCAGAACCAGGATTTTACTAAATCTCCAGTCTAAAGCAAAGTTCTCTTCATTAAGAGCGATACTCAACATACCACCTCAACATTCCTAACTAAAAGGTCAGCCAGATATGGGTAGTCCCATTTTCCAGACAATGAGCTGTTCACAGAAAAGTTAATCAAGCATCAACATTTATTTTATGACCACAATATGCAAATCAATATTTAGTTGCTGAGAAAGGAGGATTTATTATACAATATCTTGACTCAATGAGCTTCTAATCTTAATAAGGTAACAAGAGAAACATAAAATGGTAATAAATCATATATGATAGCACATAATATGTACCAGGAGACATAGTGCCAGTGACTGGTTAAAAAAATTTGAGAGAAAATTTAATCTGGGTGCTTCAATTCAGTTAAGAAAGATCTTTACTAAAAAGAACTGGTGTTAAGATGATTTGCATAGGAAAGGTAGAGTTTAGATAAGCAGAAGGGATGAGGAAAAAATGATTCCAGTCAGAGGAGATCATATGACTAAAAGCCAAAGGAATAGATGAGAATGAATTATCAAGAGAAAATAAATAGATGTGTTTGAAAGGCAGGAAGAATTGGAGGTGGGGTAAAGTGGTAAATGAAACCAGAGAAATAGACTGTGGAAATCCTTGTTAAATTAGCAATTTAAGGGAGGAGAGAAAGAATTGATATCATTGAAATGCCAATATGTAGCACATGCTTTGTGTACACTTTTTGTTTATATAATCAACTCAACAACCCTAAAGGTAACTATATCACAGCCACAGAAACAGAGGTGATATGGCCAAGGCACAGCTTTGTGTGTGGATGGAGCAGAATTCCAGTCTAGACCTGTCTGCCTCCAAGGAATATGTTCCTTCCACTATCCCTCGCCACCATCTACCAAAGGAAATGGGGAGCCACTGTTGGCACTTGATCAAGAGAAGAGAGTGACATATGAAAAGGAGTATAAAGCTAAAAGAAGACTGACCTGACTGTGAGATATTAGCATATGTTCAATATCAGAGGATTGAGGAAGGAAGAGAATAACTCAAGAAAAGCCACTTCATGTATTGCATTAACCTAATTAACAAGGTAATGTAAATCTCTATTTGAATGCAAGCGTTGGAAATAAAAAGGATGCAAGATTTTACAAAAGAAATATAAGGAGATCAATGGCAATACATAAGTCCTCAAACAGGTAGTTTCTACTACCTAACCATATACCCAGAGGATAAATATTCCTCGTAAAAATTCAAAGAGACAAAGTCTACAGGCTAACTTGGATATTTTAAAATTTGACAGCAGGTGATTTATTTTAAAATAATATGATCTATGCCTTATGAAAAACATCTGCCTTAGTGCAATATGCCTCTTAAACCACGATTGTGAATTATGGGAACCTTACTTCTTACTTACTAGGCTTACTTCTCTTATACAAGTTTGGCCAATAGTTCATTGCCACATATGTTAACCTGGATAGTAATTCCTTATGTTCGTGCTTGTTAGGCATATTAATTACTAATCAGATATTCTTTTCCTTTTTATTTTTCCTATTAGAAACTGAGCATATATTAAACAACTGAATTCTTCCTTCAGGATACAATGTGTCATACCTGTGAACATTATTCCTCTCTGGGATGTCTCTCTTAAAATGTAAGATATCACTCAGGGATTCAAGTCAAAAACTAATAGAAATTAAATGGCATATTATTGAACCAGTTGGGTCTCTTCCAACTTTTTTCTTACCCATGGACAACCCAAACCATACAATTGCCTAACATATATATATATATATATATATATATATATAAACAAAACTTATATTTTTAAAAGAATTATTTGCATATATATTCAGGAATTTAGTCAGACTAATACAAATCTTTTCCAGCAACTTAGCATTGCAAAGTCACCAAACCCGGCAATAACCAGGTTAACTACATAAATCTTGTATTAGTATCAACTGTTCAACTAATTTGTCTTAATTTTGAATTAACTGTGAAACTAAATGTCTTAATGATTATGAAACAAACAAGTGATAAATGTGATCATTAAAATTTAACATATTAGCCAAGCCAAATTTTCTTTCCCTTTTCGAATAAAAATATATTTATTTTTCTGAATTAAAAATTTTAATTTTCTGAATATTTATTTTATTTTTCTGAATAAAAAATGTTTAAATTTGAAATCAAACTGTGCCACAATCCAAAACTTTAGACCTATGTCTAACGTATATCTGAAATGTCTTTGAAAGTTTCAAGAATAACAAAGTTGTGCTGTATTCTAGAAATATCACATGCAAGTGTAAAGAAGTATCATCATAGAATGCTAAAAAGTGTATTCGTTAAAATACAACCACTATATTCTTAAATTTTTTATGTTCCTCATTTCTGTGTATCTGAGCTGACATGAAAATATGATCAAAGAAAGTAAATATACTTTCTTTACACATGAAATATACTTTCATATGTATATCTGCTCAATAATGCTAGATTTTAACATACTCTAAGTGTGAGAAAGTTAATTTAAAAACTATTCATGCAGAAAGTCTGGGCTCCATATGACTTTAGGCATTCTATGAAAGATATGTTAAATACATTATGTATGTATAAAAGGAATCACAGACAATATTTTTTCATATATCTTACTTTCTATTTTCTATAATTTTATATACACAGTGATGCATTCATATATAAAAGTATTAAAATAGGAATATTACCCTTAACTTTTAAAGGCATTATTTTACGAGAGTTTTAAAAGAGGAAAACTATTTTTACCTCCCAGTCCTGGTCTAAGCCGATTATCGTAACCATCCAGAAGTCTGTCAAGAATTCTCGTAAAGATGGTAATGTTATTTTTAGCCTCATCTTCTTGGATGTTAGCCAGCACCAACCTAAACAGATAATTTTAAAAGCTGATATATATACATATGTGTGTTTTGCAAATGCCAACATGCTTTTCTTCCTTAATTTAAATTTTAACACTCCCTGAGCTATTAGTACCACCCGTTTTCCTCCTTTTTTTTTAACTTCTATAAATATCGGTTTGTCTTCAAAAAAGGTAAACATGAAATTGAAATAGATTCTAAATAGTAGATTATCAGAAGTTTGATGTTAACATTATTTGAGATTCTTGCCCCTTTAACATTTTATGTGGACTATTCATTTTCTTTCTAAATCCATCTCCTGGGATATATTATGATTGTAGATTAACACATGCAAACACTATTAGTATTGCTATTCTACAGTTAGAAAATTCCAATAATCAAACAGACTCCTGAAATAACCGTTTTCAATATTAATTGGAAAATAAATTGCTTTTTTGGAGGTAAATATATTTTCTATCTCTCTCATAAGTGTCTTTCTTTTTCATATGTATTTTTCTCTTTTAAATCAGGATTTTTTCCTTACTTTGGGTATACCTCCACCCAATGGCCAAGTGCAATATAAGCATCAGGGAAACTCCACTGGCTATGTGCCAGGCTCCATGTAGCCAGGAGGTGGAGGTGGGCTCTGAAAGCATCAGCAACACATACACAGCTGCAGAGATCCTTAGAGCCTAGTTCTTCCTGATTGGTCTCTGAGAAGAGCAATATTGTAAAGATTAAAATGCCTAGTTACTTTGTTTTGGTGACAATTTTGTAGAAAGAACAAATGGTCTTAAAATATCACCAGAAAAGCTTTAGAAATTGTGATTTTCTCCATTATTTCTCCATCATAAAGCCAAACACCTGATTCTGTGACATGCAGCAATTTGTTGCAGAAGCAACTAAATGTATAAAACAGAATGTCCCTTTTCATTGTCTTTTTTTTTCTCAGAATGAATCAGAGATTTAAATTGCTGGCCCCAAAAAAGAATCATTTATATAATAGAATACAATACTGGCATAAGCATTACTGGTCAAATATAGAACAGAAAACTAGTTGAGAGAAGTATGGTTAAACACTGAGATTTTCAATGATTATTAATTGATAATGGATTGTCCACTCTTTTAAAATAAAAGACAATATGTAATTACATTCTGATCAAGGTGCATTGTATAAAATATTATTAAAAGTGTCCATTTGCATTTAAATGATTACACACCTAGTAGCTATAAATAGTCACAATACATCAAAAACTGGTAACCAACTTCAAACAAATATTGTCTTAAGAGCAGAGAAAATATTAAAGTATTCAAATGAAGATAAACATCTACAAATTAAATAAGTGTATCACTTTATACCCTCTAGCCTCAAAAGTTTCTGTATTGCCTACTTAAGCTAATTTTAAAACCAATAACTAAGATGTTCATAAAGTTCCACATATTTTCATTTGAAAGTGTTTCTTAATCACATTTTATATTTTCTTTCTCAAATCAATATGTAGTCATTAAATTAGTAGATATTTTCCAAATGAAAGCAAGGCTTTATGAGATAGATGGCGTCTCAATTCTAAGAAATGTTTTCATACTTTGACCATTACTTGGACAATTAAATAAAAAGTTAAAAGAGAAATAAAGGTATAATAAAGACTTATTAGATTTTTAAAAATAAATAGTTACAAGAACATTCTTATAAAACTTGTATCTTAAGTCTTCTGGTATTTTGAGAATCATATCCTAAAGGCATTAAAGAAAAGATGTCCACTGATGATGAAAATCAGGAAAGTCTACAAAATAAAATGAAGTTACTGAAAGCAATAAAAATTAATTTCATGTTTTTATAGCATAGGCAAAAGAAAATTCATTACATATTTTAAATCAGTACTCCTGACTGTAAGCATTTGAGAAAAAAATCTTAATAATGCAAAAAGTCGATGATTAATAAATCTAGCTTTTGTTTCATTGTTTGTGATTGTGAAGTTGTATACTACCTCCACCTAGAGGTTTAAGACTCACACATCTTTTGGGTTTTCTATGGTGACTAAAGGAGCCATACCATTAAAAAAAGAAAAGAAAAAGGAAAAAAAAAATTAGTTAACACTCAAATCACTTAGCTGGTACTTTTCTGTCAGCTCGAAGGAAAACTTGGCTTCCTTATCGAATCCTGGTGTTATATTATAAGTGCCTATAATTAATCACTTCAATTCCTTGTAGGAATATGCCATTGAAAGGATTTTCTTTTCTTCTGTGAATGTTCTGCATGGAAAGTGTTTCTGTTTGCTTTTGGATCTTATCACTAAGAACGAGAAGCAGTGAAGTTTTTACAGTCTATTACTTCATAGTTCACTTTCCCCATACACCCCCTTTTCTGAGAAATAATTCTTTAAAACACCCTTGATTTTCAAAAGCATTAATGGCCTACAAGAAACACATCTTTGCCCTGAATTAAAATAGTCAAATACAATAAATATCTCACCTGGCAGGGTCCCACACCAAGAAAACAAAAAGCAGGAACTGCATGTTGTAGATGTTCAATTTTGTCTTCATCACCGCCGCTCTTTACAAAGCCATGGAATGAAAAACAAAATACACTTAAAATTGCCTTCAGTTTCACTATCCAAGTAACCCCAAAGAATATCCTTTTAGTTAGGGATTCGTGTTAAAGCTATGGAGATTACTTCCTGGACTCTGTGTAGGACTTGATGATTGAGAGACGATTTCTTTTTTATGGACCCCCACCCCCACCCTTTTCCTTTCTGTTTCTTTCTTTCTTTTTTTCTTTCTTTCTTTCTTTAACAGCAAGATGACCAAGTAATCAGACTTCTCTCTGCCAGGAACGTCCCCCAGCCTCATCGTCAGCAAACACTGTTTTGCGCACACGTAATAATAACACCCTGGACTTTAAACTGGCATAGCAGCTGGAAAGGGAATGGGTTGGAGGGGAGGGGAGGAAAGGAGAGGAGAGGAGAGATGGGTACTTCACGCCACAACCCCCTCAACCAAGACCACCTCCGCAACCACAGCGGGAAAAGCTAGGGGCAGGCAGCCCACTTTTGCAATTACTCTACATTACAGTGAACTGCGGTCCTCACGTCTTCTTTTCTTCACTCCCCTTAACAAAATAAAATAAATAATTTCCCTTCCTGCCCACCCACGGTTGCCCAAGACCAAGTCTTAGAGGCAGCCGGGTTCCGATCAAGTGCTGCGAAACGACGCGTTTGACAGCTGCTCTGGAGCCGAGGATCACAATAAGAGAAGGCGCGTGAGGCTCCGGCAGCAAACACCAGCCAGGCAGGCAGCGGTAATCACAGTGAGCAAAGTTGAAGACTATAAAAGAGCCAGGCTAACGTGCTGCCGAGCAGGTGTCCTGGATTTTATTGTAGTTGCAAATATGCTTCTGGTGATAAGTATCGAAATTATTTTTTAAGTGCGCTGGGGAGGAGGGAGGTGCGGGAATTGAGCCTCCTCCGTTTCCAGGGAGCCTCTGAAAGTGGGGTGGGGGGAGATGAGGCATGCACGCGAGGCAAAGACAAACAGGAAAGTGTCTCTATCGGGACCAACGTGTGCGACCCTACCTGAAACGGCAAGCAGAATTCGGTGTTTTCTTCCTTTTGCCCTGATCTTGACGAGATAGGAAACTTGGGAGAGAGAGAGAGAGAGAGAGAGAGAGAGAGAGAGAGAGAGAGAGAGAGAGAGAGAGAGACCGAGACTGCAGCAGCCAAGAGAGCGTGGAGCGATGGGCTGGTGGAAGCCGGAGAGGAGCGCTAGGAGCCGCGGCGGCGGCGCGAGGTGTAGAAGGAGGCGAAGGCGTTCGTAGTGGCGGTGATGGGCGGAGGAGGAGGAAGAGGAGGAGGAGGAAGAGGAGGAGGGGGAAAACGATGACAGGAGCTGGGGCCGGGGGGGGAAATTGGGGGGACGCGGGCGGAGGCGCGGTGCGCGCCGGCGGTGGCGGGCACGAGCCCCGCGCCTGGAGGAGGAGGAGTCAGGCCGGGTAGGAGGGCTAAGGAGGTTCCCGGGAAGGCAGGGCCCCCCCTCCCCCCCCTCCCCCCCCCCCACACACACACACTCCCCTGCCTCGATCCCTCGATCCCTGGTAACTGACCGTCGCCCGCCTGGCACTAGCAGCGGCGCAGACCCGGGCGGCGTCGGGCGCCTGGGTGCGCTCGGAGCGCCGCTCCCCTCGCCCACACCTCGCCGGAGGAGCGGAGCCCACGCGCAGCCTCGGGCTGCTCCCCGAGGCCGCTTGCTGGGGCTCCCGAGAGGCCCCAAGGTTCCTGACAGAGCTGCTGTTGGGTGTTGGTGTAAAGCCGGGAATGTAGTGTGGCGGTGATGCCCTAGATCCCTGGGGCCGCGCCCTGCCGCCCGTCCCCCAACATCACCCTACTGTGGAGCGACGTGGCTGCTAAGAGGTAAAGAGGTTCCGCTCCTGCTGGAGGGCAAGGGGACTAATCACGCCTTTACTTAGTCATCAACGCATCCACGCAGGACCAAGTTCAAAGCATGTTGCGTGAAATCAGACAGCAGGAAGTTTATTTGATTCCTTAACCCTCCTGATATACCATTCATTCCTTCACACTCCCGCAATAAAGACCGATTTCCCCTGAAAGCTCTGAGAGCTGGAGAATTCCCTTGAGCCAGTCAGTAAAGTCCATTTGCAGATTACACACACACCTTGGGAAACCTCCCGCTCACTTCCAGCAATCCTTTTCCAACCTCTTTTCACAGGCGCCCTCCCTAGCAGGTGATCAAACTCAATCAACAGCTCCAAAAAGTTTACATTACCCAGGAGCAAAAACGGACCTGCTGTGTTTCTACTACCTCTGCAACTCATTCCCCAGTGGGAGGAAAGGTAACAACGTTTGAGGTTTTCCCCCTTTAGGGCTTTTTGCTGGCAAAGGGACTTGGAATTCCAGTCCCATCTTACACTTTCAGCATTGTGTGTTTGATCTGTCTCATTTCTGTTCTGTTTTATCTGAGGCGATAGAATCCAAACGTGCAACTTGAACAACAAAAAAAGGGGGGGACATTTTCCTTTTTGTACTGCACAGAAGACAGAATGTTATGCACATTTTACTAAGGCAAAGCAGAGCCAGTGTTTATCTCCTCCAGAAGTTGTTATAAACGTTAGACACTTTAAAGGAAAAAAGAGAGAGAGATAAGTATGCTGATACGTTTCTGTCATTTTACATTCAGAGTCAATATGTGCCAAACACTTCAATTTTGTTAGTTATGCACCAAAAATTCAGATGTTTTTCCTAGATGGTGCAGTTTTTCTAACAGGCACTGCTAATCTACAGTAAATTTTAGCTTTGCTTTGAAGATTATGGGAGGAGAGTAAAACCTTTACATTGTAAATATTTCCAGCTGTCCTTTTTAATCTATTAATCACCATTTTCTGGATGAGCATTTAATATGTTACAACCTAAACAAACATTTGCTCTCTTATTTAGCTTGCTCTGTGAAGAATGGAACACCACCCAGCTCTCTCCTCCATCATTAATATTCTTTTCCTGACTTGCCCATTGCAGAGTCTAATTGAAATTCACAAAGATAAAAAGCATGCCATTTAAAACCTTGCAACCAGAGAACCTAAGTATCTTATACTTGGCATGAACAGTTCACTTGCTACTGTATTTTCCTATTTTCCATTTCTGTGAGTCAATCTTCATTAAAATCTCTATCACCTCTCCATTTATATTACTAATAAATTGTTGATATTTTGATAATGGAAGTTAAGCAGTGTATGGTTTCTTCCCAGCCTTAATTGCTATGCTCCAACAAAATTTTTCTTTAATGAATGTCACAATTTTTGTAAATATATTCATATATTATTCTAATACTTATAAGGTCTTCTCCTGGATTCTAATATCAAATTATAAATGTTTTAATTTTTTTCGTTCAACATTTATATCAATTGGAATTGTTTGTTCTGAGGAATTAGCTTTTCCCATTAGCACCCTTATTAAATATGTAATTTCAATGACATATGACCCTCTTATATGACACTTCACAAAGTTCAAGCTGCTTTGAATGTTTTTCACCATTTTGGTTTTTTTTCTGTAAGTGTATGTTACTACATCCCACCGATTTAGAGATGCATTTACTGGAGAATGACCCACAGTAAAAACTAAATTTAAAAGTTTTCATTATAAAACCTTGATTTTTAGTTCTCACAAAATGTTTTACAATTTTAAATGTTGGATAGCTGTAACTTAAACTTCAAAGCACATTAAAGGAAATGGAACTAGAAAAGCTGATTGTGGGCAGCAGATTTCTGGTGTTTAGCCATATCTATACTGCTATTTTGTTGTATTACTAGCCCAGACAAATTTCTCTGGAAATTTGGAGGATTATCCAGCTTCCTCAAACAGCTGACAAACTCAGCCAGATTTTCTTCTCTGCTCTTTGTGATAGAGTGCAGGTTAACTGCCTGAGATCTGAGCCAGCCTGTGTGGGTCGTGACTAAGCTCTTCCTACCCACTCCTTTCAGAGCATGTCCTAAGGCAACCAATCCTGAGGAAGAATTGACAACTAATTGGTTGCCAGTAAATCCATTCCCATCCAGGCTTGGGCAGCACAAAACCTTCTGTTTCAAACCTCTTTGAATTACTGATCAACAAATTAGGTTGGTGGGTGGAGGTGGTCACTTCTTACATATTCCCCAACCCCAACGCTGAAATCCTTAAGGAAATTTCCACATAAAGACCATGAATAAAAGAAAGCTGAAGAATTGGGAGATCTTGGTTTTGTCTGATTTCTTATTAGCTGACATCTCACAATATTGTACAATTTTAAGATTTGTTATAAAAACTGTTCATGTTCTTGAACAGATATTTTGTACAGCTTCCATTTTTAGAGCTCAGCCTAGCATTACTGCTATAGAGAGCTACTACTTTATATGCCCTAGGGGACTTCATTAATCTTTAAGCTTTCTATAGAGTGATATGTGTATAGAAGTATATATATTACATATGTATATATATAATACACCTATATTTATTGTACACTTATATGCATACATACATATATACAAATATGCTAATATATCTGTAGATAAATATATATCAGAACTAATAAAAATAGACAAGAATATTTTAATAAGAATAGCATTTAAATACCACAATTCTACAAAATACATTTAATCTTACTACTACATGAATTGGATCATGATGATCTTTACATGCTTTAAAGAGCAATATCATAATTACTTCAACAAGAATAGCATCTCACTATATTTAACTTTTTAAACTCTCAGCACATATTTCATATAATAAATTTGTGTATACTTTAACTACATACATTCCTATGTGATTCATTCATTTGAATGAGAATACAAATTTATGAAAAATTAGGAACGGAAGCACAGATTATTCTGTTTTCAAACAATTTAATATTATCTTCTACTTTTTCCCATTGAACTAGTTAACTAATTTCAAAGTGGACCTGGAGTATATGTCAGTTCTCACATATTCACCACATTACTGAAAGACAAAATGAGACAAAACCGGTGCAAATTCTTAGCTGACAATTATCAATTCAAAACCAGGACTTGGTCAAGCTCTATTTTTCCCATATGTTGCATTTAGATGGAGGGTTAGGCCCCAAGGTTCTGAGAGAAGAAACAGCTGTAAAGTGGAAGTAACTAGTTTCACAAACAAATAATTCCGAAACTACTCTCTTACATTCACGGATCTAGGTCACATTTCATTAGAGCTAAATATATCATGTGTATTAGCTTGGATAAACTATGCACATTACCTTCTTCAAATAGAATTAGTAACTTTCTGTTTACCAAGTAATTTTACAAATTCTCATCCAACTTGCAAATTGAATATATCAAGCATTCAGGATATCCTGGTGGTTTCTGAGATTTTTAAAACAATTTACAACAAGACACACATAAGAATTATTTGTAAGAAAATTATTTTACCTTCCTTTCTTGAAATTATAGGTATAATTTATTTTTAGGTTAATCAATTCCTTTCTAAAACAAAGATAAAACTCTGGTAATTCAAACCAAAAATTTCCTCACTGAAAACTATGCTTGTTAATGAAGTATAAGCGGCTACATGATCAGCAGCTTTACCTGTGAGACATGTCCTTTAAATGATATTCATAGTAATGACAAGAATAAAAGGAAACCTGTAATGTCTTCATTGGTATAACAGCTTAGATTCCATTCTCAGTGTTTTGTATTAACTCATTTAATCTTCAAAAGTAAGAAGTTATTATTATTTCCATTTCACTGATAAGAAGGTTTAGACACAGAAATATTAAGCCGACTCAAGGTCTCACAGTGCTGGCAAAAGGAGTAGAGCCCTGGCAACATGGCTCCAGAGTTTCCGTAACTACTATACTATTTGTAATAACACCTTATCATGCGCAATTATTCAGACAAAGGCAACAACAATAACAACAAAATCAGAAAACATAGCGAGTCCAGGACCTAATTTGAACCCATTTATAAACACCTCAGGTGGGATAAGATTGGTCCAACTGAAGGATTATTCCAATATCATTATTTATAGCATCAAAACACTTGCATCTTAAGAGGAACAGAGGGTATATATAGTGAAGAAATAAACGAAAAATATAATCAGGCTATGGGCATTTTATGGTCAATCAGTGCGACATGAAAGAGAAAATAGAAACCAATTATTTCTAAGAAAAAGTGAATAATGCTATGGCAAATTAATTATGGATATCAAATGATTTTAAATATAGATCATTTCTCTTTGGTAGAGACTTTTTGTATTTGAGAGAGTGGCTTGCTCATAGATGCTCAATAAATAATTGCTGATCTTCGTAAAGTTAAGCACTTTGGAATACAAATTGGGAGCCTTGGTTCCAGAGCCTGACCTTGGGCAGTCTTAGCTATGACATATTCTGTTACCTCTTAGAGCTCTATCTCTGTCCATCACTGACTATCAGTGCTTAGATACCTTTTTTCCTCTACCTTTTCACCTTTCCCCTATGGAAATCCTGAACACTGGGAGATATTCATTCTAGACTCTTTCTCAACCACCCACCAGTACCATACACATACACACACACACACACACACACACACACACACACACACACAATTACTATCGCTGAGAAAGTACCTCCTATCTATCCATCATCTGAACCATTCTATTCATTACCAATTCCATAGCCTTATCTCTATCCTCACTTGGAATACTGCAATACTAATAAATAGTGGCCTACTAATTAGTTTCTCTGCCTCTGATCTTCGTTTTCTCCAATCTATCTTCCATTGAAACAACAAAAATGTTTCTAAAACTAATTTTGATAGTGTCACTCAGCCATCTAAAATGTTTTCTTGAGAACAGTATAAGGTGCAAACTCTTTTGCATATCACATCTGACTTCAAATTATAGCTTATACCTCCAGTCTCAACTCTGCTTTCTCTGCACACTCCTTGTTACACACATGCACACACATGCATGCACATACACACACATGCACACACATCCATAGCCAGCATTCATTTTTCAAGCATCATTCTTTCCTCTATGCTTCCTGCAAACATAACTTTTTGCATTTCTCTCAAGAGCCAGTGGTTTCATGTCTCTATGCTTTTGTTTCTCACTGTCTTCCCCTACTGGAATGCCACGTTCACCCTATCTACCTGATGAACACTCCAAGTTTCAGCCATGTAAACTACTTCTTCTTCCAGATAAAATTATCATGCCTTACTTTTTACTCCTGTTGAACTTAGCACAGGCATTTAACATTAAACCTAGAATATTCAACTGAACTTATTTATTAACTTTTCTATCACACTGTCTTAGTCATTTGGGGCTGCTATAACAAAATACCATAAAATGCGTAGCTTTTAAACAACATAATTTTACTTTGTACAGTTCTGAAAGTCAAGAACTCCAAGATCCAGGCACTGCAAGATTCAGTGTCATAGATGGTGCCCCTTGCCATGTCTTCACATAGTAGAAAGGGGGAGGTAGCTCTCTGGAGTCTCTTCTATAAGAACACCAATCTCATTAATTAGGACTCTGCTCTCAGGACCTAAGTATCTCCCAAAAGGCCTCACCTCCTAATGCCACAGGGATTGGGATTTCAACACGCGAATTTTGGGAGAACACAACATTCAGATCATAGCACTCACCCTATTGAACAGTGAGCTATTTAAAGGCAGAAGGAGACTCATCTAAGCTATCTTTACCTTCTACATGCATAGGCAGAATCAAGCATATATCATCTTTCAGGAAATTCTTGAGGACATGAGCATCTGTACCTTCATATGTGATATAGTTTGGATATTTGTCCCCTTTAAATCTCATGTTAAAATTTGATCCTCCGTATTGGAAGTGGGGTTTAGTGGGAGGTATTTGGGTTATGGGGGCAGGTCCTTCATGAAGGTCTTTGTGCCCTCCCCCAGTAATGAATGAGTTCTTCTTCTATTAGCTCCCTTGAGATCTGATTGTTACAAGAGCTTGGCACTGCCTTCTCTCTCTCTTTCTTTCTTCATCTTTCCATGTGATGCCTTCTTTCCAATGCCTTCTGCCATGAGTGGAAGCAGCCTGAAGCCCTCACCAGAGGTAGATGCTGGTCCTGTACAGTGCCAGAAGAACCATAGGCCAAATAAACTTATTTTCTTATAAATTATCCAGGTTCATGTATTTATTTATAGCAATGCAAAATGAACTAAAACAATATGTATATGGGAATCATAATCCTTCCTTCAGAGGAATGAGATGTTACAGAGAGTTGAGGTTAAGAGCTCAGACTCTGGTTCTAAATCCGAATCCTGCTGCTTATTCACTATACAACCTTTGACAAATTCCTTAGCCTTACCTTGTCTTAGTTTTCTTACCTGAAGAATAAAAGTATTTGTAGAACCTACTATTTTTGGTCATCACAAGTATTTTATGAGTTGATATATGTGCACAGAACAACACATGGATCATAGACAACACTACACAGTGTTTGCTGGTGTTACTGAAGTATTTGAAAGCTGTTAGATCACTGCCTCCACATTCAGTTGATGAGATTTAGTTGCATGCACAGCACTTGAGTTTGTTGATTCTTTTGGCTCTTACCTTTTCCCATGAGTGTGAATATGTTCCCATCCACTCTTTCCCACCCACATTCAAGCTCCCACATTCACAGAATGACCTGTCAGAGCCCAGCACATATACCTACATTCTCTTACTTTGCATTAGATTATTTTTTCTCATGAATACATTGTTTCCCTCATTCCCTCATTTTTTTTCTGGTCTTTTTTTTTCTCCTGTCCTCCTTTTAGTATCCTATGCCCTCCTTTTTATTCCAGCTCGGCCTGTTTCCATCTTTCGTTAGTTCTCTAATGTCCCCTTTTCCTCCCTCTTTCTCATTAGCATTCCTACATAGCATACATCTGCATTTGTGTATGCACTTGTCTTTTGGCATATGGGAAAATGTGTGTTTATAAGAGTGCATACAGATAAGAAGACAGTGTCTATTTAAGCAGATGGGAATGTGAGTGCTTATGCTGCACATGGATGGGCATCCCTGCCTGTGTTTCTGGGTAAAGGCCTCTGTATAAGCAATACTATTAAATCCACTCAAATGCATGGTATTGATCCATTATATTAATTGAATTGAAAAGTCAAGAGGGGCTTTATTTTTTAAATTGGCTTGATCTGCCTGAATTTTTTTTAAAAAGTCACATGTTTAAATGAAGCCCAAATCTGTAACACCTAGAGAGCTAAATTCATTTGTCAACGTGAAGGCGTCCAGCTGCCCCTCCTACCCATGCCCTAGAGTGAAATATGGTTAAAAGTTGCTCTTCCTTTTTCTGTGATTTCTGGGTATCCAGCATGTATTCAGTTGGAAAAGAGAAACATGAAAATTTTCTGCATTATGAATTAAGAGTTAACAAATTATCCTTAAAATAGGATAACAAACAATTAAGATAACAAACTATTCCAAAATATTTTGGTGGGGAGGGAGACATTTTTATAGAGGCTAATGATGGTGCTCTCCAGCATTATTGCTCTCCAGCAAATATTGCCAGTTTCCAGCATAGATGTAAGAACAGATCAAATTTTCTCACTTTCCTTGAAATTAGAGTTGCTAATGAAAATTGCTCTGACCAATGATAGGGAAGCTAAACAGACTTAGGCCATTTCCAGATGGAAACTGGACGAATAAGTGTCTGATTCACCATGTTTACTCCTTCTCTGTTACCTGGGTATGACCAGTGATGCTCCAAATAGTGCTGGTTGCTCAGTGGGTCCTTGAATGAGGATGACAAAGTTCGGAACTCTTAACTGACTGGCACTGAACTTATAGCATGGACGAGAAATACATATTTGCTGCTTTAAGCCTCTAAAATTTGGAGTAGTATCTACTACAGAATAACTTGATCTCTCCTTACAGCTGAAATATGAGGAGAAAAGCAAAGTTTTTTTGTCTTGTTTTAATACCAAATATTGATTGATGAAGTGGTATATAAAATCTTTTCTGGCAAAGAAGATTTTTTAAAAGATCCAAAAATCACAGCCCATAAATACTTGCTTGCCTAAGCCTAAACCAAATTATTTCATGGGTCTTTGGTTGTATTTATGTTTTTTTCCCATTTCTTAACTGTTTTTATCTTTATTTCTCCTCCACCTAAACACCCAGAGGGGTTGAGAAAAAGTCTGAGATTGTTCTTGAAAAACATTTCTTCTAAATTTCCGTTTCATTCTTCCTTATAGTGGCACAGACATTGGGTAGGTGGATGATATTCATTGAGTTCCAACAGGAACTCTGATTATCAAATCATCTGACAGGTATTAGAAATGGGATAGAAAATGATTTAAAAAGAAGGGATAAGGAAAAGAGGACTGATGTGACAGCAACTGTTAGATGTTAAAGTGAAAGAGAGACGATTAAAAAAAAAAAACTGCTTCTGAGTAGAAATGCATGTAGGAAGATATCTCCATGTTTTCACTACATAAAGAAAAACAAAAGAAATCGGCTCTGACCTAAAAATACAATGAGAACTTTGAGGCCTTTTTCAGAGATTTTTGACAAGGTAGAAAAGGCCAGTTAGTTACAGGTTTTAATATGAACTATTTCGTTGTCATTGCACAATTCACTGGAGCAAAAATTTATGGGTTTAAACTGCTTTTAGCTAGTCAATCAACATCAAACCATTGAGACAATTTAGCATTCAAATTGTGAAAAGAAAAATGTACTTGTCTTTAATAAGCCCTTGAGGGAACAGAAACTATTTCTCTCTCCTTATATTCCTCACAGTGCTTTCCAGATAGTAAGTGCTCAATAAACATTAATAGAAAGTACAATAGACAAGTGAATAAACATGAGTAAATTAACAAATGAATGAAAGACTGTGCCAAAAAGTTCTTAAAGGTCGTTTATAGTAGCTCACCTGTTCTCACCTTCTCCATTTTGACCCTCTCTAGCCTGGCCTCAATGCAGTAGGCTGTGTGATCTTGTCGCAATACAGAGCTGATCGTGTCACTGCATAACTTAAAATTCTTCAAATACTTTCCATTTCTCCTAAGTTCAAGACTAGATTCCTTACATGGTTGATGTCTTGTATGCCTTGGCTCCTATCTGGTGTGGAATCATTATTTTCCTTGCTCCAAGAACACCAGCCTTCTTTCAGTACTTGAAATATGCCAGGCTCCCTAATGGCATTTCTTTTCCTGCCATGGGGCATCATAGCACATGTTTCCTCTGATGGAAGCCTCCTACCTCCTTTACCTGATTTGCATCTATTCATTCCTCTTAGAAGAAATTAGGAAGCACTTCCTTAAGCCTTCCCTGACATAGTAACCCCACCACCAGTCTCTGTTATGTTCCCTTGTTAAATGTGCTTTTTTTTTAAAAGATATCTTGTCTCAGTTTTTTAATTGTTGTGTGTGATTATTTTATTAACATCTGTTAACCAACAGTGCTATATATTCCATGAGTTCAGGTGTCCTGCTTATTTTTATTTAACATTGTATATCCTTGAATTGGTGCATTGCCTGATTCCTTGTAAGCATGCAATAAATCATTGTTGAAAAAAATTAAAGAACAAATAAATGTATAACAAGCTCAAAATGTGATGTATAATGTTACTTTCAAAGATAACATTTCCTATGCCTAAAATTAAATCTATAGTCCAATTATTTGGACTGTTGCTATTGTCATAAAGAGCCTATGGGGAACTAGGAGCTGAAGATAACGTCACTGCCTCTCTACACTTATGAGAAATGAGACGAGGACACATTTTGTGTTGGTAAAAAAGTGGGAGAGAAATTCAATCAAGGTAGGCCAGCAAAAGGAACAAAAGGAAATGATGTATTTGGTTCACAATAAGGAAGTTTTTTTTTGTTTTTTGTTTTTTTTTTTTGAGACCAAGTCTTGCTCTGTCTCCCAGACTGGAGTGCAATGTTGCAATCTTGGCTCACTGAAAACTGCGCCTCCCAGGTTCAAGCAATTGTCTGCCTCAGCCTCCCGAGTAGCTGAGATTATAGGCACCTGCCACCACGCCTGGATAATTTTTGTATTTTTAGTAAAGACAGGATTTCACCATCTTGGCCAGGCTGGTCTTGAACTCCTGACCTCGTAATCCACCCACTCAGCCTCCCAAAGTGATGGGATTGCAAGCATGAGCCATTCAATGTAGGTGGTAATGATAGAGGCCAGTGGGCTATTAGCTTCAAAGGATAAAACTTCAAGTAGGTTATTGCCAGTGTTCAGGAACTGACATCCATCAAATCTTGCCTTAGTATCTCTGCCTAAAATAGAATGATCTATTATTATTTAGCTATAATATAGGACTAAAGTCTGATGGATAAAGAAGAACACTGACATTAGAAAATCATAGACTGAAATGTTTTAAGGGACTTTGCCATCGAAACCAATCCTGCCATCTATTTCTACCTAGGGCTATGTCTGAGCCATAAAGGTGACTAACTTTAAGAAACCATTGAATTTACAAGTCATCTAGGAGCTCACTGAGGAACCCTCTCAAACACTCTACCACCACCACCAGCTGGTTTGTTTATGATATTTCCTGGTGCAATTAACTGTAGACATTTTAGTATAAGTAGTAGACATATGTGTATAGGCAATTTAAATTTAACTAACATCTTATGGTGGGGTTAATTAACCTAAGAAAATTTTCAGTATAAATCAACCTGTTTTAGGCTTATTAATTAGCATAAGACCTATAATAATCTTTTGGCGATAATAGTAATGGGATTTGAAGCTAAGAAGACTTTAAGAGGACCCAAACTCCTTGCATGAATAAGGTCTACAAAGAGCAAGCTCAGCAATGCCCAGAGTGCTGCAAGCCAACCCTAGAGACTTTGACCTGGAGACATCTTGCCACTGGATCCAATTACAAGGCCAGCAGATCTTGCCATCAGACTCTCTTATGTAACACTCAGAGCGAATATTTCATGGAAGATGCTGGTCTATGGAACTAAGGGCAAATGAATGAAATTTTCCCAAGCTAAGAAGTTCCATGACTATACTGCTTGTTAATAAGTGCATTCTGCTTGGAAGATTTTCATCTGAGATCTGCTTTCATTGTGAGTTAACATCCATCTAGTTAGGAGATTGTAGGATAGAGACTACCTCTAATCAGTGGTGGTTACTCATGTTTACCAGAAGAGCCTGACATTCACTAAAGGAACAAATTGGTTTTGCATAGTTGGGTGATCTAGAACAGTTCACAGGATCTGTAGAGTTTGAAAATGAGAGAACAAGGAATGAGCAGCTGGTATTTAAGAAAGTGTTGCTAGGGCTTTAGAGTTGTGATAGGACTAAAGGTATCAATAGTGACAAAAGTTGGCTGAAGCTAGTACATAAAGGAAAGGTGCACTCACACCTGAACCTAAGATTTTCAATTTAGACAAGGCCTCGCTTGGAAAATAAAACTTATGTCACAGGAAGAAAGGGCATGAAGCAGAAAAGGTGTTTTATTTCTAGAACATTTGTAGGTAATATGGAAAGAAACTCTTGAGCCTGGTTGTTGGTAGGCTCAGAGCTTGGCTCTGACCCAAGTCAGAGCCAGAGATATTTTAAGTTTTAGCATCTTTCCCCAAAGAAAGCTCACCATGGTGAAACCGCCCCCATAAAGTTTACAAGAATTACATGCTGGATTCTGGGCAGAAAAAAATAGTTATAATTAAGCATTAATCAGGATGCACTTTGGTTGAGTCAGATGGGGCTGACTTTACGTGTCTGTGCTGAATCCAAGGTCTAATCCCCATGAGTTTTATGGAGAAGTGAGTTTCCAGCAAGACTTCATGTGATCTGTTCTACTGAGGCTTTACCTAGTTGTCAGGATGCTGGCTTTCCAGGTCTTCAATAACATCCAGTCTCCAGGCTGACTAGGGTGAAAGGGCACATTTGTAGGAAACAGCAATCTGCTAGAAGCAAATTTATGAATGGCAGGAGAATCAGGCCTAAGGATTGCACATACCTGACAGTGTCTCACTCTTTTTTGTGTATATTATTGGGGTCCTTTATTCCAAGGGTGGAGCATGGGAAGGGCATCCCATATAGCATTTCAAAAGGACTAAATTTGATCCTGATTTTAAGAGCCACTCTTACTCTGAGCAGGGAAATAGGCAAAGCCTTATTCCAGGTCAAGTTGGTTTCCTGACAAATCTTAACTAAAGCCTTTTCTCAGGACATGATTCATTTTTTCACTCTTCTTTGTGGGTCCTCCAGGCTGTGTGGAATTTCCATGTTATGCCAAGGACTTGAGAGACATCCTTAGTGACTTTAGCCACAAAGGTGGCACCATTGTCACTCTGATTAGAAATGGGCAAGCCAAACTGAGGGATGATTGTTTTTAAAGCAGAGCCTTAGCAACTTCAGATATCTTCTCTGCTCTGCAATAGAATGCCTCAATCTATCCTTAAAAAGAATCTACAAACATGAGCAGATATTTAAAGTTTCCTGCCACCCTCAGCATCATGGTGAAGTCAATCTACCAGCCCCAAGTTGGCCCTTCACTCCGTGCCTGGACTCCTTGTATCATGGGTGGAGGGCCAGTTTTTGGGTTACTCCAGACCCAGGAGAGACACTTCTGTATGACCATTTGAAAAATCTTATGCATACATGGGTGAACAATATATCTCTGACTCCAATGGAGAAGGGCATCCCACCTATACTGAGTGGTTCCCTGAGTATGTCCAACAATGCCATCCATGAGGCATTCAGATACTAGGAATATCCCCTCTTGGTTATGTATCCATCCATCCTGTGTTTTTCAACTGGGGTCAAAACCCCAATCGAGTGCTCTTTTAGATCCTCCTCTGAGTATGTAGGTAGTTCAAGGTCAAGGATTATTCCAGGTGTTAATGGTGTTAGTAAAGTTTGGGGGATCTTTTCTCTTGCTGCGGTCTTTGCAGCCTTATCTGATTATTGCTTTTTGCCACCAAACTGTCTGTCTGTTGATGCCCAACGCAATGAACTACAGCCACTTCTTTGGAGCCCATGACTGCCTCTAGCAGAGCTAAAATCTCTTTAGCATGTTTAATTTCTTTGTTGCCAGCAGTTAAAAACCCTCTTTTTTTTTCCCAAATAATCCCATGAGTATGGATAACAGAAAAGGCATACCTGGAATCTCTGTAGATAGTCATTTTTGAGTCTTCACGTAGTTGGAGGATGTGGGTGAGGGTAATGAGTTTTGCTTTCTGTGCTAATGTTCTGGGGGAAGTGCCTCAGCTTCCAAAACTTGCTGGTGTATCACCACAGCATACTCAACCTTTTTTTTCCTTCCTGGTCCATAAAGCCACTTCCATCAGTGAACATCTCTAGATCTGGATCTTCCAATTGTATGTCAATCAAACCTAGCCAGCTAGAATTAACTTGTTGGATAATTTGTAAGCAGTCATGCATAGGTTTAGATGCTATCTGAGGAAGCAAGGTGGCAGGATTTTAAGTAATATCAGCTCTCAACATCACATTTAGGTTATTAAGGAGGATGGCATAATATTGTCATAGGCTTCTAGAAATCAACCAATAGCTTCCTTTTTGTTCCAGTAAAGGAAGTACATAGTGGGGTGTGTGCACTGTAGTTGGCTGGGCCAGAGTAAACTTTTCTGCTTCCTAAAGAAAATCACAGGTGGCAGCAATAACCCTAAGGCAAGATGACTATCCTTTTGTGACAGTGCCCAATTGTTTTGAGAAGTATGGACCTGGCCTCTTGATGTTCCCTAAATATTGGGTTATCATTCCTAAATCCGTTCCTTGTCTTTCATGCAAAAATAGGTCAAAGGGCTTTCTTATACTGGGGAGTCCTAATACAAGACCTGTTATCAACTTTTCTTTAATGGTCAAAAAAGCCTTTTGGCAATCCCCAGTCCATTCTAACAGTTTGTTATATTCCATATATATATATATACACACACACATATATATATATTTTAATTTTGGGGGGTACATAGTAGGTGTATATTTTTATGGGGTATGACAGATATTTCGATACAGGCATTCAATGTGAAATAAGCACATCTTGGAGTTTGCGTTACCTTATCTCCCCTTTAAAACATCATGTGGTCGCTTCCAAGATAGCTGAATAGGAACAGCTCCGGTCTGCAGCTCCCAGCAAGAACGACGAAGAAGACGGGTGATTTCTTCATTTCCAACTAAGGTACATGGTTCATCTCACTGGAACTGGTTGGACAGTGGATGCAGCCCACGGAGGGTGAGCTGAACCAGGGCAGGGCATCACCTCACCCAGGATGTGCAAGGGGTCAGGGGATTTCCCTTCCCTATCCAAGGGAAGCCATGACAGACTGTACTTGGAGAAATGGTACACTCCTGACCAAATACTGTGCTTTCCCCATGGTCTTAGCAATCAGCAGACCAGGAGATACCCTCCCAGCCTGGCTCAGCAGGTCCCACACCCACAGAGCCTTGCTCACTGCTAGCACAGCAGTCTGAGATCAACCTGTAACACTGCAGCTTGACGGGGGTAGGGCAATCTGCCTTTGCTGAGGCTTGAGTAGCTCAAAGTGTAAACAAAGCAGCCAGGAAGCTGGAACTGGGCGGAGCCCACTGCAGCTCATCAAGGCCTACTGCCTCCCCAGATTCCAACTCTGGGGGCAGGGCATAGCAGAACAGAAGGCAGCAGACAGCTTCTGCAGACTTAAACATCCCTGTCTGGCAGCTCTGAAGAGATCCGTGGTTCTCTCAGCATGGTGTTCGAGCTCTGAGAACAGACAGACTGCGTCCTCAAGCAGGTCTCTGACCCCCCCATGTAGCCTGACTGGGAGACATCTCCCAGTAGGAGCTGACAGAAACCTCAAACAGGTGGGTGCCCCTCTGGGATGAAGCTTCCAGAGGAAGGATCAGGCAGCAATATTTGCTGTTCTGCAGGCTGTGCTGGCGATACCCAAGCAAACAGTGTCTGGAGTGGACCTCCAGCAAACTCCACCAGACCTGCAGCTGAGAGGCCTGACTGTTAGAAGGAAAACTAATAAACAGAAAGGAATAGCATCAACATCAACAAAAAGGTCATCCACATCAAAACCCCATCTGTAGTTCATCAAAATCTAAGACCAAAGGTAGATAAAACCACAAAGATGGGGAGAAACCAGAGCAGAAAAGCAGAAAATTCCAAAAACCAGAGTGCCTCTTCTCCTCCAGAGGATCTCAGCTCCTCGCCAGCAAGAGAACAAAACTGGATGGAGAATGAGTTTGATGAGTTGACAGAAGTAGGCTTCAAAAGGTAGGCAATAACAAACTTCTCTGAGCTAAAGGAGCATGTTCTAACCCATCACAAGGAAGCTAAAAACCTTGAAGAAAAGGTTAGACAAATGGCTAACTAGAACAGTGTGGAGAAGACCTTAAATTACTTGATGGAGCTGAAAACCACAGCATGAGAACTTTGTGACACATGCACAAACTTCAATAGCCAATTTGATCAAGCGGAAGAAAGGATATCAGTGATTGAAAATCAAATTAATGAAATAAAGTGAGAAGACAAGATTAGAGAAAAAAGAGTGAAAAGAAATGAATAAAGCTTTGAAGAAATATGGCACTATGTGAAAAGACCAAATATACATTTGATTGGTATACCAGAAAGTGACGAGGAGAATGGAACCAAGTTAGAAAACACTCTTCCAGATATTATCCAGGAGAACTCCCCTAACCTAGCAAGGCAGGCAAATATTCAAATTCAGGAAATACAGAAAATGCCACAAGGATACTCCTTGAGAAGAGCAACCCCAAGACACATAATTGTCAGATTCACCAAGGTTGAAATGAAGGAAAAAAATTTTAAGGGCAGCCAGAGAGAAAGGTCAGGTTGCCTACATAAGGAAGCCCATCAGACTAACAGTGGATCCCTTGGCAGAAACCCTACAATCCAGAAGAGACTGGGGCCAATATTAAACATTCTTAAAGAAAAGAATTTTCAACCAGAATCTCATATCCAGCCAAACTAAGCTTCATAAGTGAAGGAGAAATAAAATTCTTTACAGACAAGCAAATGCTGAGAGATTTTGTCACCATCAGGCCTGCCTTACAAGAGCTCCTGAAGGAAGCACTAAACATGGAAAGGAACAACTGGTACCAGCCACTGCAGAAATATGCCAAATCGTGCAGACCATAGACACTAAGAAGAAACTGCATCAATTAATGGGCAAAATAACCAGCTAACATCATAATAACAGGATCAAATTCAAACAAAACAATATTAACCTTAAATGTAAATGGGCTAAATGACCAAATTAAAAGACACAGACTGGCAAATTGGATAAACGGTCAAGACCCTTCGATGTGCTGTATTCAGGAGACCCATCTCAAGTGCAAAGATGCACATAGGTTCAAAATAAAGGGATGTAGGAAGATCTACCAAGCAAATGGAAGGCAAAAAAAAGGAAGGGCTGCAATCCTAGTCTCTGATAAAACAGACTTTAAACCATCAAAGATCAAAAAAGACAAAGAAGGCCACTACATAATGGTAAAGGGATCAACTCAGCAAGCAGAGCTAACTATCCTAAATATATATGCACCCAATGCAGGAGCACCCATATTCATAAAGCAAGTCATTAGAGACCTAAAAAGAGACTTAGATTCCCACGAAATAATAATGGAAGACTTTAACACCACACTATCAATATTAGACAGATCAACAAGACAAAAGGTTAACAAGGATATCCAGGACTTGAACTCAGCTCTGGACCAAGTGGATCTAATACACATCTAGAGAATTGTACACCCTAAATCAACAGAATATACATTCTTCTTAGCACCACATCATACTTATTCTAAGATTGACCACATAATTGGAAGTAAAGCTCTCCTCAGCAAATGTAAAAGAACAGAAATCATAACAAACTGCCTCTCAGACCACAATGCAATCAAATTAGAACTCAGGATTTAAAAACTCACTCAAGACCTCACAATTACATGGAAACAGAACAACCTAATGAAATGAAGGCGGAAATAAAGATGTTCTTTCAAACCAATGAGAACGAAGACACAACGTACCAGAATCTCTAGGAAACATTTAAAGCAGTGTGTAGAGGGAAATTTATAGCACTAAATGCCCACAAGAGAAAGAAGGAAAGATCTAAAATCAACACCTTAACAACACAATTAAAAGAACCAGAGAAGCAACAGCAAACAAATTCAAAAATTAGCAGAAGGCAAGAAATAACTAAGATCAGAGCAGAGCTGAAGGAGATAGAGACACAAAAATACCTTCAAAAAATCAATGAATACAAGAGTTCATCTTTTGAAAAGATCAACAAAATAAATAGACTGTTATCAAGACTAACAAAGAAGAAAAGACAGAAGAATCAAATAGACACAATAAAAAATGATAAAGGGGATATCACCACCAATCCCACAGACATACAAACTACCATCAGAGAATACTATAAACACTTCTACACAAATAAACTAGAAAATCTAGAAGAAATGGATAAATTCCTGGACACATACACCCTCCAAAGACTAAACCAGGAAGAAGTTGAATCTCTGAATAGACCAATAACAGGTTCCTAAATTGAGGCAACAATTAATACCCTACCAATCAAAAAAAGTCCAGGACCAGATGGATTCACAGCCACCTTCTACCAGAGGTACAAAGAGGAGCTGGTATCATTCTTTCTGAAACTATTCCAACCAGTAGAAAAAGATGAATCCTCCCTAACTCATTTTATGAGGCCAGCATCATTCTGATACCAAAGCCTGGCAGAGACACAAGAAAAAAAGAGAATTTTAGGACAATATCCCTGATGAACATTGATGCAAAAATCCTCCATAAAATACTGGCAAACTGAATCCAGCAGCACATCAAAAAGCTTATCCACCATGATCAAGTCAGCTTCATCCGTGGGATGCAAGCCTGGTTCAACATATGCAAATCAATAAACATAATCCCTCACATAAACAGAACAAATGACAAAAACCACATGATTATCTCAATAGATGCAGAAAAGGCCTTTGACAAAATTCAATAGCCCTTCATGCTAAAAACTCTCAATAAACTAGGTATTGATGGAACACAGCTCAAAATAATAAGAGCTATTTAGGACAAACCCACAACCAATATCATACTGAATGGGCAAAAACCTGGAAGCATTCCCTTTGAAAACTGGCACAAGATAAGGATACCCTCTCTCACCACTCCTATTCAACATAGTGTTGGAAGTTCTGGCCAGAGCAGTCAGGCAAGAGAAAGAAATAAAGGGTATTCAATTAGAAAAAAAGGAAGTCAGATTTTCTCTGTTTGCAGATGACATGATTGTATATTTAGAAAACTCCATTGTCTCAGCCTAAAATCTCCTTAAGCTGATAAGCAACTTCAGCAAAGTCTCAGGATACAAAATCAATGTGCAAAAATCACAAGCATTCTTACACATCAATAATAGACAAGCAGAGAGCCAAATCATGAGTGAATCCCCATTCACAAATACTACAAAGAGAATAAAATACCTAAGAATCCAACTTACAAGGGATGTGAAGGACCTCTTCAAGCAGAACTAAAAACCACTGCTCGACGAAATAAAAGAGGACACAAACAAATGGAAGAACATTCCATGCTCATGGATAGGAAGAATCAATATTGTGAAAATGGCCGTGCAGCCCAAGGTAATTTATAGATTCAATGCCATCCTCATCAAGCTACCACTGACTTTCTCACAGAATTGGAAAAAACTACTTTAAAGTTCATGTGGAAGCAAAAAAGAGCCCACATAGCCAAGGCAATCCTAAGCCAAAAGAACAAAGCTGGAGGCATCACACTACTTGACTTCAAACTTACTACAAGTCTACAGTAATCAAAACAGCATGGTACTGGTACCAAAACAGAGATATAGACCAATGGAACAAAAGAGAGTCCTCAGAAATAACACCACATGTCTACCACTATTTGATCTTTGACAAACCTGACAAAAACAAGAAATGGAGAAAGGATTCCCTATTTAATAGATGGTGCTGGGAAAACAGGCTAGCCATATGTAGAAAGCTGAAACTGGATCCCTTCTTTACACTGTATACAAAAATTAACTGAAAATGGATTAAAGACTTAAATGTAAGACCTAACAACATAAAAACCCCAGAAGAAAACCTAGGCAATACCATTCAGGACATAGGCATGGGCAAAGTCTTCATCACTAAAACACCAAAAGCAATGGCAACAAAAGCCAAAATTGACAACTGGGATCTAATTAAACTAAAGAACTTCTGCACAGCAAAAGAAAATATCATCAGAGTGAACAGGCAACCTACAGAACGGGAGAAAATTTTTGCAATCTATCCATCTGACAAATGGCTAATACCCAGAATCTACGAAGAACTTAAACATATTTACAAGAAAAAAGAAAACAACCCAATCAAAAAGTGGGCAAAAGTTATGAAAAGACACTTCTCAAAAGATGACATTTATGCAGCAAACAGACATATGAAAAAATGCTCATCATCACTGGTCATCAGAGAAATGCAAATGAAAATCACAATGAGATACCATCTCACACCAGTTAGCATGGTGATCATTAAAAAGTCAGAAAACAACAGATGCTGGAGAGGATGTGGAGAAATAGGAATGCTTTTACACTGTTGGTGGGACTGTAAATTCGTTCAACCATTGTGGAAGACAGTGTGGCAATTCCTCAAGGATCTAGGACTAGAAATACTGTTTGACCCAGCCATCCCATTACTGGGTATATACCTAAAGGATGACAAATCATGCTGCTATAAAGACACATGCACACATATGTTTATTGCCATACTATTCACAATAGCAAAGACTTGGAACTAACCCAAATGTCCATCAATGATAGACTGGATTAAGAAAATGTGGCACATATACACCATGTAATACTATGCAACCATAGAAAAGATGAGTTCATGTCCTTTGCAGGGACACAGATGAAGCTGGAAACCATCATTCTAAGCAAACTATCACAGGGACAGAAAACCAAACACCCCATCTTCTCACTCACAGGTAGGAGTTGAACAATGAGAACACATGGACACAGGGTGGGGAACCTCACACAGGGGCCTGTCATGGGGTGGGGGGCTGAGGGAGGGATAGCATTAGGAGAAATACCTAATGTAAATGACGAGTTGATGGGTTCAGCAAAACAACATGGCACATGTATACCTATGTAACAAACCTGCACGTTGTGCACATGTACCCTAGAACTTAAAGTATATATAAAAAAGAAAAAAATTATCCAAATATCCAAGTGTGGCAGAACCCAGCCAGTCCTAAAAAACTCCTTAGTTGTTACCTTGTCATAAGCCTGGCAGCTCTAGAAAGAGCTTCCTTCCAGTCAGGGAGCAGGTTTCTCTGTCCCTGCAAAAGCTTAGCCCCAAAGTGTTTAACTGAGGATTGTAACATTTTGCCTTTTCTTGCATACTTCATATCCCTCTTTGGCCAGAAAATTTAAAGTTAATATAGTGCTCTGGTTAGAAGCCTCCTTGTTTGTGCCAGCAACTAATATGTCATTAACATATTAGAGTAGAGTCCCATGTTTTAGCTGAAGGTCTTGAAGGTGCTTAGTAAGAATTTCCCCAAAGATGACTGGAGAGTTTTTAAAGGCTTGGAGAGCTGTCCAACAGTACTGCTGCTTTTCCTTAGTATCTGGACCCTCTCATTCAAAAGCAAACAATTCTGTGACTCTGAACTCAAAGGAATGAAAAAGAAAGCATCTTTCAGATCTGAGACTGTAAACCAGCAATGTTCACCAGTTAAAGTTGTGAGTAGTCTATAAGGATTGGGAACTACTGGGTAAATGTCCTTTGCAATTTGGTTAATGGCTCTGAAGTCCTGAACAACCCTGTATTCCTTAGTCCCAGGCCTCTGGACCACCAAGGTAGGTGTGTAATATGGGGACCAGAAAGGTCTACTGTGCCTAAATTGGAGGAAAATGGGCAACAAAGTTTCAATATCTTATTGTGCTTTTTTCCTCAGGAATATTGTTGTAGATTCTACAAATACATTATTGTTTTAGATTTCTACACATACATTAACCTGTATTGGGATTGTGGATTTAGCCCTCTCTTGTCTGCTATGGGCTCAGGTATGGTGGCTCACCCTTTGTAGCAATTCTTCAGGGATGGAAGCAGGTTTATGAGCTTCTTGTAACAATTCAGCTTGCTAGGTGCAAACTTCATATGGGGACATGCTGACATTCAGTCATCCAGGGAAATGGCAACCTTTGCATTCAGTTTAGTCAAAAGATCATGTCCCAAGAGAGGAATGGGGCATTTAGGCATATATAAGAAAGTATGTTGGCAATCTAGGGATTGAAGTAGTCTTTATAGGGTCCTCCCTGTGACTCCAGTCACTTTTGTGGTTTCTGGACAGTTTGGACAGGCATGTATTTAATACCAAGTAGGTAGCTCCAGTATCTACTAGAAATTCCAATCATCTATTTTCCACTCTTATAACAACCTGGGTCTCTGTGTGGGAAAACTGAAGGTTGTTGGTTGGATCAGAAGGAGCTGCCCGGGTCCTGTAATTCCTATCCCTCATCAACAAAGTTCTCAGCCTCAAGTCCCTTGCCTGCAGGTAGCATGGAATGCATTTGGTGAATGAGAGGTTGATTTCTCTCAGTATTTGCCCCTCTGTGGTTTGCACAATCTTTTTTCCAGTGGCCCTCCTGTCTGCGATAGGCACATTGGTCAGGATCTGCAGTGGAGTGCCCCTTCTTATTGGAAGCATGGGGAAAAGAGGGTCTTATCTTAAGTGGGGTGCCCAAGCAGGGTCCTTGCCATGGTAGAGTTCCTTGGGTTAGAGCAGCTGTCAGCAAGGTGGCTTGTTGTTGCATTCTTTGAAGGTTTTTCTGCTTCTGAACCTGGTCACTGCTGGTGAATACTTTGAAAGAAATCCCCACCGTTTGAGACAAAGGCATGCCCAATGCCCCTTTGGCATTTTGCAAATTTCTCAGAATATTGGAAGCACTCTGGCTAGTAAATGTCATGTTTATTATGCTTAAATATTCTGGAACAGTGAGGTCAACATATGTGTATTACCGAACACTTTAAAAATGCATCTCATGAACTCAGAGGGGCTTTCATTGGGCTTTTGCATTACTTCTTGAACTTTGTTAAGGCTTCTTTGCTTCAGGTCCTCTTTATGGAGTCTAGCCAGGGTGCAATCACAATAATGCTGAAGCTTAGGCTTGTCTCCAGTGTTAACATTCCATCCAGGGTTGGCTATAAGCACTGAAATCTGGGATGCTGCCTATACCAGGGTTACCAGGGAAGTCAGCATGCAAACAATCTGCTTCATCTCTAGCCTTTCTAAGACCATTCTCCACTCCTCAGATATTAGAAGTATATTGAACAGGCTTCAAACATTAGCCCAGGTGGGGTTATGAATTGGAAATATAAATGAAAACTGTAAGTGGGCATATTGTTTTTCAAATTGAATAACTCAGAAGTAGAGAATAAAGAATATACCCAAATTAACCCCATAGGTTTCCTTGCATTGACATCAACACCTCCCATAATTAGCTGCTGAAAGCAGAATTGCCCTACTGAAGTTCAAGTGGCACCCTGGCTGAAGGGTTCCCTGATAGGTGTGAGAAATGACCATTCCTGTATCCCCCTCATTTCTGGCCTCTTGGAGGTGGGAACTATGGTTCAGGACCTGGTGATGTGGCCAAGGCTCCCCCATATAGTGGGGGAAGTGGACCTGACCACTTGTTTAACTGAATTAACAAAGTATCATCATCTCTTTACTGGGACTCTGCTAGTACAGGATTATTAACATTTTCTGATATCCCAATTTTACATTTTTGTCTTTATTGGTCTGTTTTGCCAAAGGAATATAAAACACTATATACATGAGAGACTTCATCTTGCTTTTCTTCTTCCTTGTAGAACAAGTCTAGCTGAAAGAAGGTATTGTAACCAAAGGAACCATTTCTGGCTATCTTTCCCCATATTCTAATAAGTACTGGGACCAGGTTGCATTACAAATGTAAATCATTTTCTTCTTCTTTTTCATGGATTTTTAGGTGAAGAATGCCCAATTTTGTAATACACAAGCCAATAGCCTGCTTAGAAAAATCAACTTATCATTTATCATAGCAGCCAAGACAAAATTATAGATGTAACAAAGACACAATACCAGTCACTCCTCTCGGTATCTGAGTTTTAACCTAGAAAAAGAGACAAAATGGTTTCCCGCAAATCAGGCCTGTTGAGCATCAGCTAGTGACTCCTTCAAGACTCCCCACACATAAATGGAACAAGAACAGGCATGCAGTCTTACAAGTCTGAATTCTGAAACTAGATTTCAGAACTGAGACCCAAAGCATCTAGTAGTACTTCCTCCAAACCGTGCTCTTTATTGTCTTTCCAGTTGGTGAAAGTCCCCTTAAACAGGGCCCATCCTATAGTTTAGGGAGAGTCAACAGAACCTTCTGACAGGTAACAGGACCTCTGAAAAGGTCAACATATCAGGAGAAGGGAAAAGGGGTGTTCATTGCACTTGAGATTACTCACCAGATTCAGAAGACATCTTTAAGACTCAGAAACCATTTCTCTACTGTAAGCAAGCTTATGTGCCAAATGTTGGCAACACTCCACTGGTAAGGAAGGCTCCAGGGATAGCGCCTGGCTTAAAGGAGCCAGACAGCTACTTGAGCTTATCTCTAGGCCCTCCAAAATGGAGGGGGCACTAGCCATGGGCAGATGCTGACAATGGATGACTCTTAGTAGAATCACCACTAAGGTGTGACTGTAATAGGCTTATGGACTGATGCACACAGCAAGTCAATACACTGAGACACTGGGTTGCAGCAGAGAAAGAGGATTAATTGTAGGTCACTGAACAAGGAGATAGGACGAATCCTCAAATCCATCTCCCAAAGGAGCTTGGGGTTAAGGTTTCTAAGGGTGTTGGAGTGGGCTGAAGCGTGGAGATCATTGATTGGTCTAAGAGTGCATGATGAAGTCGTGGGACAGGGAGATGAAGAAGCTGTATTTTCATGTTGATCTTACTCCTCCGTAGAGGTCTTCAAACTGGCTAGTGGAATTCTGGTCCTGAAAATCATCTTAAGCAACCCTTAAAAACCTTATGAGTCCAATGTCAGAGATCCCATCTATAGGAACAATGAGAATGCAAATCAAGTCTTAAGCAGTTTTAAGACACTAATTTTCAAATTCTTATCTATAGGAACGGGGGGATGTAAATGGTCAGTATCTAGTGCTATGTGACTTTTAGCAACAAGGAAGTGGACCAGAGTGCAGCCTCATTAATATTTAATTATAAGTAACTATATTTCTGTCCAGAACCCAGCATGCAATTTTATCTTTTGTTTTTGTTTTGAGACAGAGTCTCACTCTGTCACACAGGCTGGAGTGCAGTGGTGCAAACTTGGCTCATTGCAACTCTGCCTTCTGGGTTGAACTCAGCATGCAATTCTTGTTAACTTTGTGGGGGAAGTTTCAGTGGCACATACTAGCATGAATAGGACTGAAATGGGAATGTTACTAGTAAAAAAACCAGATTTCATTAGCCTGGTGAGTAAAAAATGACTGTTCATGAGAACACAAGTTTTCATCAATAGGAGTGTTAAGGAAGAGAACACTGAGAGTATTCTTCAAAGCAGTGTCTTCCTGAGGGAAAGAGACGAAAGGTTTTATGGGATGACGGACAGGGGAGAGAATACATCATCACATGTAGATAAGTGAGAGTAGGGGTCCCAGTTGTACAGATGTAGTGAGCCATTATGCCAGTACATAAGTTGCATGTTATAGTAATGAAGCTGCATGTTACGGTAATGAAACTCCTTTGGGGTGGATATTTTAGGAATGTAATGAGGAAAATTTACTAGGGTCCATCTATAAGTTGCCAGAGTCTGTCAGAAACTGGTTCCAACCAACGAGGTGATTGTATTCCACACACGGTTTGGGGAAAAACAGACTTCAGGGCAGGATGCTGTGCAACAGGCTGATTGTTCAATTTGATTAAATTCCTGTAATTCCGAAAGAGCCTCTCTGTTTGCTGAGAAAAATATCACAGATTTAGAGCCATAGATTATGGCTCAAGAGACAGCTGAAAGGTTAGGAAGTCTATGCTACTAGCCAAGGAATCATCAGATTCCATTAGATTCTCTACTGGGGGGAGAGCAAGATTAATGAGTTAATAACCAGGGCTGGAAAGGCTGTAACATTGCAAGAACAGAAAATCAAGCAGACCATTACACCATCTTACAGATTTACATTGTTCCCACTTACAGATTTACGTTTATATCGGACAGTATAATGTTCAGGATCCTCTGTCACCTCACTCCCCATTGCCGTTTTCCAAAATCAGCAGATAAAATTGGAAACAATACCAGTAGTTGCTGTTGCTGTTGTTTTGAGACAGGGTCTTGCTCTGTCACTGAGGTTGGAGTGCAGTGATGTGATCATAGCTTACTGCAGCCTCAACCTCCTGGGCTCAGGTGATCTTCCTGTCTCAACCAAGTAGCTGGGACTACAGCCATGTGCCACCAAACTCAGCTAATTGTTTTTTCTTTTAGATGGAGTCTTGCTCTGTCGCCCAGGCTGGAGTGCAGTGGCACGATCTCTGCTCACTGCAAACTCCACCTCCCGGGTTCACGCCATTCTCAGGCCTCAGCCTCCTGAGTAGCTGGGACTACAGTCGCCTGCCACCAGTCCTGGCTAATTTTTTTTGTATTTTTAGTAGAGACAGGGTTTCACTGTATTAGCCAGGATGGTCTCGATCTCCTGACCTTGTGATCCACCTGCCTTGGCCTCCCAAAGTGCTGGGATTACAGACGTGAGCCACTGCGCCCGGCCCTCAGCTAATTTTTAAATTTTTTTTAGAGGTAAGATCTCACTATATTTCCCAGGATGGTATTGAACTCCAGAGCTGAAGGGATCCTCCTGTTTCAGACTCCCAAAATGCTGGAGCTACCTGTAGTCATCACACCTGGCCTAATTCCAGTTCTTTCTATGTGACTGAAACCCTGGCTATTATTACTGGGTGCCAGGGGAAGAGTGATACTAAGACTTTGTTTTTCTTTATTTAGTTATTTTTCATAGGAATTCTACCATAATTTACATGGTTAAAGTGTTTATAAATATTCTTTTTTTCAAATTAAGACAGATTGTCTATAGTCCCGTATTTAAGAATTTGGTCAAAAACATAGTTTTCTACTCATTTATAAATACTCAAATGAAAAATAAATGTAAAAGTACACAAGGTCCATGAGCGCTACATAAGCCAAGGATCCTGGTTGTGTTGCCCAAGATATTTCAGTTTAATGCCTGAATGGTTAAGATCAGCAGTTAATTTATGAAGCCATCAATTATCTTTACAAAGAACTGTTCCTGATTGAATTCACCAGACCTTACAATCAGTTTCATCAAGTAGCAATGTAGCAAAGAATGCCATTTTAGGGAGAGAAAAAAAGGAAAGAAAGAACTCCTTAAGCCACTTTGACTGTGGTAATAGTGCCAAAGTCTCCATTTTTAGGAAAACTTAACAATAACTCACATTTATTAAGCCCTTACTCTATGCATGACATTCTACAGAGAACTCTACATATAGTGTCTCATGGATTTCTTGTAACAGCACTCTCAGATATTATCTCTGTTTTAAAGATTGAAAGAGAAAGGTTCAAGCTGGTTAAGTTATTCCAAGTTGTTCATTCAAGGCAACTGAGCCACTCAGAGCAGCATTATCACTTTTATGAGCTCTAGGCATTTTTGTCTTTGTGAGCCCCTTTCTTCATTAAAAAACAAAAATTATATCTTATAACTGCTTAACTATGAAGACAATTATATCCCAGGCTGGATTTACTCTTACATATCCGTTATTATTATATTCAATTCTTTTTTCTTGAATTCAAAATAAATTAAAATTAAAATATTTTGTGAGACCCCCCCAAAAATCATGAGACCTTGGCATCGTGCCTACTGTGCCTAATAAATAAGCTGGCCCTGCAGAGACAGGATTCAAACTTGGGCTGATGGAATGAGTCCAATAGCTACGTCCTTCTATGCATTCCCCTCATCTTGGCCACTGTCAAATCGTGAACCTCACATTTTTCCCACTTCTCTCAAAATGATTTTTAAAATACTAATGTCACAATCTACCCAGCCTAAATTCTGTGAATTTGTAGAACTCCAATTTCTTTGCTTCCAAGATGTAACACTCCAGAATTAATTCAGGATTAAAAAAAAAAAAAAACAAAAAGAAAGAAAGAAAAAAGTCACAGTATTTGCAATGCTGCAAAGGGAAAGGAAATGTTTTATTCGTAGTCATTTGAACTCTTAAAGCCATAAAGAACAAAGATGCCTAACATATCTTTATCATTCATTTCTGTGTTATTGAACCAAAACTGCCTGCAGGTGCATGTGGCTATTTAAAGGAAATTGTAAATCGCTTTCATATCTTACTAATGTAGTGAGGACGTATAAATAGTTGCACATGGCAGATAATTAGTTTATGCCAACACATTATTGTGCTTACGAGCATCTGGATATCAACTACTTGGCAAAAGAGCCAAAGAAAGTTATTGCTAACAAAATACTACGAAGTCATTTCCAAAATGCTGAGTGGTGAATATTTAAATGACAAAAAAGAGTATGTTAAACTTATGCTAACGGGTAAGATTTAAGTTAAAGAAATTCAGAGAAAAAGTAGCCATGACAAACAAAGAGTGGTATGCTTAATATTGATGCTTCCTGGGACTTTTGTTGCTTCCCTTTTATTATTTTCTTATAAAATAATAGAAGAAAACAAATGCATGGATATGCAGATACATATATAGATTATATAATTATATGACTATATTATATAAATTATATAGATTACAAAGAATAAAACATCAGAAAAGCATCCTTAGAAGTGTTTATTTCTAGAAGAAATTATTATATATATTTATACAATTTTTTTAAAGTGTGGCATATTGTATAGTTAAATCCCAAATTCAAAAATATATTCTAAGATATATGTGCATTATTTCTTTTGTCTGATACTCTGAACTTTGTTCATCCATGCAGAAGACTAAATTTCCTGTGCCCCTGCTAAACTGGCCATTTTTTCTCTTGTATCCATCCCATGGAGCACTCAGATGTCATGGATGTTGAAGGAAAGATGGGTAGGTCTCTTACTTGCTGCCCATTGTGGCACTGAGACCATTCATTGTCCTTTCCTTCTACCTCATTATCTTATCTTTTTGAAGTTAATTGCTTGAGTCCATCACCTCATATCCCTTCTTGTTGTTCCTATTTTCTATCTTTTCATGCTTTTTTTCTAGTATTTCAGAACTATTCCTGAATTACAGACTCATATATCTAAGTGCTTACATGGCATTTCCAGTTGGAGTTTGTATTAGTCTGTTCTCACATGGCAATGAAGAACCACCTGGGACTGAGTAATTTATGAAGACAAGAGGTTTAATTGACTCACAGTTCTGCAGGCTTAACAAGAAGCATGAGTGGGAGGTCTCAGGAAACTTAGGACTATCATGGCAAAAGGCAAGCAAGGACATCTTATCATGGTGGAGCAGGAAAGAGAGGGGAGGGGAGGTGCCACACACTTTTGAAGAATCAGATTTCGTGAGAACTCACTCACTATTACAAGAACAGCAAGGGAAAAATCTGCTCCCAAGATCTAATCATCTCCTACTAGGCCCCGTCTCTAATTTGACATGAGATTTGAGTGGGGACACTAATCCAAACCATGTCGGAAGTTTAATAGGTATAACAAATTTATCATGTCTAGTATTGAAATCTTGATTTCCATCTCCCAAATATGTTCCTCACGTGGTCTTTTTCATCTCCATAAAATAGCACTTTCATTCTTCACGTTGTTTAGACCCGAGCTTTAAAGTCCTTGTTTACTACCTTTTATTCTCACACTCATACAATCAAACTGCAAATCCTTTGTTTCTACCTTCAAAACAGCAGAATCCTTCCCATTCTCATTGACTCTATTACAACTACTACTCCAGGCCTAAACTCTCTGACTTGGATGATGGTAATTGCTCCTAAATATTCTCTCTGCATGTATTCATGTTTCCCTGTAGTCTCTTCCCTGTAATCCTGCATCTCCATGTGGAAGCTTCCACTTTCATCCCCAGCCACACGGGAACTGAGCTAACAGCTGACCTCACCCTCAGGGGATAAAGAGTGGACACCATGTCTATATATATCATTCTCAATAGTATTAAGCATTTGACTTTTTATAGCCATTTAAATGTCATTTCTAATCAGAGTAGTAGTTGTGTGTCATAAAAAACCCAACTATCATAGAAAGCTAAACCAAAAACCTAAACCCTGCTTCTCACCCCTTAGTTGCACCACCTCGGAGGCAACAACTTTTAACTCTCTTAACTGTTTTGTCTAGCAGTTACCTCCTTCTATAAAAACAACATACATACATTGATATTCCTTTGCTCATTAATTTCTAATATTATCCTCAGAGTCTCTGCTATTTTGGATGAGGATTTAGTTCTTTTATAACTCTACCCTACTAAACTATCTCCTAGGCCTTATATGGTTTTATTACTGTTTATATTTTAATGAATAAATAGTGCATACATGATTATGGTTAGGTATATATTTTGCACTGGAGAGCCAAGCAGAGTAATTCTTTTCCATTTTCCATCTTTTAAGTATTTTCTTTTCACGTCATGTTTTAATTACCTTTCATTTTCTTGATTATATTCTCAAATGTTCTTTCAAACTTTTATTATGTTGGGAATTCTGAGACAGTCTCTCTCTTTACCTCTTTTTATTCCCCCAGAAGATCTTTTTTCTGGAGTCTTCATTCTACTGTTCTAAACTGGATGATATGATTTTGGACAAAAATATTTATTTAAGGTTCAGTTTTATCACCTATAACATAGACATATGGAAAATCTATAAAGCATGCAGAATTATTATGAGGACTAAATGAGACATCTAAGAAAATACTTTATCAACTAAAAAGTACCAAAAATTAATGATGGTATTATTACTTTCATCATTAAAATATTATTCTCATGTTGAATTGTCAAAGCAACTTCACAAATGCAAGGTACTTTGGAAAGGACAAGCATCAATAACTCTGCCTGGCCACCCCAGATGAATATCTGGCTGGGAGGCAGCATGAAGCATTCAAAAGAACTTTGACTTTATAATGAAAGGACCTGGATTTGACATTTTCGCATTTCACTGACTAATATTAGTTAAGTCATTTGACTTTTTCTCATTTCAATGTTTCTAATATGCTATAATAGCACTAGCTTTTTTCCATGTTTTAAATTTTTTTCTATTTAAATAAATTTTTAATTAAGGTAATTACAGATTCACAATTAGTTACAAAAATAGTACAAAGAGGTCCCATGTAACATTGCTCAGGTTCTTCTTATATTATTGACATAATTATAGCACATTAGAAAAATCCCCAGATCAGTAAACTACCATTAACTAAACCATTGATTTTTTTTTGACATTTCAAAACCTGAATATGATACAGTAATTCATATATACACATAAAAGTGAGTACAACTTCCTGACTTTTCACAGATTAAACACACCCTTGTAACCAGCATTTTAACAAAAGGCAGTAAATTGCTAGCACCCCAGAATCACCTCTTGGGTTCCCGTTCCAACCCAACTCCTTGATATTTCTAACAACAGATATTAGTGTTGCTTTTACTGTAATTATAAAAATGAAGTCATACTTCTTCATTCTCTTGTGTCTGCCTCCTTTAGTTCAACACATTTGTGGAATTCACTTTTGTTGGTTTCTTTATGTCTTTTGTCTTTGTTTTTATTTTATTTCAACACATAAAAGTCTTTTTAAATGTAATCAAACTTATGAGTCTTTTATGGCATCTACAATTTGAAAGAGGTTTTTAATTTAAGTTTATTTTTATTTTTATTTCCATAGGTTCTTGGAAAACAGGTGGTTTTGGTTACACGAATAGGTTCTTTAGTGGTGATTTCTGAGAATTTGGTGCACTCATCACCTGAGCAGCATACACCATGCCCAATTTGTAGTATTTTATCCCTCACCCTTCCCACCCTCTCCCCCAAGTCCCCAAAGTTCATTGTATCATTCTTATGCCTTTGAATCCTTATAGCTCAGCTGCCACTTATGAATGAGTGAGAACATATGATGTTTGGCTTTCCATTCCTGAGCTACTTCACTTAGAATAATGATCTCCAATTCCATCCAGGTTGCTGTAAATGCCATTATTTCATTCCTTTTTATGGCTGAGTAGTATTCTACCATATATATATATATATATATTCTATCATCTATATATTCTATCATATATATTCTATCATGTATATATTCTATCGTATATACACACATGTTTTTGATATATATCATATATGACATATATATTACACATATATGTATACACACACACTATGTATATACACACACACACATATACTACGTTTTTTATTCACTCTTTGATTGATGGGCATTTGGTCTGGTTCCATATTTTAGCAATTGCAAACTATGCTGCCATAAATATGAGTGTGCAAGTATCTTTTTTGTATAATGACTTCTCTTCTTCTGGGTAGATACCCAGTAGTGGGATTGCTGGATCAAACGGTAGTTCTACTTTTAGTTGTTTAAGGAATCGCCACACTGTTTTCCACAGTGGTTGTACTAGTTTACATTTCCACCAGAAATGTAAAAGTTTCCCCTTTTTACCACATCCCCACCAACATCTATAATTTTTTTGATTTTTTTATTATGGCCATTCTTGCAGGAGTAAGGTGGTATCACATTGTTGTTTTGATTTGTAGTTCCCTGATCATTAGTGATGTTGAGCATGTTTTCATATGTTTGTTGGCCATTTGTGTATCTTCTTTTGAGAATTGTCTGTTCATGTCCTTAGCCCAGTTTTTGATGAGATTGTTTTTTTGTAGCTAATTTGTTTAAGTTCCTTGTAGATTCTGGATATTGGTCCTTTGTCAAATGTGTACATTTTGAAGATTTTCTTCCACTCTGTGGGTTGTCTGTTTACTCTGCTAATTGTTTCTTTTGCTGTATAGAAGATTTTTAGTTTAATTAAGTTCCATCTATTTGTTTTTGTTGCATTTGCTTTTGGGTTCTTGGTCGTGAAGTCTTTGCCCAAGCCAATGTCTAGAAAGGTTTTTCTGATGTTATCTTCTAGAATTTTTATAGTTTCAGGTCTTAGATTTAAGTCCTTGATCCATCTTGAGTCAATTTTTGTATAAGGTGAGCGATGGGGATCCAGTTTTATTCTTCTGCATGATGCCAGCCTATTATCCCAGCATCATTTGTTGAATAGGGTGTCCTCTTCTCTATTCAACAAATTTTTTTTGTATGTTTTTGTTTGCTATGTCAAAGATCAGCTGCCTGTAAGTATATGGCTTTATTTCTGGGTTTTCTAGTCTATTCCATAAGTCTATGTTCCTATTTTTATACTAGTAGCATGATGTTTTGGTGACTATGGCCTTATAATATAGTTTGAAATCATATAATGTGATGCCTCCAGATTTGTTCTTTTTGCTTAGTCTTGCTTTGGCTACACAGGCTCTTTTTGGTTCCATATGAATTTTAAGATTGTTTTTTCTAGTTCTGTGAAGAATGATGGTGATAGTATGATGGGAATTGCATTGACTTTGCAGATTGCTTTGGGCAGTATGGTGATTTTCACAATATTGATTTTACCCATCCATGAGCATGGGATGTGTTTCTATTTGTTTGTGTCATCTATGATTTCTTTCATCCATGTTTTGTAGTTTTGCTTGTAGAAGTCTTTCATCTCCTTGGTTAAATATATTCCTAAGTATTTTATTTATTTATTTTTCTGCAGCTATTTTAAAAGGGGTTGAGTTCTTGATTTGATTCTCAGCTTGGTTGCTATTGGCTTATAGCAGAGCTACTGATTTGTGTACATTAATTTTGTATCCTAAAATTGTGCTGAATTCATTTATCAGTTCTAGGAGCTTTTTGGAGAAGTCTAGGATTTTCTAGGTAAACAGTCATATCATCAGCAAACAGTGGCACTTTGACTCACTCTTTATTGATTTGAATGCCCTTTATTTCTTTTTCTTGTCTGATTGCTCTGACTAGGGGACTTCCAGAACTATATTGAATAGAAGAGGTGAGAATGGGCATCCTTGTCTTGTTCTAGTTCTCAGGGGAAATGCTTTCAACTTTTCCCCATCAGTATTATGTTGGCTGTGGGTTTGTCCTAGATGGCTTTTATTACATTGAGGTATGTCCCTTCTATGCCGATTTTGCTGAGGGTTTTAATTATAAAGGATTGCTGCATTTTCTCAAACACCTTTTCTGCGTCTATTGAGATGATCATGTGATTTTTGTTTTTAATTGTGTTTATGTAATGTATCACATTTATTGGCTTGCACATGTTAAACTATCCCTGCACTATCTGTTTTTAATTAGTCAGAGTAACACTAACTGCTGTAATAAACCCAGTATCAATGGCTTACCCCAACAATTTCTTTTCTCTTGCCCACTTAACAGCCTAATGTGGTTTCTCTAGGCTGGTAATCAACCTTACTCAACACAATACATGGACCCAAGTTTTCCCCACATGGCAGTTTTGCCTATTTTATGCAGTAGCAGAAGGGGAAGCACAGAGAAGAACACACATTGCTTAAAAGCTTTGGTTCAGAAGTGATAGGTCTCACATCCACTCATATTACATTGGTGAAAAATAGTCATACCAAAATATAAGGGATGGAGGGAGACTGATAAATCATTTCTACTTAGTCACTTTCCAGCAACTACTTTACTTTCACAGTATTACAAGTGAAAAAATACAAGTTTTGATGGAAAGCAAACCATCTTCTCCAGTACTCTGTTGAATAGAAGCTATTTCACACGTATTTATGGAAATAAAATATGAGTACACAATTTTACATTTAATACGTAAGACTATTTTGTAAACTCTAACTTACTATTAAAATCTCAGCTCCATGTGTGAGTACTTGTGTGTGTGTTTGTGTGTGTTACATGTAAATAATTCATTATTAGGACCACATATCTGACTAAATATCAATCAAGTAATAACTTTCCTCATTCCATTTAGTTCAACAGCTATTTATTGAGCATCTGTTACATGCTAGGCAGTCTAGTAGATGCCAAACATACCGCTATATATGAGGAGATAGGCAAAAATATTTTCTACCCATGTAATTGGTGCTTATAGACAAGCACACAGTAAGATATATAACAAATTATCCTTAAAACATCACCATTTCATCCCTAAATATTCAGGAAGCTATTATTTAGTTTCCATTAGGAAAACAAAACAATTTGTCTACTGTAGGGGAGAAAAATACAGGAAATACTAAACCCAACAAGGCTAGACCATTTTCTTTATAGCATGATTTTGGACATTGTGAGTGTCCAAAAGAGACCCAAAAATACAGATTCCTAAACTTGCTTTCCCAGTTACATGTTTTCCTAATAAAATCTTGTAGAACATCGCCACTGGAGAATTTCATAGCTGGAGCATCTTCTTTCGCAGTTTTATCACAGCACTTTCATGAGTCAGAAATACAATAAAGGCTCACCTCTAAATATTGTTTTCATTTTCTTTTGTGATTTGACTTGAATTTTAAATTTAAAAGACCTAATTTTTAGATATCTTGGAAAACTTTCTCATTTAGGCCACTGTGGGGAACTAGAAGAAACACCATCTGTTGACACTGTGAAATCAAGCACCCCAGGCTGGAAATTTGAACATATCCTTTTTCACTTTTTAAAATTATTTATTTAATATGTTTCTTATCTATCCCCTATCTTCTTCTAGCCACTCTGCTCATTGAGTGAAAACTAACACATTATGTTTCATAAAAAATAGTTATATAGATTTACTCTATTCCTAGGTTTCCTGAAGAACATGCTTCTAACAAATATCTGAAGTCCCTTCCTGGGAATCAAGTACATACCGTTACTGTTCACACTGTCTGCCCTAAAACTCACTCTTGGGGAACATCATCTTAATCCTGTTCAGTGAAATGTCAATTAATAATTACCCCTAAGCCACTTTCTATCTGGCCATACATTCTAATTTCTAATCCCTGGATATTTCTGCTGCTAATATAATCATGAACTATTTAGTTTAGTGACAAATTTTTTAAACTGATTTGTTAAACTTCATTAGAAAAGGCACTACGTTTTCCTTACGCTTCATTCAAATTTTTTTTTCAAATAAATCCAGGAATTTTTTTTTAAGGAATACTATGTATGTCTCATCAGTGAGGTCGCATGTTAATAATCAGGCATGTGTTCAAAATTTATTCTCAAAGCGGGGGTTCCTACCTTTGACCTAAAAGACAATACAGTGACTCTCTGCAGTATTTGTTTTATCATTTCCTGTCATTAGGCAATTCTCCTGAGTTGGGCAAGTATCTGAAGCAGGCACGCTTGCTGATAGCTGGTCACTGGCCAGCAGTCCTCTGGCCCCTATTAAAATCAGAACTGGGACTTATGCAACTTCTGGTTCTTCCATTATGCAAAATTAAATTGTTTGAAAAGTTAATCTGCTGACTCGTTGACCCACTGCTAAGCAGAAGAATAATGTAAGACAATTTGTGTAGCCTAAAGGAGACCTGGCTTGGAGTGTGGGGTAGAAGGACAGGGCTGACTAGAAGCACTAGCTTAGCTTCAGGGCTGAACATGTTGCCATGTCTCTAGGGGAAGTGCCTTTACCTAGTTTTTCTAATGTTTTCTAATTTTCTCTGAGAGATGTTATTAACAATAAACACTACATGACATTTGGATTGGACCTACTCTGGAGAAGGCAAATGACTCTATCTTCAACTCGCAATGAAGAAATGGACACATGAATGAGTGAGGTGAGACAGTAGGGGTGGGGTTAAATATACAGCCTTTGTCATCAGGCAGAGATTTGCTGGCACCCCTGCTCCACTGTTGATTAAGCGGTTAGTCCATTTCTAAGCCTGTATTTCTATGTTAAAAAAATGAGGCTGACAATATTTACCTGGAAGGATTATTAAGAGGATTAAATGGAAAACATAGTGCCTGGCTTAGGGTAAATGCTTGAAAAGTGTGACTATCTCATAGCGAGCTTATGGTAAAACCAAGCTTAGAACTGGGGTGTTCTCTTTTCATTAAATCATGTAGAAGTCAGTTAACACAAATACTCAAATTAAGAAGAAATAGAAAGCTGCACAATTCTCTACATGACAAGATGTATTTTATATCCATTTTGTTCTGAGAATTTGAAAATGACACTGGAATGATATCTTCTGCTTCATAGTCCCTCTGTTATTTTTGTCATTTTTTTCTTCTAAATTGATTTTCCCTTTCTTTTTTTAGAAGATTCAGCTGTTTCATTTTGTTTTCCAAATAAGCATTTTAAATTAAGTTATTTTTATTATAGTTTTCAAAGTTAAATAGTACACTGATAAGTGATGTTGATTTTATGCTATTAAAGTCAAATTTGTTTAATGTGCCTTGTTTTTAAATTTAATTTTAAACTTTATTTAAATAAATATGTAATATCAAGAATAGGAAGGAAGTTTCAAAAGATGCAGGTCAGCTGATTGTTAAATTATGTCTTGATAATAAGCTATTTTGAAAGAGATAGGCACTTTGCTTGGGTTGTTTTGCAGCAATTTTGACCATTTTAAAATAAAACTAATCAATTCTTCTGAGCCGCAAATAAATACATATTCATAAATACCAAAGTAATGAGAAAAACAGTAGTGGACATCAAAATTGATTTTATGGTGCATCCAATAAAAATGACACATACAATACTTAACATTTTAATTTTAACTTAAATCACATGCATATCCATTTATTTGCCAATATTTTCATATAGAAATGCCAACATGTAACATTTTCTTTGGGTTTAACTGAAGTTCTAAATTATCTCTTTTACATGAATCACGTCCAAAATGCATCTTCTTACAATTCACTTTTTTTTCTCAAAATTCTTCTCTCTTCTTTCTTTATGTATTTCTTTTTGCCTGCCTGTCTCCTTTCCTTCCTCCCTCCTCCTTTCCCTGCCTTCTTCCCTCCCTCCTTTCCTTCCTTCCTCCCATTACATGGGTGCTTAAAGAGGCAGGTGGAGAAATCTAGATTCATAACTTAGTTACAAATTCTTTATAAATTTTTATAATTTCACTCTAGTTTTTAGTTGTTTCTCCAACACAAAATTATCAAAATTAATTTTAGTATTATATAATAACTCACATTCATCAATATTTAACAAAGCAGCTAATTTTATTTTCATATTTTATCAGTTTACAAGTATTTCATTATGATGAGTATTGCCCTGATAAGTACAATTGGCACAAATGGGTAGGGGACAAAAAATTTTGAAAGCATCTTAAATATAGTGGGAGACAAGCCTATGTCTGGGAGCAATTGGTATCTATGGGTATTAGTCATTATATTTTAAGAAAATGATGGAAACATTCTTAGCTACTTGTTAAGAGGCCAAATAAGAAGGCATTTACTGTAATTACTTTCAAAACATTTATGAATTTTAGCAAAATCGGCCTTAATAAGATAAAATGTTCTTCAGAGCCTGGGTCTGAACAAATTTAATGGACACATTCCAAACATCTGGCCTCCACCCTACAGCTCCTTTCTTCTGTAGTAAAATAAGGGGCTAACCGTAAGCTGAGGTAACTAACTGACTGATGGGATCAGGGACGGCAAGACCCATGATGGATACTTTAGACATCACTTTACACACTGGGGAAATTGGATGTGTTGGTCTCAGTTTGAATAATTTTATTTATTTATTTATTTATTTATTTATTTACTTACTTACTTACTTACTTATTTTTGAAATGAAGTCTCACTCTGTTACCCAGGCTGGAGTGCAGTGGTGCAATCTGGGCTCACTGCAACCTCTGCTTCCTGGGTTCAAGCGATTCTTCTGCCTCAGCCTCCGAAGTAGCTGGGACTACAGGCGCATGCCACCAAGCCCAGCTAATTTTTGTATTTTTAGTAGAGACAGAGCTTCACCATGTCGGCCAGGCTGATTTCAAACTTCTGGCCTCAAGTGATCTGCCAGCCTTGGCCTCCCAAAGTGCTGGGATTACAGGCGTGAACCACCATGACCTGCCTGAATAATTTTAATGCATAGATTGGATCACAGGATCAATCTCACCTTTTGAGATCTATAGAAAATGAGAAGAAAACATTCAAAGCAAAAAGAAAAGCAGGTTCTAACTAGATAATGCTTTTTTCTATTCTTTCTTTTTCTTTTTTCTTCTCTTCCTCTCAGTCCCTTTTACTGGATTATCTTCCTCTTTCTGAGCCATAAATGTTGGAGTACTTCATTTAGCCATTCTCTTGTCTCCCCCTCTTTTCTTCCTATAATTAATTCCTAGGTAAGTCCATCTGAGTCCATGGCTTGAAGTCACTAATAACTCCCAAATTTAAACCTCCAGGCTCTCCCATTTTTTTCTGAAATCTAGGATATACCATTTAGGTGTCTAATAAGCATCATAAACTTAAAAGAAATCTTTGCTGTGGTTTGAATGTCCCCTCAAAAATGCAGATGTTGTCGATGTGATGGTATTGAGAGGTAGGGCCTTTACGAGAAGACCAGGTGATGAGAGTTCCTCCCTGGTTAATGGGATTCATGCCTTTATAGAAAAGTTTCATTCGGTGTTCAGTTATCTCCTGCCCTTACACCTTCCACGATTTAAGGATGCAGCAAGATGGTCTCACCAGTTACTGACACCTTGATCTTGGACTTAACAGCCTCCAGAACTGTGAGAAATGCATTTGTGTTATTTATAAACGACCCAGTTTCAGATATCTTGTTATACCAACACAAAACAGACTAAGAGAGTCTCCCAAGATGAATGTATGATTCCTGCTGCACTTCAAAACCAGCTCCTCTCTGCCTTCCTCCTGCACACCCTACAGTGCTTCCTAACTCTCTAAATAATGCTATTATTCTATCAGTAGCTCAGGACAAATTTTAGGGAGCCATTCTTTACTTTCTTCAACCTCCATCTCCTCCATATAATCCATTCATATTTCCCATTAGCTCACCTTAAATCTAGAAACTAACCATTTCTTACTCATTTTACAATTACTATCCAAATCCACATTATAATCATTTCATCCTTGGATTGGGGCAACTGCCTTCTAATTAGTCTGTCTGATTTTACTCTTGCTATTCTTCAGTTTATAATTCCCAAAGTCAGAGTAATCCTTTCCAAGATAAATCACATCTTGTCCTTTCTTTATTCAAACATTAGTAGTTTCTTATATTAAAATAATGTACAAATATATCAATACCTAATTATGTGTGTATATGTCACAATAACATCAAGGCCCTACAATATCAGGGTCTTACAATACTCCATCAAGGTCCCACAATATCAGACATCCACTCCTTCTTTCTACCACACTTCCTTCTGCCTACTATGCTACTGCCACATGGTTCTTTTGGTTGTGTGTTAGTCACACCACACATGCTCTGTCTTGGCCCCTTAGCTTGTCATTCTATGCTTGTAACATTCAATCGCTAGATATACACTGTCTCTGATCAGCTATTATCACTTCAGAGTGATGACCACTTTATCTAAAAATAACATCTCTGGAAACTCTCTATCCCTTTTTATTTTTCTTCATGATACTTATCACTACCTGACATTATATTTTATATCTATTTGATCATTCTTCTGCTACCTACCTACTAAATGTACGCTCTATGAGAGCAGTATTTTGTCTGTTTCATTCACTGATGCATCCCAGAGCCTGCAGTAGTGACAAGCATATAGGAGACATCTAATAAATATATTTTAAATGAATGAATTCAGAGATAAGGAAGGGAAAAGTATGAAAGCACTCTGATAGTGTCTGAGACCACAAAGAGGAGTAAAACATGAACAAGGTGGCCTTGACTTCTTACTGCTATTCCCTCACATGAACAGTTCAGCATTACTCCAATTCTGAGTACCCAGCATAGTTCAAACAAAGGAGCCAGAAATGAGCAAAGCATTTCTAATGGGAATTGAGCACTTAGGTGAGCTTGGCACTTGGCTGAGTATTGGATACACAGAGATAATTTGGAAATGATCCCTGAGTTTCAAATATTTGTAGTTTAAGAAAATGCAGAAATTAATGTAGTGCACTGTGGTAAGTAAAATAACTGAAGCACGAGCCCCATAAATACTTTGTAGGGATCCAAATTAGAAAATGGCCATACTGTGCTAGATGTAGCTGTGTTGGAGAAAGCGTCACAAAGGATTCTTGTGTCAAATTACTCTTTTGGCTAAAACTCATATGTTTTTAAACCTATTATAAGTTGACTTGATGAAGAAATCATAATTTATTCTTAGAAATCATTATTTATTCCATTGAAAACCTTACTTTAATTAGTATTTCTTCCCCTTGACAGATTTGACACAGGTCGTTTTCTTATATGTCTATCCAAAGGAAATGGAGAAAAAGAATAATGTAGTCAGGTAGAATACATGTTCAGAAATCTGACATAATCTGAGTTTAAATTTTAAATATATGTTCACATAAAATGTATTTAGGCAATTTTGAAAACTGTAGTGACTTTGGGTGTTGTATGTATAGCATTGAGCTCAAGTAAGCAGATCATATAGATGGAAACAGACTTTAAGAAGAAAAAAATGAAGAGTGGAAGTATTTTAGTAACATTACTTTTTTGAAATATTTGAGAAAATATTTTTCAGAAGCAGTTGATTAGAAACAAAATTATTTCCAAGTGGCTTAAAACACCATACTGTTGATTTTTTCTATGTAGAAAATATCGCATACATTTGATGTAAAACATCTATAAGCTGATGGATGGCAATAGGATATATAAGCCTAATTAGGTTTACAATATAAAACATGCATCTCAAAATTGTTTCCTTCATTCTACCTCAAAACACATATACGCATACACACATATACATGCACACACACACACACACACACGCCCACACACACACATTACCTGGCTAATTGAAATATGTTTTCACAGCTTCAAATGTATGTTGAATTGCTTTTGATGCCAGAAAACTCCTAGCATCACTTAAATTGCTATACACACTCTGTAGCTGATATCTACAATTTTGGCACATAAAACCAAAATATCCATATTTTTACCATTTATTTTTAATCCATTTGTGTAAGGTAAAGCTAACACGTGAACAAATTCCCTTCCAGTGTAACTGACTGGCAAGATAACACATCCAAGAGCAGGTTTTGACATAGCTCTGGGTCACTGGAGAAAGGTTTCAAGTGACCTAGTTAGGTAAAAGAAAGGAGTAAAACGGGGTGGTGGGGATAACTGATCTCCCTCCTTTACCAGTTGGCTTATGAAGGCATCTACTCTAATTTTTTTAAGGTGTCCTAGAGAAACCTCTGGGCTTAGTCACAGCCAATATTTTAATGCAAACAATATATATAATTTATGGTCATTAAAACTATTAAAATGTTCTGGCAGAAGATTCCTCCCACTAATCAGCTGGATGATATCCCCAGAGTCAGGAAATGCTTTTCCTTATTCAGTCCTTTGGAAACAAATAAGAGGGGTGAGAGCATTGCCTACCTTTTTGAGGGGGGGTTATTGGCTAATGTTGGATTAGTTAAAATTGGTTTGATTATTTTGCAAACAGTCATTTCCCCTTTAACCTACTGAAGAGTCTCAGTTTTGTTCTGATACCTATCCTGCCACCTCAGGTAACAAGAATTCTTTTTTTTAATGTTATTAAGGTATATTTGACAATTAGAATTTTATATATTTAAGGTGTACAATTTGACAATTTGATACACATGTACATTGTGAAATAATCACCACAATCAAGTTAATTAACATATTCATCACAACAGATAGTATCAATTTTTGGGGGGTGAAAACACTTAAACTCTACCCTCTTAGCAAATTTTAAGTATCAATAAAGTATTGTTAATCATAGTCAGATTATTGTACATTATATCTTTAGAGATCTAATCCTTCCTTCCATTTATTGATCTTGATGTGAGAACGTGACCCAGTTTTAGCTAGTAAGACATGAGAAATCTTCAGGGTGTTTCTGGAAATGGCTTCTTCACCTCTAACTAGAGATTCAAAGAAGAAATGATTCTGTTTCTCCTGCTGGACATTGTAGTATCTTTCACAGAAGTATGGATCTGTAACAGCTATTTTCCAAGTAAACACTCAGACTGAGGAGATAACACAACAGGGGGCATGAAAACAGAAAGGTAGAAGAAATTTTGTCCCATGTGACATCACTGGTTTACAAAATTAACTAAATCTGAAACCATTATATCAATGAACTTTTCATTTTGTCTTTCTTTTGATAAGACTATTTCCTTATTATTGAAGCCATTTCTATTACTCACAGCCAAATCTATATTTGCTTTAAAATCAAAAGGAAGAATCATACACAGCAATAGTTTTAAAAAATAAATTATTTAATTACAACAGGTACAAAACCCAAGCTTATTCACTACACTTCAAACTGAGATTTCTTTATTCCCAATTCTCTCACCCAGATAAGAAACTAAATTGCAAACATGTTGCAGCTGCTGAATGACTCAGCCTGGCAAGCTTCCTGTCTGGAATAATGTGCTGCTCTGGGAACTTCTCATCAAACATTCACCCCAATAGCATAAGTATATACTTTCAACAGTTATTTATCAGATATTCATTACTGAAAGTATGGATCGTATGGAATATAGCAGGAGTCTAAGATATGTTCTCTGCCCTCATGACACTGACCATCAAATTAAGAAAAGAAGGCACGAGTAAATAAAAATAATAGAAAGAATGCTATAGATAGTATAAAACCAAATGCCAAATAAATGATGTCAAAAATTAATTCCACAATCTAAGAAGGGAAAATATCAGCATAAGCTGGAACATTCATGAGAGATGATGGAGTTTATATTAAGACTGTTAGACAAGCGGAGGACAAGATGATGGAATTTATATTAGGACTATTAGAAAATAGGGAGATTCTGAAGGGAAGAGGAAATAATTTTCAATGTTATTCTTTAACTCTGCATGGTAAAATGTTGAATTGAGAAAGAAATGTACAGAGATCATAAAACAGAAGGATGATGCAAAAGAAGAGTCAGATATAAGTGGAGCACACAAGATTCGACTGACTGTGGAAAGCCTTGGACACCAGGCTAAGAAATCTGACCTTGATCCTGAAGACAAGAAAATAATTGGAGGTTTTGAGCAGGGAAGTACAACAGTGAAAGTAATCTTCTTGTAAGCAAAACCTTTTGTCTGTATGCAGAATTAGAAGGGAAGGAATGGCAGCAGGGTGCTTGTGAATAGGCCATTGCAGCACTGTTGTCATGAGAAAAAAGTTATATTTACAATTTACATCATTAAGCAAGGTTGTCACTAAGTAGAATTAAATTGATCTAAATGAGTTGACAATTCAGTAAAAGAAGGAAAACCAGTGCAAGTTATTTGATAACGTGTAGATCAATACACAAGATATTGATTGGCTTTATCGTTTTGGAAATAATCATTGTTGTGGTTGAGGTTCATGCTCAATCACAAACTAAGAGTTTCCAGTTGGTACAAGAGAAAACTGGAGATCAATGACAGATGGTCCTGCATTCCATTGTTTTTTTGTGTCATATATGTTTAAGGAGTAAAACATAATGTTTTGATCTCTTTATACATAGTGAAATGGCTATTATATTCAAGCAATTAAAATATTCATTATCTCTTGTAGTTATCCTTCTTATTTTTGTGGCAAACACACCTGCAATCCACTCTTTTAGTAAAAATACTCAGTTAAATACTATATTATTAACTATAGTCCCCATGTTCTCTGTTACATCTCTAGATTTATTCTTCCTATATATCTGTAGCTTTGTATTTCTTGACCTGCGTCTCCCCATTCCCTCTTACCTCATCTCTGGTAACTACCACTTCATTTCCTATTTCTGTGTATTCAGTTTTTTTTTTTAAAGATTCTACATATAAGTGCAATTATGTAATATTTTTTTTTAATCTGGCTTATTTCACTTAGCATAATGACCTCCAAGTTCATCCATGTTATGGTAAGTGGCAGGATCTTCTTCTTTATTAAGGCTGAATAATACTCCATTATACATATATGTAATATCACAGTTTCTTTATTCATTTATCAATTGATACTTAGGTTGTCTCTATATCTTGGCTACTGTGAATAATGTTACAATCAACATAGGAGTGCAGATATCTTTATAACATGATGATTTCATGTTCATTGGGTATATACACAGAACAGAAGATAGCTTTATGATGTGGTGATTTCATTTCCTTTGGTATATACACAAAAGAAGAATTACTGAGTCATGTGGTAGTTATCTCTTTAATGTTATTAAGAACTTCCATGCTGTTTTCCATAATGGTTGCACCAATTTACATTCTCACCAACAGTATACAAAGATTCCCTTTTCTTCATACTCTCATGAACAATTGTTATTGCTTGATGTGAGGCAATTATTTCATAGGGGTTTTAATTTTCACTTCCCTGGTGATTAGAGAGGTAGAGCATCTTTTCATATACCTGTTGGCCATTTTTATGTCTTCTGATAAATGTTTATTCAGGTTATTGGCCTATTTTTTAAAATTAGGTTACTTATTTTTCTCCTAATGAGTTGTGTAAGTTCTTCATGTATTTTGGATATTAACATTTTACCAGATATGTGGTTTTCAAATATTATTTCCCAATCTGTATGCTGCCTTTTCATTTTGTTTATTGTATCCTTTACTATGCAGAAGCTTTTTAGTTTGATATAGTCCCATTTGGTAGCCTGAACTTTTTATGATATGCCAAAAGTAATTGTTCAGACCAGTGTCATGCAGTTTTTTGTATATATTTTCTTCTAAGAGTTATGGTTTCAAGTGCTACATTTAGGTTTTTATCCATTTTAATTGACTTTTGCTCTTAATTTGTTGTTGTAGGATCTGCCTCAAGTTGTCAAACTAAACATTGCTTTATTGTCTTATACACAACAGAAATAACTCTCTTCAATCAAAACACCTGAAAATCTTGTCAGCAAAGTTTACCTCTGATTTACTTCTACCACTTAACATCTGTGTGATATTAAGCAAAATAATTAACTTTTCTGTGTGCAACACTTTCTTCATCTGTAAAATGGTACCCCGCATATGGGTCTGTTGTATAGAGAAATTTTATATACATATGTGTATGTGTGTAGTGACTGCAATCTAATAAACAAAACACTCAATGAATGTTGGCAATTATTATCATTATTAGTTTTGTCATCATCTCCATTATCATGATGCTGTCATATAAAATGTGTAAAGGTCATCTAAGCAAATGAAGCTATAAGGAAGGGAGGCTATTGTGTACAAATGAGACAGTCTAACTGATGGATGGAGATGGGAGAAATTAAGAGCAGAGCCTATGGAGAGAGGATAATCTTTTTCTAAGATATTTGCTGATATTCTTGCTGAACAGTGTTTTCTCTCACTTTGCAAGGCTTCTTGATTTCTCACCCCTTATATTTGTATTTTCCATTCCCTAAGCAGGAACCTATGTGTCTAATCAAGCTGCAGCAATAAAAAGCATGTTTCATCATATTCACTGTATAGTGAGAAAATAATTCCAATTTGAGGGTCAAACAAACACCCATTGGATAGAAACATGAATGCCAATAGTCATCCTGGGCATTACTTTTTTTTTTTAATTATTATACTTTAAGTTTTAGGGTACATGTGCACATTGTGCAGGTTAGTTACATATGTATACATGTGCCATGCTAGTGTGCTGCACCTATTAACTTGTCATTTAGCATTAGGTATATCTCCTAATGCTATCCCTCCCCCCTCCCCCCACCCCACAACAGTCCCCAGAATGTGATGTTCCCCTTCCTGCGTCCATGAGCGCTCATTGCTCAATTCCCCCCTATAAGTGAGAACACGCAGTGTTTGGTTTATTGTCCTTGCGATAGTTTACTGAGAATGATGATTTCCAATTTCATCCATGTCCCTACAAAGGACATGAACTCATCATTTTTTATGGCTGCATAGTATTCCATGGTGTATATGTGCCACATTTTCTTAATCCAGTCTATCATTGTTGGACCTTTGGGTTGGTTCCAAGTCTTTGCTATTGTGAATAGTGCCTCAATAAACATACGTGTGCATGTGTCTTTATAGCAGCATGATTTATAGTCCTTTGGGTATATACCCAGTAATGGGATGGCTGGGTCAAATGGTATTTCTAGTTCTAGATCCCCGAGGAATCACCACACTGACTTCCACAATGGTTGAACTAGTTTACAGTCCCACCAATAGTGTAAAAGTGTTCCTATTTCTCCACATCCTCTCCAGCACCTGTTGTGTCCTGACTTTTTAATGATTGCCATTCTAACTGGTGTGAGATGGTATTTCATTGTGGTTTTGATTTGCATTTTTCTGATGGCCAGTGATGGTGAGCATTTTTTCATGTGTTTTTTGGCTGCATAAATGTCTTCTTTTGAGAAGTGTCTGTTCATGTCCTTTGCCCACTTTTTGATGGGGTTGTTTGTTTTTTTCTTGTAAATTTGTTTGATTTCATTGTGGATTCTGGATATTAGCCCTTGGTCAGATGAGTAGGTTGCGAAAATTTTCTCCCATTTTGTAGGTTGCCTGTTCACTCTGATGGTAGTTTCTTGTGCTGTGCAGAAGCTCTTTAGTTTAATTAGATCCCATTTGTCAATTTTGGCTTTTGTTGCCATTGCTTTTGGTGTTTTAGACCTGAAGTCCTTGCCCATGCCTATGTCCTGAATGGTAATGCCTAGGTTTTCTTCTAGGGTTTTTATGGTTTTAGGTCTAATGTTTAAGTCTTTAATCCATCTTGAATTAATTTTTGTATAAGGTGTAAGGAACCCTTCATGCTAAAAACTCTCAATAAATTAGGTATTGATAGGATGTATCTCAAAATAATAAGAGCTATCTATGACAAACCCACAGCCAATATACTGAATGGGCAAAAACTGGAAGCATTCCCTTTCAAAACTGGCACAAGACAGGGATGCCCTGTCTCACCACTCCTATTCAACATAGTGTTGGAAGTTCTGGCCAGGGCAATTAGGCAGGAGAAGGAAATAAAGGGTATTCAATTAGGAAAAGAGGAAGTCAAATTGTCCCTGTTTGCAGATGACATGATTGTATATCTACAAAACCCCATTGTCTCAGCCCAAAATCTCCTTAAGCTGATAAGCAACTTCAGTAAAGTCTCAGGATACAAAATCAATGTACAAAAATCGCAAGCATTCTTATACACCAATAACAGACAAACAGAGAACCAAATCGTGAGTGAACTCCCATTCATAATTGCTTCAAAGAGAATAAAATACCTAGGAATCCAACTTACAAGGGACGTGAAGGACCTCTTCAAGGAGAACTACAAACCACTACTCAATGAAATAAAAGAGGATACAAAGAAATGGAAGAACATTCCGTGCTCATGGGTAGGAAGAATCAATATCATGAACATGGCCATACTGCCCAAGGTAATCTATAGATTCAATGCCATCCCCATCAAGCTACCAATGACTTTCTTCACAGAATTGGAAAAAAACTACTTTAAAGTTCATATGGAACCAAAAAAGAGCCCACATCGCCAAGTCAATCCTAAGGCAAAAGAACAAAGCTGGAGGCATCACGCTACCTGACTTCAAACTATGCTACAAGGCTACAGTAACCAAAACAGCATGGCACTGGTACCAAAACAGAGATATAGATCAATGGAACAGAACAGACCCCTAAGAAATAACGCCGCATATCTACAAATATCTGATCTTTGACAAACCTGAGAAAAACAAGCAATGGAGAAAGGATTCCCTATTTAATAAATGGTGCTGGGAAAACTGGCTAGCCATATGTAGAAAGCTGAAACTGGATCCCTTCCTTACATCCTGGGCATTACTTTTAACCAGACTATCCCCTACTTAAACAGCAAACATTCTGAAATTATATGCAGATATTTATCTATATGCATCTTTTACAACTTTTTTCCTAAGGAAGAATCAATATTTCTCACCAGTTTCTCAAGGAAGTCCATGACCCCCATATTTTCTCTAAAGGTAGACAATAATCTTGAGCCATTCTTCATTAAAACCTTGTTTACAGCATAATGCTCCACCAACTTTAAAATGATTTACATCTTTTATATCTATTTAGGTTTCCAACTTATGCTATCTTCTGGGGCATTGAAATCCACAAAGTTGTTCTCCATTATAGAAAGTGATTATTTCCATTTTCTTGTACTAAAAATCCTTTAAAAATCAAATTATATACACAAGTTTTAGCATTACAGGAGCTTGGGAACAAGTCCCCAGTGAGAAATACTGTAAGGTGGTGCTTCTCAAATTATCTGTGAGGAAAGACCACTTCTTTTTTCTTCTTACCTCTAATCTATTGCAGAGTGACACTGTTACCGAATAAAATTTGGAAATATGACAATGTCAAATTACTGTAAAAATGTCTAAGCACTTACTCTCAACTTTTGTACTTATCACAGATCCATAACAAGTAGTTCACAGATGAACACCATTCTTTGGACCGCATTTTGAACACTAGCATAATTTGCTGAAGATAGAATGCACTACATATTAGGGTCATTTGTGTTTCATAACTAAATTGTGAAAATTGAAAGACCTACATGTTTTTAAAAATTATTTGTATTGTATTAAAAACATATAAGTTATCTACCATCTTAACAAAATTGTAAACGTATAGCATAATAATAACTGTAAACGCAGTTTTGTATAGCTGATCTCTAGAGCTTTTCCATCGTTCATGACTGAAACTCCATACCCACTGAACGGAAATTCCTCCATTTCCTCTTCCCCTCCAAAAGAAATTATTATTATTATTTTATTTATTTATTTATTTATTTATTTATTTATTTATTCTTTTTTTTTTTTTTTTTTTTGGGACAGAGTCTCACTCTGTTGCCCAGGCTGCAGTGCAGTGGTGTGATCTTGGCTCAATTCAACCTCTGCCTCCCTGGTTCAAACAATTCTCCTGCCTCAGCCTCCCGAGGAGCTAGGACTACAGGCACATGCCATCACACCCAGTTAATTTTTGTATTTTTAGTAGAGATGGGGTTTCACCATGTTGGCCAGGCTGGTCTCGAACTTTTGACCTCAGGTGATCCACCCACGTCAGCCTCCCCAAGCGCTGGGATTACAGGCATGAGCCACCACACCCAGCCAAAAATTAATTATTTTTAATGGTAAAAATTCAATCTATTATGGTGATAGGGAGGAAAGGCAAATTCCCAGCCCTGTCTTAATGTATTTATGGAATGATTAAATCAGAAGGCATACATGATCAGATGACAGGACTCAAAGAAGAATAAAGAGTTATTTATCTTTCTTTCTCTAGCATGCCTAAAGATATGATGATGGGAATTGCTGTGTTCTTTGTTACCACAAAAATCTCAGCTATTGTGGCGTGTATAGCCTTCATTGTTACGTTTTCTTTTAAAACTAGAAATCTTTTGTTTTGTTTTGTTTTGTTTTGTCCTAAAACAGTTTTATTTTTTATTTTTTTATTTATTTTATTTTTTTTTTTATTATTATACTTTAAGTTTTAGGGTACATGTGCACATTGTGCAGGTTAGTTACATACGTATACATGTGCCATGCTGGTGTGCTGCACCCACTAAGTCGTCATCTAGCATTAGGTATATCTCCCACTGCTATCCCTCCCCCCTCCCCCCACCCCACAACAGTCCCTGGAATACTATGCAGCCATAAAAAATGATGAGTTCATGTCCTTTGTAGGGACATGGATGAAATTGGAAATCATCATTCTCAGTAAACTATCGCAAGAACAAAAAACCAAACACCGCATATTCTCACTCATAGGTGGGAATTGAACAATGAGATCACATGGACACAGGAAGGGGAAAACTAGAAATCTTAACACATACAAGCTTCAAGCACCTTTCATCCAACCCTTATATTACAAACAATGCCTATACAAGAATGTATGAAAAATGAAATCAGATTTCAGGGTGCTTGTTATGTAGCAAGACAAAGAATGTAAAATTAAATTAACACAAAGCATCATAGGACAAGCATCTTATGAAGCAAAAAACAAAAACTTAAAAAAACTAAAGATGTTAAGAGATGTTAAGAGGAAGAAGAAACACTTTTTTCTAGGGGTAGGGATGAAGGCTAATGTGAATAACTTTTGTTTGTTTTGTTTCTCTATCAAGTTATCCTTTCAATTTTAATTTTGGAGGAAATAATTTTATTGTTTTTAATTTATATGATACATTTTCACTGTACAATGTTTCAGAAACCATATACCAGATGTGTTTAAGGGCAGGGGCAATGAGATTGAAGATGATAAAATGAAGACATAACTGGAAAGCCCGATCTTGAAGGAGTTCAGTTTGGGAAGGGCATATTTTCAAAACATGCACCTTATAAATGAGCAGAAAAAAATCATAAAGTTATCTTAAAGCAAGGTAAATATTGGGTTAGATGAGAGAGATCACACCGATCTTCCTACATAAAATAGGCCAGATTGAGAAATCACACTTAATTTTCATATGAAATAGGAAATGTGGCAATTTGAAATGGACAGGCAAAATAATGGAATAGAGAGTCTGAGAAAAGTAGGGAACTTTGAGAATAAATGTTACAGTGACTGTGCTGGCAAATCACCAAAATAGGAATAATGTTAGTTTCGTTGAGAACCCAGCTAGAACCAAACAACACAGTTCAATTTTGGAGTCATCAACATTGGGAAAATTCCTTGGATTGATTATGGGGAGATTCCCTGAGTCATCTTTAGTGTTCTGAGGTAATTGAAACATTTTTCTACAGATGAAAATAAACAAAATTATGTCTGAATTCCTCTTTCAAATAAACATACAATATGATTATATAAATATAGGAAATGACTCAGAATCTGTGAAACTACAAGACTTGGTTGTAAAATAGTTTATCTCTTTGATTAGATTTTGTTAAAGATAAACATAAATTCCCATATGACCATAATGGTCATTTTAATGAAAACTATCTACTGAATAATAATCAAAACACAATTACTTGATCAGATTTTGTCATAGTCTATTTACATCATGGTGAGCAGGAGGCTCACTACTGAGCACAGTTCTAACTGCCTACCAGATGTGTTCTACCAGGACATTCCACCAACCCCTCAAATAAAAGCTGTAAAGGAAAAAAATCGCTTATTTATTATCTTCCCTCCTCCAGCTCCTTTTCCCCCTGTAGTCTCATAAATGATTCTGTTGAGATCATTCTTATTCCAGGAACTAAAGCTAGAAATCTTAGAAATTGTTTTAATCTTCATTTTTTGTGTGTACACAGTAGGCATATATATTTATGGGATACATGACATATTCTGATAAGGTATATCATATGTAATAATCACATCAGGGTAAATGGAGTGTCTGTCACCTCAAGCATTTATCCTTTCGTTGTGTTACAAACAACCCAGCTGGACTCTTTTTGTTATTTTTAAATGTATAATAAATTATTGTTGAGTGTAGTCACCCTGTTATGCTATCAAATACTAAACCTTGTTCATTCTATTTCATTATTTTTTGTACCCATTAGCCATCTCTCCAATGTACCCTTCCCAGCCTTCTAACTCCATGAGTTCAGTTGTATTAATTTTTAGCTCCCACAAACAAGTGAGACCAAGTGAAGTTTGTCTTTCCGTGCTTGGCTTATTTCACTTAACATAATGACCTCCATTTCCATCCATGTTGTTGCAAATTACAGGATGTCATTCTTTTTTATGGCTGAATAGTATGCCACTGTGTATATGTAACATATTTTCTTTATCCATTCATCTGTTGATGGATACTTAGGCTGCTTCTAAACTTGGTTATTGTGAATGGTGCTGCAACTAACATAGGAGTGCATATATCGCTTCAGTATACTGATTAGATATCTTAGAATATTTTAAAATTACTTTATCTGTCTTGACAATCAGAGCCAATATGATGTCAAATCCATTTGATATAATAATAATAATGAAATAGACAATATTCCTTGACACTTACTATGAGCAAGGTGCTGTGTTAAATAAATACTTTGTAGGTTTTTATTTTCATTAAACCTTCATTCCCATACAAATATATAGGTAGTACCTTTATGATCTTCATTCTATACATGAGGAAAGGCTTAGAGCAAGTGAATAATTTGTCCAAATCCATGCATCTGGTATGCAGGGGAGCTGAAGTATGAATTTATACTCTTACCACTGTCATGTACTCTTTCACCTTCTTTCTATTGAAATTCATTCTCCTCATTCAGTATTTTATCAGGTTTTTATTCTATCTAAGCTTTCTCGTATACTGCTGCCTAGCTGATATTCTTACAGCACAGCTCTAAGTCACCTCCTTATTAAAATATCATCAATATATTTGCATTGATTAATAAAAGCAACACAAATTTTGTGGCCGAAGGGTCAAAACTTTTATACTTTGGATGCAATTTATCTTTCCAGCCTTATCTTTCCACATTTCCAGCCATACAACCATATCTTCAGCCAAATTAACAATTTTGCTTTGCTTCAAAGGACTATGCATGTGCAAAAGCTGGGAAGTGTTGAGTGTTTGAACGAGTTTTGGTGAGTCATGCCTACAGAGTAGAAGGAACCAGACAGGGAAGGTGGTTGTGGCCAGACTGCAAAAGAACTTGAGTCTCACACAACAAAGTTTGACTTTTAGCCTAGAGCATAGGGGTAAAGGTAAGGGATGGTGGGGACAGAGTATGTGCTTGTGGGTGCACAGACACTATTTTCACTATGTTTTGATGTTATTCTGTCTGAAAAAATAAGCTATATTTGTTTGTTAAGGGGGATTTACATCAGCATGTTTATAACAATTAGAACTTATAGCAAGTTCAGTGATGTTTGTTTGCTTCAAATAACTCAAGGGTTAATGTGAACTATGAGCCATTCTTCAACTAAAGTATATGCTTTTCTCAGATTTTAAGAAGTATCAAGATTGGGGAAATGTCACATGAACTTTAATGAAAGCTAATCATATATAGTTATTTTCAAAAAATGAAAGTAATCAACGCTGACCTGTAAGTAGTTGTTTTGACTAAATATAATAGTCAAACCAATCTGTTGTGTACTCTACAATATGATACTGTAAAATTGACAGTGATTTCATTAACCAATATGGAATTTTTAACTTTAAAAATGTATTACTCGAAAATATTGGCTGGGCACAGTGGCTCACGCCTGTCATCTCAGCACTTTTGGGAGCCTGAGGCAAGCGGATCTCCTGAGGTCAAGAGTTTGAGACCAGCCTGGTCAACAAGGTGAAACCCTGTCTCTACTAAAAACACAAAAATTAGTCAGGCATGGTGGTGCACACCAGTGGTTTCAGTTGCTCTGGAGGCTGAGGCAGGAGAATCACTTGAACCCGGGAGGCGAAGGTTGAAGTGAGCTGGTGCCACTGCACTCCACCCTGGGCAACAGAGCAGGATTCCATCTCAAAAAACAAACAAACAAACAAACAACAACAACCATAACTATATATCTGATTATTTCTTCACTTAACTGTCTTAGAAAATCCAAACATAAGATATCTATTTTTGAATACATTTGTTATTATTTTACATGGTTTATAAAATTAAACACAGATACCAAAAATTCTCAATTAATAGGCAGTTTTGTATTTTGCGTTCTAAGTAATGAGCCATTATTTTTTAATTTTACATTTTATAAAAATAATATTTAACAAATTATAAGCATAATGGTAGGTTTTATTAAAACAGTGTTTTTCAAATAAGTTCGACTGGGTGGTTTAAAAACTGACTTACATACATTACAGTATAGCATTTCCTATCTTGCATTCCATGCATGTGAGAAAGATAACTCGGGCCCAGAAATGCATGTATTTGGAAGACTGAAAATTCGATGGGCATGACATTTTCTAGCCAGATAAAAATATACATGCATATGTCTGTATGACTCATTCCACACAACTCAAAATTGCTGGAGAGTGGGTGTAGCTATGAATATTACTGCACAATGTAGTTTTCAAAGAAAAAAAAACAAATTTGGCAGCTTCCTATCTTTTTGGATAACTTTAGATTAATTGAAATTTCAATTAATGAAATGCACAGCTAAAAATGCATTAAAGGCACATCAAGTGCTAGAGAACAAATGAGGGAGAATGAATAATACAAAACCAAGATGATAACTTTTCTATGAATGTGCATATTTCGTCTGTCTGTCTGAATGCATTTTAACTAAGTTAGGCCATGTCTCAGACAGTAAATTGAAATGGGCAATTGATTTTTTTTTTGTCTGTACTTCAATATCATTGTATTTCCGATGCAAATTGTGAGATCTGCATTTTCCAAATAGTTTTTTTCAATTTCAAACATTTCTTGTAAATTGTCATTTGGTTATTGGTTGTGAATGAGCTAGAGTCTACATATATGGAATAATATAAAGACAGTTTTAGTAGGTGTCGTCTTTGAGTTTTTTTATATAAAATACTGTGGTAAGTGATAATGCGTTTTTTTACATGTATTATCTCTTTTAACCTCCTCCCCAAAATATGAACTTCTTACTGTTACTTTTTTTGTTTTTTTATATGTTAAAAATTAAACAGTATAACATATTCCAACAAAGCTAGTACATAACATAGTTGGAATTCGGGCCCCATTTTTTCTGATGCCAGATCCCATTTCTAAACTGGTATGTTATTTAACATCTTTAGAAAAGGCTTATTTCAGTTTACAAAAGTTATGGAACCATTGATAATAATTAAAATATAGGTGAGAGGAATGACATAAAGTTATGTCCACAAGGTTTGAAACATGTATGTGAAGGTTAATATATAAATAATTATATATTTATATGCATACAGTTTATTCATTTCATATTCCAATATTATATAAATTATCAATTTATACAAATAAATTCACTCAACTCTACATGCAGCAAAACCAATATTACCGTTCTTTTTTTATAAAAAGTTTTATACAAACATAGTAATGTACAGAAATTATGCAGGAAACCTGTTCGGAGGTCTTTAAATGGATTAATTTTTATCTGTACAAGAGCCTGGCGCACAGATTTTTCTTACAAATCCTTTTATACAACTTTAATAATTGGATGGTTAGTAAAGGTTAAGTTCAGCCAGACAAATAGTTGAGTGAAGTCACTTGGTTAGACCATGGTTATGTGAGGGAGAGAAAATAACATATCTGTATAGAAAGCGGCCTCCATGGTTCATTTTGCGCATCTTAATAGTCAATGCCAGTCACTGAAGCTGTTGCTATTGCTATTGATTATGAAATTAGCACTGTGAGTCATAAAGGTTTTGCTTACTCTCCTGCCATCCGTTTTATTGACTTAGGAACAAGTGAGCTTCAAACAGCAGTATTCGCTTTGTGCATATTGAACATGGCAGAAAGCAAACAAGCAAACAGCATTACTTTTCTCTAATATTGTCTGTGTGCTTCCAACCTAGCCTCGAAGCCTTCATTCACAAATTTATAAATGCCTGTATGTTTGCAACCTGAAAACTCCAGTTCAAGATGATCTCACCCTAGGGAATTCAATACATCCCTAATCATCTAAATAGTACTCTTGACCTTTGCTATTAGTCAGACTTGAATTTCCCAATTGTTCACAATTGTTCTTTCACAATTGTTCTTCTTTTCTCAGGTGGTAGATATTTCCCCAGATGTTAAATATAAGCTTCTTAAGGACTGATGTGTCAAATTTATTTATTTTTCCATGCAAACATTATTTTATTCATTTGAAAAGAATTTATCATGAATTTATTCAGCACTATTGTCTTTTGCTTTATTTAATTATAAAGGGTTATTTAATAATCTTGAGCTTCAGTTTTCTCATCTCTAACATGTGAATAATCAAAGTGAATTATAATTATAGTGAAAATGAAATGAGAAAATTTCTGAAAAGTGCCTAAAGTAGTACATTGTGGCTTCTGCATTTCTTTGAGTAAGGCCTTGGTAAATGTTGAATTGGATGATAGCTACTGGTTAGTTTCATCAAAATGATCAACAAATCATTTGTTTAGACATAGTTATTCACACCTCTAACTTCTTAATAAAATTGGACTTTAACAATGAAAATAAATTTTAGTCACTTGATGTATTCTGGAAAACATATCAAATGCATTGTGGATGGTATCTTTGGAAAGGGAAAGAGGAAAGTGGCTAAAGATCAGAGACAGGGGTGGAATAAAATAGGAGAGGAGCCTTTTATCGACCAATCAGGATGATGTGTTGGAGCCTGAGAATTCAGTTTAAATTATTCTTCTGCTCCTGAGAAAATGGGATAGAAGACGAACAAAAAGGAAACAACAAAAATGAAAATGCATTCATCTTGTTTGCAGGTACCAAGAAAAGCATATCCATATGTAAGTAATGATCATGAATACATGTATTTGTAGAGTATATGTAGTGTCTCTGTCTATCCATTCATCTATCTGTGTTCTTACTGAAGATGAGTGATACATGGCATTTAAATTATGATCTCCTTCAATTTGCACAGATATTTCAGTCTCATTGGTACTTACCTTCCATGTTTCTTCACAAACTACAAATATAGAAGACAGACTTGCAACTCTTACTTTAGTCTCCTTCAAACAATGATAAACATCAATATTATTGAGTAAAAGAGTCTTCTAAATATTGACCTTAAACCACAGAGAAATATATAGATTTCACCACAAAGGGTAATATTTTATTAAGTTATATAATATATTTGAAAATTCTAACTTAACTTTAAGACTGACAATACTTTTCTTTAAGGGCTTAAGTCATAAGTCAGTGTTATTCAATTATCTATAATGGGAAAATCATGATACAGCACTCAGAGTGAGTGCGAGCATTGAATTAAGATGGTTTTTAACCAAAATGAATGCATTTTAAATAAATATAATAATCATGCTACTTTATATCTCTACAAAGAGATCTTTAAAGCCAAAAATCCATGATCGACATTCTCCTATTGATTTAAACTATCTCATTTATTATTTTAATAGCAACAGACTTGCTAAATTTCTACTCCACTTAAAATTATGTAAGGTATACTCTTCAGCTAAGAAAGGACTATATATGTAGGCACAGTAGCAGAATATTTCTGAGTACACTTTCCATCATAGCTTTTTTCTTTCTTGCCCTTCTAACTCAGCATGTAGGCAAGAAGACACTTAGAAAATAGAACAATGCTAATTGGTTTTATCACATGTTAGTCAAAAATGAAATAATGGAATCTTAAATATCATCTTTCAGAGTACAGAGAGTCCACTCACTCTTTACAGAATATGCCTTGAATAATATCCCCATAAAAATATTTAAAGAAATTTGCTATTTTATTCTATGCATATGCATTTTCAAGGAAGAGTCAAATTTGAAAGAATATTTGGATAAAGTCCAAGACATTAAGACAAAGGCATATAGGTTTTAATCCTTACATTACTTTCATTGTCTGTTTAATATCATAGAAAATTAACTAGGCCTCTGTATAATTTTTGTGAAGTTATTCACTTAATAAGGGATACATTTTCCATAGAAATGATTTGGATTGAATCATGAAGTTCAGATTTGCTTAAGCATAAATAAATCATTATTCCAAAAGTGTAATAATAAGAAATGAAGTATTTCCAATAAAATTGTGATTTTTAATTGTAGAATGATGATCTTCATAGAAGAGTTTTATGTTCTTAATATTTGATGATATACTATATAGGGAATTTTGTATTAATTTGTCCTGGGGTTTTATTGTTGGAAGGAAAAAAGTTTACTAAGATTGGAGTACTACCAGGAAAAGCCTGATGCTCACAGAACAAGAAATCTTAGAAGGTAGCATATACTCAATGGTTTAAGGACAATGTTCCTCCACATGTGTGTGAGAATGTGGGGGACAGATGCCACATATTCATGCACAATGACCCCCATTTACAGACCTAAATGCATAGCCTTTACCCAGGTGATTCTGCTGCAGGTTGTCCTTTGACCATTGGTTTAGGATCTCACTCTCAACCTTGCAGCCTCAGAAAACTGAAACTATTTTAAGTTCATTAACTATGGATCTCTCTGTCTGGAGTAGACTCATATCGCCAACAAGTTCACAGAAAAAAACACATAACTCATGAGTTCACAGGGACCAAGGTATATAACAAAATGCTGAAGTATTTTTTTAAATTAAAACTACAACTTTCATGCAAGGCAGTATACTTAGGTCAGTAAGTCAGAGCAGTTATAATCAGAAAGCTAATTCAAAAATTGAAATAAGATAATCCATATGATTCAAATTTAAAAAATCAAGGTTTAAATTGTTATTGAACTCACAGAAAATCTTTTTAATTATGTAGAATGGCCATGGCTCTCTCCATCTTTATTAAGAAATATGAATGTAGGCTGGGCGCGATGGTTCATGCCTGTAATCCCAACACTTTGGGATGCCGAGGCAGGTGGATCACGAGGTCAGGAGATGGAGACCATCCTGGCTAACATGGTGAAACCCTGTCTCTACCAAAAAAATAAAAAATATTAGCTGGTGTGGTGGCGGGCGCCTGTAGTCCCAGTTACTTGGGAGGCTGAGGCAGGAGAATGGCGTGAACCTGGGAGGAGGAGCTTGCAGTAAGCCGAGATCGCGCCACTGCACTCCAGCCTGGGCGACAGAGCGAGACTCTGTCTCAAAAAAAAAAAAAAAAAAAAAAAAAAGAAAGGTGAATGTATAGACATTTGCAAAAGGATGTGATAGTCCTTCATATTTCTGTTATTCAGAATTAACAAAGGTTAACATTTTAATATATTTCATTTTTAAATAATTCCTTACTACTTAAATATTACATAATTTATATTATACACGCTGTAAATACATATATTGTCTTTTTGCTCATAAAACATTACAGATAAATAGTGATGATAATTAAGAATAATGTATTGTATACTTGATATTCGTTAAAAGAATGGATCTTAAATCATCTGACCACACACACACACACACACACACACACGATGACTATGTAGAGCTGATATATTACCTGGATTGTGGTGATCATCTCACAATGTGTGTGTCTATCAAAACATTAAGTTGTCCTAAGTATATATAATTTTTATATGTCTATGATATATCTCCAAGAAGCTGTTTATAAAAATGTACAAATAAATTCTCCCATGAAAACCACTTGGTACTCCTCTCTATCTCTATTGGAAGCTGTCTTCTGGAATCATGCATAAGTCGCCAGAAATACTGTTCATTGATATGAAAGTACGGAGTCCCTGTTGCCACAATGTTACCGTCAGCTGTTGACTGACCACGTTGCCACTGTCCACTGAAGTTTATCCAGGGATATTGACAACATGCTTATTCAATATAGGAGCCTGATGGATATTTTATGTAGGTAGATACAAACAAAATATAAGAAAAAAAACACATAAAAAGTTATATCACATAACTCATTCTAGAGACATAAATATAAACAAATACTAAGAATTAATTAAATTAGGAATGTCACACCCCAAAAAGAAGAATACATTGCAATCAAAAACAGATGATTGATTTATATATAAGAAGATATAGGCTGGGTGCAGTGGCTCACTCCTGTAATCCCAGCACTTTGGGAGGCCAAGGCAGGCGGATCATCTGAGATCGGGAGTTCAAGACCAGCCTGACGAACATGAAGAAACCCTGTCTCTACTAAAAATACAAAATTAGCCAGGTGTGGTGGTGCATGCCTGTAATCCCATCTACTCAGGAGGCTGATACAGGAGAATCGCTTGAACCAGGAGGTGGAGGTCGCCGTGGGCTGAGATCACGCCATTGCAATCCAACCTGGGCAACAAGACTGAAACTCTGTTTCAAAAAAAAAAAAAAAAAAAAGATATAATTCTTAGGACAGTGAAAATTTTGTCTACCTACTATGGCTTTAAAATTAATGCATAATGGCTTATAATCAAGACAATTTAAAATGACTTTTTGTGGGAGGGAAATCTTTACATAAATCACAGTGGTTCTGGACATGTCAAGAGGAATAAAGAGGTGTTGTTTGCTGGAAACACAGCCTGCAAAAAAAGTCACAGAAGTGGAAATGAACCAGCCTTATGCAGACCACATTGTAACACCAACTAGACTGTGGCTCATCACAACTGTTGAAGAGATTTTTGAAAATGAGTGAGCTGTTTGAGAGCCAGACTTTAACAAAAGGCTTTTTCAAAATGATTTCCTTAGATTAGCATTACTTTCATGGCATTTTGTAAAACACTGGTATTCTGTTAGATATTAACTAACAGAATGGAGTTCTGTTAGTCTGGAGTTAGATACTAACTCCATTCCCTTTCAAAATAATAATACATTGTACTGGGGGACTGCTAGCTAATATACGCTCTCATGGCAATTTACAGTATTAGCGTATGATTGTTACTATGCTATTCTGTGGCAGAGAAACTTCTTCACATTCGTTCACTTAAGTCACTGAACTCTTTTTCATAAGATGAACAATTTTTATATTGGTAAAATTTACAAAAGATGGTGGGAATGAGCACGGATGCTTGAACAAGAAAGTAGCATGGTAAAAATCATTGTTTAGAAGCAGAATGTAGGTGGAGGAAGTATGTGGAGGTAGTGAGGAGAAGGGGGAATTGTGTCCAGAAATTGGCAGGGCAGCTAATGCCCTGGTGCAGTCGTGAAGTCATGAGGATGATACCTGGGGCAGAGGGAATTATGAGAAAAGATGCAGTCCAAGAGACAATGAGGCAAATGACAAGAACATATCAATGGCTTGGATGTAAAGGAATGAACATAAAGGAGGGACAAAAACAGCTACTGTTAGTAAAAGCTACTCACTAGCTTTTTTCTCTTTATTGTTTTCGAAAAGCAAAAAGAGCTTAAAGAAGTCCGTGGGGGGCAAAAATTAAGCTCTATGAATGAATATGCACATGCTATGAAGGATAAAAGTGGAATTAGTAGGCCGGGCACGGTGGCTCATGCCTGTAATCCCAACACGTTGGGAGGCTGAGGCAGGCCGATCACATGAGGTTGAGAGTTCGCAACCAGCCTGACCAACATAGAGAAACCCCATCTCTAGTAAAAATACAAAATTAGCTGGGCGTGGTGGCAGGCGTCTGTAATCCCAGCTACTCGGGAGGCTGAAGCAGGAGAATCACTTGAACGCGGGAGGTGGAGGTTGTGGTGAGCCGAGACCGCACCATTGCCCTCCAGCCTGGGCAGCAAGAGCAAAACTCCGTTTCAACAACGACAACAACAACAAAAGTGGAATTAGTAAATTCTAATAAAGTAAAATATAGTTAACTAGTTAATAATTTAATCCATGCAAGTTGGGTCATGTACTTATTGAAAACTATATAAATCTATGCTATTTGTATAAAAATACATATACGCTAACAACATTTTATATATACATATATATCAATAGTATGTCAAACATTTTTACAAATGTTTTTGAAAAGTTCTGGAAGGCAAAGGAGATTTTAGTAATTGAATTGAGAGGGCATATAAGGTGGGGAAAATATAGATAAAATAAATATAGAAAATATATATTACAATTTCTAATAAGTCACAGAAAAAATGTGCTATAATTAATTTTTGTGGAAGTTTGTGATGTAATAAAATGAAAGGAGAAATGTCAGTTAATTCTCTATCCACTGCCAACTGGCTTCCTGTGGAATGACAGAGTAAAAGAAGTCAGGCAATAATAATTTCAATCACCTCAAGATTGATTTACTTTCAATTACACGTTCAGTCTGGTGAAAGGTGTTATAATGGCAGCTCAAGTTTCCCAAAGTAAAGTAGAACACGAGAAGCAGTAATTTAAAGTGTTCCACAGGCAGGCCTCTATCTTGACCTACACAGTCACTGTGGACATTCAATTATTGAACTCCTCTTTTGTTTACAATAATGCTACTTAATTCAAATCTCATCTGTAGAGTGAAGGGTCCTTTATCTAATTTCCATCTACACCTTTAGTAGATAAAACATACAGTGCATTGTCCTTCAGTTACAATAATATGACATTGGATCATCGTCTTTAAATGGCACTAAAAAATGTAAGGCATTTATGTAGAAGATACTACCAGTAACGAGTATGGCACTTTATCTCTTTACAAAGTACTTCTATGTTATTATCTCATTTGATATTTAAGAATAACAATATTATTATTAAAATTACTTAACAATTGATTGATTTTTCTTTTATTTTGCCAAGCCCTATATACCTATATGTATCTCACCAGCAGTTTTCAATATTGGATCAGTAGCACCATGGGTGTCAGTAGGTTCTTACATCATTATACTTATTTTTTATTTTATTTCTTTTTATTAATAAACAATATGAACCTATTCTGAATTATCTGAATTTTCACCTTATCATTGAACAAGTTTCAGTTCCTGTTTTGGAATTTTGGTGTGCATTCACACTATTTACCAAGAGAAACGCTAAAATAACATTTAACATTAAACAAAATGTTATCAAACTGAAGCCCAAAGACTGAGACATCTGTAAATATATTCTTGGAAAGATGAATACTTGGGGCCCAGGCCTGCGTTTCAGAGAATGGAAGCTACTGAATCTTGTTCAAGTGGAAAATAATTTAGCACATAGTATTATGAAATGATGTGAAGAATCATCAGGAGGTCTAACAAAATATATTCTAATAGATGATTCCCAAAAATGTTACAGAAATAAGCAGCTAAGAGAGCTGCTGCTACTATATCGTAGAACTGCCTAACTGAGTCAGCAAACTAACACTAAGGCTTCTGGCTCAAGAACCACATGATCATGGCTAAAATACATGCCAGCACATGTGCAATTCATCTTTATTTGTCCAGTAGATATAGTGTTTATCATGAAGGAAATGTTCAATAAATATTTGTTGAACAGATAGGTGGATATTCTTTCTCATCTGTTATATTGCTCTATGCATAAATTCTTACCCATGCTGTCTTTTGAGTCCATGTTGGCAAGTGCCCTCAACAGCAATTAAAAGAGAGTTAACTATGGCCATGGAAAAGAGCAAGGTATCAATACTGTTAGGTATATTGTTATAGAGTTTTGAATTATTTAATGTAATAAAATATGATAAAGCAAAATCTCTAAAATCTCAGTGATTTATGAAAATAGCTGTATATTTTTTACAGACAACTGAACTTCATAGGCGGTGAGTGGAATGAGGACTTCTCTGCTCTATATCTTTATTCATGGATGAGAGGCTTTGGGAGCCATACATTGATCAATAAATCTTCTGCAGCCTGATTCAACATTCAGCTGGCAAATGGTGAAGGTGAAGGTGTTTATGGTCCAAGTCTCAAAGTTGTATACACCACTTCAGTCCACATCTCATTTGACAAGTGTAGTCATGTAGCTTTATCTGACTACAATGGTGACAGGCAAGTAAAGCATACTCATTTATTGTATTTTCAGGAGGAATAGAAAATGAATTTTAACAGACACAGTTAATACTGTAATAGTGAAGATAAATCATACTGTTAGGCTAATAAAAATTATGTCAAATTTTACTGTGGATATGCTATATGAAAGAAATTTGCAAATAATATAGATGAAAGACTTGATCTGTAAAAGTCATCATGAAAAGGCTTTAAATATCCCTCTATGACCACAATGTTGAGATTTAAAGCATCTTTGGGTGGCAAAATTTATCTATCATCTCCACACAAACAAACCAAGATTTTTCACACTGTATTATCTAAATATTTTGTAGGAGAAGATTGTTCACACTATACGAAGTATCTACACATTTTCTAGAAGAAGAAAGCAACAATTGCTATCTATTCCTCTATGAGGTATTTTTTGCCCCTTGGCAAATAGTGTACTCCCCTCCCTTAATCATCTGTGTTTTATAGGAGTGTCCTTTAACACTAAGAAGAGTGATACTGAAACTAAGTTGGTGTATGTGAAATCCAAACGTAAAACATTAGATGAGAACTGTGAGAAGTTGAAATGTAAGGATCTATGGCAGATAAAAACCTTTAGAAAGGAAACAAAATTCTATAGCTACTCTGCATATATGGAGTTTTCTTTCTTCTATACATTTTTTATTTTATTGAATGCTTCAAACTGAATAAAACTGTTTCTCACAATAGCTAACTTATACAGTAATTTTTAAAATGTCATGTGAAACATGGTATTAAAAAAGGAGAGATCAGATATAACATTCCCAAGACTACAACTTGAAGAAGAGAACCAGATTTTAGTCCATATTAAAAGAGGGTTGAAGGAAACACTTTTCGTTTAAACTATTGAGTCATCTGTCTTTATCCTAAAAGTAAAGAAAGTTCAGAAATCCCATAGACAAAATGTTAATTTTAAAGAAACTTTTAAAATAGTATTCTGCTTTTTAAAATATTTATTTTGTAATTTTTAAAAACTTGATCTTAGTTTTGACCTTCAGGAATATCTGACTTTCTTGCATTAGCAGTTAAGAATCAGAAATTTGAGTGATGTCAGCAAAATGGCAGAACAGAAGATCCCACAGCGTAACTCCACTTACAAAAATACAACTAGAAACTATTCCAACACAAAAATACCACCCTGAGCTCACCAGAACTCAGGGGAGAAGCTAAGACATTCCCAGGGCCAACAGAACAGAGAAAAGCTGTGATCAGTAAGAAAAAGGTCATTTCAGACTATGCCACCTCCTCCTCCAAGCCAACATAACCGCTATCACAGAGGATTTTCCTAGACCCACAGTTTCTGAAGTAAAAGTAGGGAATTGGAGGTGGATGTTTAATGTTCCCACTGGTTTGGAAACCTTTACAATAAGCCCACGCCAGTCCTGTCCCATGGGAAGCACTGAGATTGCCAGGAGGGCTGAACCACCTGAAATCAATGGCAGACAAATAATGGCATGCTGATTACAGCAAGTGGAGGATAAATTATGGGGGCTACTCTGCACTTTGATCAGCAGGGATGACATGTGAAGAGACTGGCCAAGACCCATATTGCTACAGAAGTCACAATCTGAGGAAGGTCTGAATTCCTAGATGGATTTTCCACGAAGCCCAGATGCTCACATGGAGCCTTCTTCTGGCCTAGAATTAACCAAAAGTTCAGGATTAAGTTCCAGTGCCTGCTTAAGTACTCTTCAGATTGGGAAACACCATCAGGCCATTAATCTAGTTCTGGGGCAAAGTTTAACTTCCAGTGCTCACTATGAGTCTTCATCAGACCAGAAAAAAGAAAAACAGAGCAGTATTTTAGTTCCAGAGTAGCATTTAAATTCTGATGGTCACTGTAAGTCTTCTCCAGACCAGGAAACAATGGCAAAGTAATGAGTTAGTTCCAGTGCAGTGTTTTAGTTCTGGTGCTCACTATAAGTAATCCCCAGAATGTGAAGAAACAACAGGCCAGCATGTAAATTTCAATTCCAAGCAGTAACGGTCCAACACCACCAAAAAACACCTGGAGAAACTGAAAGAGATAGCTTTTTACTCAAATAGGCAAGGATCAACATAAAGACAAAAGGTTTGTAAAAACTCAGGGATATATGGCATCACCAAGAGAAACCAAAACACTCCAGCAATGGACCCAGAAAAACTGAAGATCTATAAAATGTCAGACAGATAATTCAGAGTAATCTTCTTAAAGAAGTTCAGGTGACCACAAGAATATACAAATAGAAAACTATATGAAATTTGGAAAGTAAGAAGGAAAAAAGTGAGAAATTTGACAAAGTAATAGATACAATTAAAACAAATAGGAATTCCAGAAGTAGAAAATACAATAATTGAACCAAAAAGTTGAATAGGAAGCTTCAATAGCAGACTTGATGAAACAGAAAAAAAAAATAGCCAGCTTGAAAACAGAAAATATAAAATTACCCAATCAGAATGGCAAAAAGTAAAAAATAGAGATTGAAGAAGGATAAAAGGATTATGAGACACCATCAAGTGAACAAACCTCCACATAATAATTTCCCAAAGAGACAAGGGAGAAGGCCTATGAAGCCTATTTAAGAAAACAGTGGCTTAAAATTTCTTAAGTGTAGAGAAAGATGACACCATCCAGGTACAGGAAGCTCAGAGTTCATCAAATTCAGCACTCCCCACCACACACACATACACACACAAGACATTTCCAAGGCTCATGATAATCAAATTAGCAAAAATCAAAGGCAAAGAAAGAATACTCAAAGCAGCAAGAGAAAGTAAATATACCGCATTCAATGGAACTCCAATACAGCTTTCAGTAGATTTCTCAGCAGAAATTTTGGAAGACCAGAAGAAAGTGGGATGCTCTACTCAAAGTGCTAAAGGAACACCCAAAAGCCAAAAACAAACAAAAAACCTGCTAAGAATACTGTACTCAGCAAAGCTGTCCTTCAAACATGAAAGAGAGATAAAGATGTTCCCCAACAAACAAAAGCTGAGGAAATTCATCAACATCAGACCTGCTTTCCAATAAATGTTGAAACGAATTATTTAATCTAAAAAAAGTGAATGCTAATGTGTAACAAAATAGAATCTGAAGGTATTAAACTCACTAGTATAAAAAAAGGAAATCATAAAAATTAAGAATACTCCACTACTCTAATGGGGTTATTAAACTACCTATATCTTAGGTATGTTAAAAGAAAAAAGCAAAACTGTTAAAAACTGTAAAAACAATTGGATAAGACATAGGCAATATAAAAAGATATAAACTGAAACATTGAAAAGCCAATATGTGAGGAGTGATAATGTTATAGTTTGTTTCTGTTACTTTTCTTTGTGACCAAATTTAAGTCATTATCAGTTTAAAATAACCTGTTATATTTTTTGTGAGCCACATGGTAACAACAAAGCAAAAACCTATAATAGATGTATTAAAAATAAATAGTAGGGAATCAAAACATATTTCTATGGAGAAATCACTTAATCACAAAGGAAGACAGTAAGAAAGGAACAAAAGAAGATAAGATCTACAAAACGACCAGATAACAGGTAACCTATCTTTTAATAAACTTTTACCTATCAATACTAATCTTGATTGTAAATGGATTACATTCTCCAATTAAAAGACATAGAGTACATGAATGGATTTTTTTTAAAAGCCCAAACTATATGCTGTCTACATGAAACTCACTTCACCTATAAAGACATACAGACTGAAAGTGAAAGGATAGTAAAAGCTATTCCATTTAAATGGAAACAGAAAAGGTGTAGGAATATCTATATTTATATCAGATAAACGAGACTTTATATCAAGAACAAGAAAAGACAAACAAGACCATTATATAATAATAAAGGTGCCAATGCAGCAAAAGGATATAACAATTGTAAATATATATGCAACAAACACTGGAACACCCAAATATATAAAACAAATATTAATAGGCCTAAAGGGAGAGATTGCCTGCAATACAATAATAGTAGTGGATTTCAACACCCCCACTTTCAGCAATGAACAGATTATCCAGACGACTAAGAAATATCAGAGTTAAATGGCACTCAACAAAATAGACCTAACAGACACTTAGAGAACATCTCATCCAACAGCTGCAAAATACAAATTTTCTCAACAGCATATGGAACATTTTTCAGGATAGACCATATATTATTAGGTCACAGAACAACTCAACAAACTTTAAGAAATAAAAATTACATCAAGTATCTTTTCCGACCACAATGCAATGAAGCTGGAAATACATAACAGTAGGAAAATTTAAAACTAAAAAAAAAAAAAAATAGAAATTAAACCACACGCTCCTGAACAACAAATGGGTCAATAAAGAAATTAAAAAGGAAACTTTCCTTGAGACAGATGAAAATGGAAGCACAATATTCCAAAACCTATGGAATACTGCAAAAGCAGTTTTAAGAGGGAAGTTTATAGCAATAAAAGCCTACATCAAAAAAATAAAAAATTAAAATAAATAGAACTATTTCTAGTTGCTCAAAGAACTAGAAAAGCAAAAACAAAACCCAAAACAAATAAAAGGAAAGAAATAATGAAGATCAGAGCCAAAATAAATAAAATTGAGACCAAAAAAAATAAAAGATGAACGAAAGGAATAGGTGGGTTTGAAAACATAAAACTGACAAACATTTAGCTAGACTAAGAGAGAAGACCCAAATAAAATCAGAGATGAAGAAGACATTACAAGTGATACAGAAATACAAAGGATCATTAGAGACAATTATGAATAAGTATACACCAACAAATTAGATAGCTTATAAGAAATGGATAAATTTCTGAACATATGGAATTCAAGATTGAACTACAAAGAAATAGAAAACCTGAACAGACCAACAATGAATAATTGAGTAATGAGATCAAAGAAATAATAAAAGTCTCTCATCAAATTAAAGCTTAGGGGCTGGCACAGTGGCTCACGCCTGTAATCCCAGCACTTTGGTAGGCTAAGGCGGGCGGATAGCTTGAGATCAGGAGTTCGAGAGCAGCTTGGCCAACATAATGAAACCTCGTCTCTACTAAAAATATAAAAATTAGCTGGGTGTGGTGGCATGCGCCTGCAATCCCAGCTACTCAGGAGGCTGAGACAGGACAATCACTTGAACATGGGAGGCAGAGGTTGCAGTGAGCCAAGATTGTGCCATTGCACTCCAGCCTGTGTGACAGAGCGAGTCTCTGTCTCAAAAAAAAATAAAACAAAAGAAAGAAAAAGAAAGAAAGAAAAGCTTAGGGCTTCAGACTTCACTGTTGAATTCCACCAAATATTTCAAGAAGAACTAATACCAATTCTACTCAAACTATTGAAAAAAACTAAAGAGAAAGGACTATTACAAACTCATTCTATGAGGTCAGTATAATGCTGATACCAAGACTAGACAAGGATACGACACACAAAAGAAATTACAGACCAATATCTCTCATGGACATAAATGCAAAAATCCTCCACCAAATACTAGCAAAGCAAATATAACAGGGGATAAAAAATCATTTATCTTGATCAAGTAGAATTTATCCCAAGGATGCAAGGATGACTCAGCATATGCAAATTAATAAACATAACACATCACATTAACAGAATCAAGAATAAAAACCACATGATAATTTAAATAGATGCTGAAAAAATTGTTAAAATTTAACATACTTATGATAAATACTGTCAACAAACTGGGTATAGAAGGAACATAACTCAAAACAATAAAGACCACAGCCAACATCAAACTGAATGTGGAAAAATGCAAAGCCTTTCCTCTAAGATTTAGAACAGGACAAAAATATCCACTTTCACCACATTTATTCAACATGGTACTGGAAGATCCAGTCAGAGCAATTAGGCAAGGAGAAGATAAAGGGCATCCAAATTATCCTTCTTTGCAGGTGACATGATCCTATACTTACAAAAACTAAAAGACTCTACCAAAAACTGTTAGAACTGATAAATGAATTCAGTAAAATTTCAGGATACAAAATCAACATACAAAAATAAGCAGCATTTCTATGTGTCAATAGAAAACAATCTGAGAAAGAAATCAAGAAAATAGTCCCATTTGTAATGGCTACAAAACCATTTAAATACCTAGGAATTTTGCTAACTTTTAGGTTCAGGGGTACCTGTGAAGGTTTGTTATACAGGTAAAATCATCCCATGGGAGTTTGTTGTACAGATTATTTCATCACCCAGGTACTAAGCCTAGTACCCAACAATTATTGTTTCTGATCCTCTCCCTACCCCCTCCCTCCACCCTCAGGCAGGCCCCAGCATCTGTTGTTCCCCTCTCTGTGTCCATGTGTTCTCATCATTTAGCTCCCACTTGTAAGTGAAAATATGTGGTATTTGGTTTTCTGTTAAGAATATATTTAACCAAAGAAGTAAAAGATCTCTGTAATAAAAACTATAAAACACTGATGAAAGAAATTGAATAGGACACACAAAAAATTGAAGATAATTTACGCTTATGAATTGGAAGAATTAATATTGTTAAAATGTCCATACTACCGAAAGTGCTATGTACTGCAATCCCTATCAAAATTCCAGTGACATTTTTTCTCAGAAATAGAAAAAAAAAAACAACTAAAAATTGTATGGAACCTCAAAAGACCCCAAATAGTCAAAGCAATCTGGAGCAGAAAGAACAGAGCTGGAAGCATCACACTACAAAATTTCAAATATACTACAAAGCTATAGTAACAAATACAGCATGATTCAGGCATAAAGACACACACATAGACCCATGGAACAAAATATAGAATCTGGAAATAAATCTATGCATTTACAGACAACTCATTTTTGACGAAGGTGCCAACAAATACAATAGGGAAAGGACACTCTCTTCAATTAATGGTAATGGGAGAACTGACTATCCATACAGAGAAGAATGAAACTAGACCTACATCCCTCACCATATACAAAAGTGAACTCAAAATGGATTAAAGACTTAAATGCAATACTTGAAATGAAAATAGTTGAAGAAAACACAGAGGAAATGTGTTAGGACACAGGTCTGAGCAAATATTTTGGGATAAGACCTCGAAAGCACAGGCATCAAAACCAAAATAGGATTTTATTAAGCTAAAAACTTTCTGCACAGCAAAGAAAATAATCACGGTGAAAGTACAACCTATTGAATAGGATAAAATATCTGCAAACTATCCATCTAAGGACAGATTGATAACCAGAATATATAAGGAACTCAAATAACTCAATAGCAAAAATCACAAATCATCCTACTAAAAATGGACAAATGATCTGAAAAATCATTTCACAAAAGATGACATATAAATGGACAACAGGTATATGAAGAAAATGCTCAACATAACTAATCATCAGGGAAATAAAAATCAAAACAACAATAATATATTATCTCACCTCAGTTAGAATGACTATTTCAAAAAGAAAAAGCTAACAAATGCTGGTGAAGATGGGAAGAAAGGGGAACACTAGCATGCTTCTGGTGGAAATGTAAATTAATATAGCCATATGGAAAATAGTATAAAGGTTCCTCAAACAACTAAAAATAAGTAAGCCATATGATTCAGTAATCCCACTGCTGAGTATATATCCTCAAGAAAGGAAATCAGTATATAGAATATATATCTGCACTCATGTTTATTGTAGCACCGTTCACAATAGCCAAGATATGAAAGTAACGTGTGTCCATCAATGAATGAATACTTAAGAAAAATGTGGTATATATATGCAATGGAATAATATTGAGCCATGAAAAAGAAGGAAATTCTGTCATTTGCAGCAACACGGTTGGGAGAGGGTAGCATAATGGTTACCAGAGGCAGGGAAGAAGAGAGGGGAGCATGAGAGAAAAGAAGGTGGTTAATGGGTACAAAAATACAATTAAATAAAAGGAATAAAGTTCTAGTTTTCTAGTCATCATAGGGTGGTTATGATTAACAATAACTTATTATATATTTCAAAATAGCTAAAAAAGAAAATTTGGAATATTCCAACACAAAGATATAATAAGTAGTTGAGCTGATAGATATTTCAATTGCCCTGATTTAATCATTACACAGTATGGGCATGTATTAAAATACAAACAGTAACTCCCAAAAAAGTATAATTGTTTGGTACCAATAAAACTAATGGAAGAAAAAAATGGTAATATGATTCTCATAACATAAATTTGGTTTTATAGCATCTTAAACTTATATTGACAATGTTTTTCACTTTTATAATAGTTCTTTTATAAAGGTCTCCCTCATTTTTCTATATGCTTATTGAATAAAGTAACATTTCTCATTTATCCTTTCACAAATCAGATATATAATATGTGCTGTTGATGTGATTTATGTATACATTTATACATTTTGCCCATATACAAGAATATTGTCAGGAAAATCATAAAACATTAGTGGATCCACAAATTATATGATTTTTTCAAAGAAATTATTCTCAGGATTTCCACTAAATTCTTTTGGAGTTATGTATTATTCTTTAATCAACAGCATGTCATGTATAATATATAAGAACCATTAACATTTTAATTGTCATTGGCACAGTTATATTCAAGTATTAATAAGTGACTAACACAAAGGAATTTTGCTCTGCTTAAGAGGATTTCCACTCCACATACTTGGCGTTTCATTGAGCTTCCCTAAGATGTTAATGTATGTATATATTAGTGGTACTGACTTGACATGATTATTTTTCATTTAGCCAATGTTTTTAAAACAATCGTCTACTATTGGCTTTTCAATGTTCTAGGATATAACAGTAACAGAAGACTGACAAGGAGTCTGCTTTCATTGATCTTATTAAATTCTAATGGGAATACTAGACAGTAAGAGTGAAAATAAACAAATAAATGAAATAAAGCATATAGTGATAAGTGTATAGAGAAAATAAAACATAAATGTGATAGAGGTTGACTGTGGCAGTATACAACATAACACAGAGGAGTCAGGAAAGATCACTCATGAGGTGACATTTGTGCTAAGATATTAGTGACAAAGTTGTCAGCCACGTGAAAATCTAGAGGAATGGCTCTCCAGGGAAAAGCAAATGTAGAGACTGCGATGACAGAATGAGTTTGTTTTATTTGCAGAACTGAAAGGGAGTAGGGCTAGAAAATTAAATGGATGGAAAAGAGCTAGAAGAGATAGTAAAGGAAGCAAGGGCCCTGTCTTTAGTAGTAATTTCCTGGTCTCTTGTGCTAGGTTGTATTATTCAAAAAAAGCAGCTATCTGGAACTAATGGTGTATGAATATTACTAGGAGACTACCTATGAGTTATTTTTATTAATTTTTGCAATTTTCCTCAAATATAGCTATAATATATATTCCTTGTAGAAATTTTGGTAAATAGAGAAACTTATGAAAATAAAATCCCAAACCTACAAGTAACCATTATGAGAATTTTTCTTTAATGCCTACTTTTCGTAGGTGTTTAGACCAGAGGTGAGCAAATTCTTTCTGTAAAGGCCTAAATAATAAATGTTTTAGGCTTTATGATTCATATAATCTCTGTCTGGACTACTCGGCTCTGCTTTGTACCTTGTTATTAGCCATAAGTAATGTGTAAATGAGGAGTCTTGGCTGTGTTTCCAGTAAGACTTTATTTATAGATACTGAAATCTGAATTTCATTTAATTTTAATGTACCATGGAATATTATTATTTTGATATATTTCAGCCATTTAAAGATTTTAAAGATCATTCTTAGCTAGTGAGTTGTACAAATACAGGCAGCAGGCCAGATTTCACCAGGGCCATACCTGTTTCAGACACTTCTTTTTTTTTTTTTTTTTAATTATACTTTAAGTTTTAGGGTACATGTGCACAATGTGCAGGTTTGTTACATATGTATACATGTGCCATGTTGGTGGGCTGCACCCATTAACTGGACATTTAACATTAGGTATATCTCCTAATGCTATCCCTCCCCCTTCCCCCCACCCCACAACAGGCCCCAGTGTGTGATGTTCCCCTTCCTGTGTCCATGTTTTCTCATTGTTCAATCCCCACCTATGAGTGAGAACATGCGGTGTTTGGTTTTTTTGTCCTTGCGATAGTCTGCTGAGAATGATGGTTTCCAGCTTCATCCATGTCCCTGCAAAGGACATGAACTTATCACTTTTTATGGCTGCATAGTATTCCATGGTGTATATGTGCCACGTTTTCTTAATCCAGTCTATCATTGTTAGACATCTGGGTTGGTTTCAAGTCTTTGCTGCTGTGAATAGTGCTGCAATAAACATACGTGTGCATGTGTCTTTATAGCAGCGTGATTTATAATCCTTTGGGTATATACCCAGTAATGGGATGGCTGGGTCAAATGGTATTTCTAGTTCTAGATCCCTGAGGAATCGCCACACTGACTTCCACAATGGTTGAACTAGTTTACAGTCCCACCAACAGTATAAAAGTGTTCCTATTTCTCCACCTCCTCTCCAGCTCCTGTTGTTTCCTGACATTTTAATGATCGCCATTCTAACTGGTGTGAGATGGTATCTCATTGCAGTTTTGATTTGCATTTCTCTGATGGCCAATGATGATGAGCATTTTTTCATGCATCTTTTGGCTGCATAAGTGTCTTGTTTTGAGAAGTGTCTGTTGAAATCCTTTGCCCACTTTTTGTTGGGGTTGTTTGTTTTTTTCAAACAACAATTTGTTGGAGTTCATTATATGTATTACATTAATGGAGTACATTATATGTATATTACATCAATGTAAATTTGTTGGAGTTCATTATAGATTCTGGATATTAGCCCTTCATCAGATAAGCAGATTGCAAAATTTTTCTCCCATTCTGTAGGTTGCCTGTTCACTCTGATTGTGGTTTCTTTTGCTGTGCAGAAGCTCTTTAGTTTATTTAGATCCCATTTGTCAATTTTGGCTTTTGTTGCCATTGCTTTTGGTGTTTTAGACATGAAGTCCTTGCCCATGCCTATGTCCTGAATGGTATTGCCTAGGTTTTCTTCTAGGTCTTTTATGGTTATAGGTCTAACATTTAAGTCTTTAATCCATCTTGAATTAATTTTTGTATAAGGTGTAAGGAAGAGATGCAGTTTCAGCTTTCTACATATGGCTAGCCAGTTTTCCCAGCAACATTTATTAAATAGGGAATCTTTTCCCCATTTCTTGTTTTTGTCAGGTTTGTCAAAGATAAGATAGTTGTAGATATGCGGCATTATTTCTGAGGGCTCTGTTCTGTTCCATTGGTCAATATCTCTGTTTTGGTACCAGTACCATGCTGTTTTGGTTACTGTAGCCTTGTAGTATAGTTTGAAGTCAGGTAGCGTGATGCCTCCAGCTTCGTTCTTTTGGCTTAGGATTGACTTGGCAATGTGGGCTCTTTTTTGGTTCCATATGATCTTTAAAGTAGTTTTTTCCAATTCTGTGAAGAAAGTCATTGGTAGCTTGTTGGGGATGGCATTGAGTCTATAAATTACCTTGGGCAGTATGACCATTTTCATGATATTGATTCTTCCTACCCATGAGCATGGAATGTTCTTCCATTTGTTTGTATCCTCTTTTATTTCATTGAACAGTGGTTTGTAGTTCTCCTTAAAGAGGTCCTTCACATCCCTTGTAAGTTGGATTCCTAGGTATTTTATTCTCTTTGAAGCAATTGTGAATGGGAGTTCACTCATGATTTGACTGTCTGTGTGTCTATTATTGGTGTGTAAGAATGCTTGTGATTTTTGCACATTGATTTTGTATCCTGAGACTTTGCTGAAGTTGCCTATCAGCTTAAGGAGATTTTGGGCTGAGACAATGGGGTTTTCTAAATATACAGTCATGTCATCTGCAAACAGGGACAATTTGACTTCCTCTTTTCCTAATTGAATACCCTTTATTTCCTTCTCCTGTCTGATTGCCCTGGCCAGAACTTACAACACTGTGTTGAATAGGAGTGGTGAGAGAGGGCATCCCTGTCTTGTGCCAGTTTTCAAAGGGAATGCTTCCAGTTTTTGCCCATTCAGTATGATATTGGCTGTGGGTTTGTCATAGACTGGCTGTGGATTTGTCATAGATAGCTCTATTATTTTGAGATACGTCCGTTTTTTAGACAGAGTTTCACTCTTGTTGCCCAGGCTGGAGTGCAATGGCGCAATCTCGGCTCACAGCAACCTTTGCCTCCCAGGTTCAAGTGATTCTCCTGTCTCAGCCTCCCTAGTAGCTGGAATTACAGGCATGCGCCACCATGCCCTGATAATTTTGTATTTTCAGTAGAGACAGGATTTCTCCATGTTGGTCAGGCTGGTCTCGAACTCCCAACCTCAGGTGATCCGCCTGCCTCAGCCTTCCAAAGTTTCAGACACTTCTAATTCTCACTAACATTTGTCTTATTCCAGGCACAAGAAAAGATAATTTTCTACCACTTTTGCAGTTATCCAGAACCATATGGCTAGTTGAGATTACTGGTTCAAGACATTAAAGAGAGGGAGTGAACCCTGTAGTCTCAGGTTGAGCTGGCAGGGACATGGCGTGGAAGCAGACTGAGGCCCTGAGCCACCATTTGGCACGGAGCGCTGCTGAATCCACAGTATAGTTTGCATGAACAATAAGTGAATCTTTATTTTTAAGCCTCTGAAATTTTGATGTTTGTTACTGAGGAGAACCTACTTTTACTAATACAATATTTGTATTTGGTATTTACCCTTAATAATATATTCTGAAAATCATTCTTGGAAATGGCATCTTTATGACAATATAACTTTTCATTCTATAAGGATCCACTATAATGTATTTAACCAATGATGTAATTAGTTTTCAGATGAGTTATTCTCCAATTTTGTTCTATATAAGTTCAGCTGTATGAAAATATTGGAAACATCAATATTTTATTTTCATCTATGTATTATGAATTCTGGAAATGTAGTCATTGGGATAAAGTGTTAAATACTTTAAGGATTATTGATGTGTATTCCCTATTTATCCTAAAATTTGTGACATTTGAAACTCTTGCTGGCCATACATGTTCCAAAACCATTTCATTAACATTAGTCACTATTTTTTTAACTTTGTTTGATGTGATATGGAAAATGATACTTTTTTGTAATTATTTGCATTTTTTACCTAGTAAGGTTGAATATTTTTTACATTTTTCTTGGCCTCTTGAATTTCCCTTTTTAAATTAGTATTTTGTTTACATACTTCACTCATTCTTTTATTAGCATATTCATCTATTACTTCCTTGTTGATAAAATTATCTTTTTAAAAAAATTATGAATGTCCTTTATTTACCCTTTGCCCTATCTGCTGCATTTACTATTCTAGATTTCGTTTGGCTGTTATTTTGCTTACTGTGTTATACTTTTTCCACATATGTAGATTTTTAAACTTGTTTTAAGTCTATCTTTCTTTTCCTTATGATTACTTCCATTTGCACAGTATTCTTTCCCATCTCAAGACAGATTCATATTTGCTAATCTTTTACTTTTGTTCTTTTATCAGCATATTTTTGGTATTTCTAGTAGGCAGAATTATGGCCTCCCAAATGTGTCTGCATCTTAATTCACAGGATCTATGAATATGATACCTCACCTGACAAAGGATACTTTGCGGATGTGAATAAATTAAGGATATTAAAATGGGGAAATTATCCTGGATTATCAACATGTGTCTAATGTAATTATAGGTGTCCCTATAAGAGGGAGGTAGAAGGTTCAAACTCAGATAAAGAGATGTGATGGTGGAAGAAGAGGCGAGCATGATGCAACCACTAGCCAAGGCATTCAAGCAGCCTCTAGAAGCTGGAAAAAGCAAGGTTCAGGGCCTTCAGAAGGAATGTAGCTCTGCCAACACCTTGAATGGCCTTGTAAGACCCATTTTGAACTTATAACATTCAGAACTATAAGATAATAAATTTGTGTCGTTTTAAGCCACTAAGTATGTGGTACTTAGTTACAGCAGCAATAGGAAATTAATACTATTTAATCCCCTTGGAAATTATTTTTTTAGATGTAAAATGAGATTTATTTTTATAAGAGCTAGAAAAATAACCAATAAGCTTATAATAGCATATAGCATCTGGAGAACGAAAAACATCCTAAGAAGCCTTGAGTGACTTGTGAAGGGTATAATTTTAGTAATAATAATGATAAAAATTTTGAGGTTCTGGGATATCTATACCCAGCAGCCCAGTTAGTCTGGTTTATGCACTTTAAATGTAGTAATATTTAATAGAGAAAAAGAAAAGATACTTAGGTGACCCCAGCCAGTTAAGTTCAAATCCATTTCAAGATAAAGTACAGTCATGTGTTGCTTAATGACAGGAATATGTTCAGAGAAATGCCTCATTAGCCAATTTCATCATTGTGCAAACATCACAATGTGCACTTACACAAACCTAGATTGTATAGCCTACTTCACCTGTAGGGATAGCCTATTGCTCCTAGGCTACAAACCTGGACAGCATGTTAATTGTACTAAATATGATTTACAATTTTTACAATTTAAGTATTTGTATATATAAACACATCTAAACATAGACAGGGTGCAGTAAAATTATGGCATTATCTTACAGGACCACCATCATAAAGGAGGTCCATAATGACTGAAACGTCATTATGCAGTGCATGACTGTACTCTCAACTGAGGCCATTATGGGGGTAACCTGGTTGTCTAGAATTCTTTCACCATCCTTCTGTTTGACTGCCAGCTATGTATCTCTATCAAAGGTTAACTATAAAAGGATCTAGAAGTATCAGGCAAAAACATTCAGGCAATACTATAAGTACATTTTAAAGCCCAATTTTATTATTTTATTATATCTGAAGACAATATTGGAAATTAAAGAGGTTACTGCTATTGTCTTAATGTCTATAAATTTCAACTATCCTGACTATTTGAACATGGTATTTTTACATTCTATTTCATGCTTCTTGTGTGTGTGTGTGTGCCCATTCCTCTCTTGCTATGGTCCCCAGTAAAAGGAAATATTCTTCCTCAGCAAGAGAACTTGTGTGCAGTGGACAAGTGGATCTCTCTAATTGAAGTGCCTGGTTTGAACCTTCCTCCATTACTTAATCAACCTGTGACTCTAAGAATTGTACTTATCATCTCTTAGCCTTGATTTCCTCTTCTATAAAACAGAGATAATAATGGGACCTATGTTATAAGAATACTTTGAGACTTAAACTACATAATAAGTGTAAAATATTTGAACAATGTCAAATGCAATGACCACACCCATTTAACTTTGATTATTTATTCTTTTCTCTTCATGCCTATTTCACATCTTATCTACACAATCTACGCTTCAATGCCCAAAGTAATGATAATTCAAAACTTATTTCCAGCCACCACATATCACCATGCTCTTTCCATTCCTGGATGTCTATAGATTCCATATTAAAAAGCAAATTTTTTATCTCATTGGATTCATAATAACTGTTAAATTTTTAATTTAAATTATTTACATATTTTGCTCAACAAATATATGTGCAATAATTTTTGTGTTATCTCTGGATATCTGCTGCTCTGTTTTTTCATATGTAGAGTAGGAATACCAATAGTATTACTAGACTTATTGTGAAAAGTAAATGAGTTTATGTGTATAAAATCCTTGGAAGAATACCTGACACATAGGAAGTGCTAAATAAATATTAGTTTTTACTAGAATTATTATTAATCTTGTATGCAAAACACTATCAAATTATTAAACATTACAAAAAGACTATACTATATTATACTATACTATACTTTTTAAAAAAAGACCTATTTCCTATGCCTTCCTTATACCCCATTGTAAGTTTTCAATAGATACGAAGTCAGTGAGGGAAAAACACAAAAATGAATGGTGAAAATTTAGTATTTTAGTATGGAGTCATTCCAGGAGCAATTTGATGTGTGATTAGGCATGAATGTATATCTTCTTCAAAAGAAAGAAGAAAGAAGGAATGAACAAACACCCTGTTTTTTCTCTGCATCCAACCACTTGAGCAGATTTTGGCTACCTTACCATAAAGGTGATAGGACCAAAAACAATTACAGCAATAATAAATGAGCTACACAAGCAAATAGCTAGAAACAACGAGAAAGACCATAGGATCATAGAATGTTCACTTTACACCTATGTTAATGCTCTGCAACAAATTAAGTAAAAAGGAGATGTGATAGAAGAATGTATAGGATTTGTGTGTAAGAAATAATTTAGCTTGTGAAATATGAAAGAAGTTCCCTTTTTTTATAATGCTATGGCAAGAGCAGAAATTTCTCAAAAGCTGAGAAATTTGGCAGGAGTATAATTTAGAAAGAGACCAGAAAAGAAGTTTCTGGAGATAACAAAGGATATCTCTGAAGCGCACACTAATTATCAGTGCCCAGCTATTTTTACATGAAATTTCCTTTGGAAGGTTTGCTCCTTTCTAGATATATCTGCCAGTCAGAAAGGAAAAAAGAGAGCTATCCAGCATCTGGGAAGTTCCCATTTATACATATTCCAGTTTATATAGATTCTTTTGTGTTGCTAGATTATCTGAATATATTATTTTCAACATCATTTATTCTTTCATTAGTTCATTTATTCAACAAGCATTGATTGAGTACTACTGTATGACAGATACTGTGTCAGAGATCCTAGAAATGTGTCTGTGACTAATAATAATAATTATTATTCTAATAATTACAGCAAACTTTCTAGCAAATTTTACAAAGTATTTACTGTGAGTATGACTTGGAATTGCTCTAAGTATTTAAATCTCACAAACAAAAAATTATAAGGCAAAAGCTAATAATATCCTGAATTTACAAATGGATAAATGAGGCACAGGGGGTGAGCAACTCTTTCAAGACTACACATTAATAAAGGTCACAGATGGCATGACTCCAACCTGTGCCATTAGCCGCCATGCTGATGATGTCTCTGAGATGATCTTGTGCTCTCAGAAACTTATAGAAACTGGCATAAAGAACCTGATAGTTACAAAAAAGTGGGACTAACCAATTGTGGGGTAAATATAAAGTGGTGTGGGGACATATAAGAAAAGTATCCCACTCAGGAAATCAGAGCACCCCTAAACTGAAGCCTGTAGTATAAAGTGGAGCTAGTGAGATACTGAGGTGGAAAATCAAAATGTTTCAGGAAGTGGATAGAGCGTGAGGACACCAGGGTGAGGGAAGAGAAGATCAGGTCCATTTGAGAAAGGAAATAAAGTTCACTAAACCTGTAAGAGAGACATGATGAGCATGCGCTCAGTTATTTAAGAAAACTCATTCTTAGAGTCAAGTTGCTAAAACTGCAGACTCAGTCCTTCCCTTACAATTCTTTCCAACAAGGTGATGTCTGACTTGCTTTCAAAGCCCCACTTGTAAGAAAAAGTACAAGCATATTTGAATTGACTATTTTTTGCCAGACAGAAACATTCATTCCAGAGTGCCAAGCAGATTTAATGGAAAACCTATATCTTAGTCTCAGTTTTTTAACTTCTGGAAAATTATCTTGCTTGCTTTCTCTTATAGTCAATAGCAGATAATCTGTACTTTGAAAACACTCGTGAAGAAATTTGTAGGCCAATTTTAGAGCCAAATGAATTAAATTATAATGGTAAATGGAGGATGAGGTGTTAGAACAGGAAAAATTTAGGATTGAGGGAATGAAGCTCAGATACCCTTTCAAGATGTTGGAGAATGACTGAAAAAGTTAAAAGTGATATGAAGAATGATTTTAAAAGTGACTGAGTAAAGGCAAGGTTTTCATAAGAATGTCAATATTTTATAAGGCAGCAGAAACATTTTGTGGAGAGAGCAAAGGCAGAAAAACAAATGGGAGGAAATTGCAGCTAAAATAGCAAAAATCAAAGTACAAGGGAGAGTATCTGCTATATCATCAAGGTAAAAAGTGTAAGGAAAATGTTAGACAAGAAAAAGACAGAAAACAGAATATTTCAGAGATGGGAAGGTGAAGAGTAGATTTAGGCTTCAAAAATAGACAATAAAATGTCACAGAAAAAGAGAAATTATAAATAAAGAAAAGGTCCTCTAAGGAATAAAATTATATGTCATATAAAACAGAAGTAATGAGTAGCAATGGCAAGGAATTAATCAAAAGGTTAAAAATTGTTCTATAGCAGATACGTCATCTCAAAAATTGAGCAGATCGATTAAGGTAAAATTTGGTGCTGTTTGGAGGGTTTGGTATTTGATGGTTTTCTGATGAGGGAGCCTTTGAATTAAAAGTATATAGACAAAAGGTCAAATGTTAGAACCAGGAAACTGACTGATAATAATTAAAAAGGAGAGAGAAAAATTACTAGAATCTGGAGACCACTAACATGAACACTGATCACAATAGTTATGCAGGCATCTCTCTGAAAAGGTTGACAAGCTTTGCAGAAGGCATGACACACAGGGCAAATGACATGCCAGAGAGCCAAAAATAGCTGATTGTGAATTTCGGAGGCAATCTGAAACAGGCCAAAATGGAGAGGTGAGAGAATTATTAACTAGTTTATTTAAAAATATGGCTTTGATAACTAAACATAAATAATTTTCTTTCCTTAAATCTGGATCCAAAATAGTGGATCTAGTATTGCCAGATAAGCTATTGAAATAAGTGAGGATGTTATGTATCAAAGTGACCTGCCTTCTAATAGTCAATGGGTGCAGGAAGAAATAAATTCATGTAAGATGGAGAGTGAGGCAAGTCTATCCCATTTAGTTCATAGTCCTTTATTTTCATGTGTTCTCTGTAGATTGTGTCAAAAGAAATAAATAACAGATCTGAGAGAAGACAAATGAACACAATTAAAAAAAGTTATGCTATCATAGGTTAATAAACCCAGGTACCTAACATCATTTTGACAATAGCATACAAGCCAAAATATGAGAATATTTAAAGTCTATAAAGAGGACTCCAGGAAAGCTGCAGTGAGAGGCAGCAAAACACAGGTCTATAAAATGAGAAACAGGCAGATCTGATCATATTGATGATATCAAAGTGCAGACTGGGCCACTGGCAATGTTTGACTTGCTTTGGAAAGAAGATGCAAATGACATTAGTGCAATGAAAATTAGAGATCAGAAGATGAAAATAGACATAGCAGATTTAAAAATTATTAGGAAGCAGGGTATGTATAATTAAGCATTGCTTAGTGCCAATTTATATTTGCACGTTACAGCTCTCCACAACTGCACGCAGCTCCCTCATTAATGAGTCATTTTAAAGTTCTCATGGAACAACAAGGCAAGAACACTGAATAGGAGGCTCTGTAGCTCTCATGAAAAGATGGAATGGTCAATGTCCAAGTATTTTATCAGTTAATATTTTTGTCTTTCAAATGTATGAAGGCAGAAAGTGGCAAAGGCTGGCAGAGATATTGAGCCACTATAGGAAAGCACCAACTTTGGAAATCACAGAGCCCCTTTGAAATCAGGCTGAAATCACCATCTGTAAGCCTAGGCCAGCTCCTTACCCAACTGGAATCTCTGTTTTCTTCTCATGCATAAAAAGAGGATAGCATTAGCATGCATATATATATATACATATATATATATGCATAATTATGTATGCATGTATAATATATATATTACACACATATATATTCCATATATATACATATATGTGTGTGTGTATATATATACACACATATATATGCGTGTGTGTATATATGTTATATATACACACACACATATATATATACACATATATATATACACATATATATATATATATACCCCTCCTAAGGTTATGGTGTATCATATACACACACTGGTGCTTAAATATTTTTGTAGATTTTAGGTTAAGTAGCATTTTAAATTGTAAATGGTCAGAAACAGGGAGGAAGACACATTGAAATAATAAAGCAAACTGAAGAATCTGAGGTTCAGGGCTTCAGAAATGTCTCTATGTAGCTGTTAGATATTATTATCCACAGAATGTTTCACACACAAATAAACAAAAACAAAACAAAACAAAACAAAAAACTACCTCCCAAGCATGAGAGATTTGAGAAGAAGAGACAAAGGGACATAACAGAAAACATTTTAATCCACTTGGTTACGGAGGGGATGTGACATAGGATGGAACTTCCAGTTGCAATTATAGTGTTTATGGGACATTATTAAAAGAAAATTTTAAAAAGAGCAAACAAAGGTGGCAAATGCTCTCTGAGATAGCAGAAAGAGTGAAATATTAATTCATTCATTTATAAATTTAACACATATTTACTAAGCTAAGCATTGTGAGATAAAAGAATAAATAAATGGGAAAAGAAATCACGCAAAACAAAAGGGAAAGGTACGACACATATTTGTTTGCATTATGTTAAGTTATAATATGCTTGATGATGATTAAGGCAAGATAAAAATCTATATAAGGAAAATCAGGGCACTACATGTCTGTTACAGCCTGCTGCAAGAATGGCTGATCCAATTTTCATACATTTGCGGGAAGGGTATACATGTTCTGACTCAACTTATAAGTTGAGGTTGTGGGAAAAAAAAAGGAAGGGAGACATTTCACTCAGGCCTCTGATTTGCCCTTCAGCTGCTTTGTTCATCCACAGTTTGGAGCCCTGGGTGGAGGCGAAGAAGCAGAAATATGTGCGCTTAACAAAGAACTAGTTATAAATCATACATCAATAAACTGTAAACTGTTCACTTCATGGTAGATATAAAATATCTAAATCATGAAAATTATAAGGAATTATTACTTATTACTGGCCACACAGGGACTAGGCTTTTTAATATCCATCTGTGCATATACAGCCAGCACCCAGCACAGTGCCCAACATAGTAATGGCATTTAATATTTATACAACTTAACTATTTTTTAAGTATTTGCCCGTGTTTTAGTAACCCTTTATTTACTTATGCCTTTCTGCCATAGTAAGTATATTTCACAGACACTTCTAGACTAATAAATTCAATCCCAGAATGTGTTTATAAAGATATTTTTTGCTGACACAGGGACACTAAAGTCATATTTTCTCAAATCTTTCTCTAATAGAAACAGTAAATGCAAGAAATAATTATCAAAATTAAAGAAAGAAAAAATTGGATATAATAGTAACTTGTCACCAAGGCGCCATAGTTGACATAATCAAGTTACGTATGGCTTGAAGGGTTTCTTCCCACCACAGTAAAATTCAATAAGAAAAAATAAAACAAGTATTACCGTATTTAAGAAATACTTACAATGTCAAGATGACATACAGGTTCTGTAGTTGTAATGTTGCTATCACTCAGCAAGTAGCTGAATAAATGAGAACTAGAGCACAATATTATCCATTTTTTAAAAATAACCCAACACAAAAGGTTGCCAAGATACTGTGCTTTTATCATCTCTAAAGCTTGTTCTCCTGGTTACTTTTGTTCTATGTACTCTACGTGATGAAGTTTATTGCTGTAGTTAAATCTAATTTTCATTTTTAGTGCTGTCGTATGATGGTGAGAGACACAAAAGGCTAACAACACTGGGTCTTCAGGCAAAATTCTTCTATCATGGTGAAACTTAAGCTTATTTCCCATAATAATTTTTTAAAAACTAAATGGCTTCAGAATTTCTTAGTTTGTGCCAGCCAAGCTTTTGCCAAATAAAAATATATTCTCATTTGTCTGGTGGTTGTGCTATGGAGGATGACAAAGATTCTCTCCTTGACCAAACTTCATTCAGGCTCTTCCGAGCTCTTTTTCAACTGTGCCCCATACCCGAACATGTCCTCAAGAGTCCAGTTTTAGTAAAAATTCCATTTAGCCAGAATCCCTCATCCTTGATAACTGATCGTTGTGGATATCTAATCAGAGTCCTCATCCTCCACCATCCCCCACATGGTGCCTGATCTGTTATCAGCAAGAATACTGTTAGGTACAAAATCTCCTCTCATACCTGATGTTTCCTCTTAGTAATTTTCCACCCACCAACCCCCTACCCTGATCCTTGGCTACAAATCCCCATTTTTTCTTGTTGTATCTGAAGTTAACCCCAATCTCTCTCCCCTACTACAAAATCCCATTGCTGTAGCCCTTATACCTATTATAGTAGTCCTGAATAAAACCTGCCTTACCAATCTTTCGTGTGTCATGAGTCATCTTTTTCCTTATTAGGGAGAATTCTCTTTCTCCCCTTAGTATTATTTCTGCATCACATATAATACTGACTGCATTTTAAAATGTTACCTGGTAGGATTTAATACCTTCAGGATCTCATCTCCATACAGACTTCTTTAATCATGGGATTAACAATCCTGAAGATAACTCACTTTACATATTCAAGGAGTTTACAGCCTAAAAGGGGAATGAACCCAGACAAGTAAATGGCGATCGTTATCTGAGGGAAATGGAATTGTTAAGAAGGAAGAGAAATTTTTATTATTTATGTCACAATGGAATATATAGATACAGATAGATATAAAATTGAGATCAAATATGCTTTTCTGCCCTTTCAAAATCCTCTGTAATGAATTGCTTTTTATATTCCAGGAAAATAACAAATAACACATGTTGAAAATTTACAGTTCAAAAACAGGCATATTCAAGGTCCTGGGTGCACTGGAGACAAACCTCTCAATCTTGGGGGAGGGGGTGTAACATTTCTCAAAAGAAGTAACGTCTCAGCTAAAAGCTGATTTAACATTACTCACTTCTTTGCTTCCTTATTACCCACAAGCTATTTGCTAATTCCTATCTCCATGCATTTATTTATTCCATCATGCCATTAAAAATACTCAGTCTTCATCATTATAGTGTCCATTATCTCTTTCATGCCTCAGTTCACAAGACACATGTCCATCAGTATTTAATGAGACAGCTGGAAATGATCTTTTTGGAAACTTAGTTTGAATAATCCCATCCTATTATTAAATACTGCAATTAGTTTGTTAAAAAATAACCACCTGCAAAAATTCAAGGTGAAAGAAAACTCAGATGTCTATCAGTATTTGTGTGCCAAAAGTGGTGCCACTGCCAATGAGCAGAGTAAGGGGAGTCAATGCATGGAAAATTACTGAGACACATCGAGGGTAGGGTGACTGTGGCCTAACTAAGGTAACGAGATTCCTGTTGAAGGGAGGACAGAATGGGGGGATTCTCGCTAAACAAACGTTAACAGGATTCTTGCTAAAATTGGATTCAGCAAGGGCTAACACAGTCAAGAAGAGTGCTCAGAGGAGCCTGACTAAAGTTTGGCCAAGGGGAAAGTTGGCACAAGAGTAATAGTAATAATAATATCTTTTTTAACAAACGAAGGAACTAAGGTTTACAGAGGTTAACTGATCTTCCAAAGATCACTCAGCTAGTGAGCAGGTATTCAAACTTTTGGATTTAACTCCCAAGCTCAAGCTGTTAACCATGTGCTTTCCTCCCTCTTTCTTAGAAGAAGCTGCGGTAGATCAGAGGTCCCCAACCCCTATGCCGCAGACCTGCACCACCCATTGCTGGTTAGGAACCAGGCCACACAGCAGGAGGTGAGCAGTAGGCCAGTGAGCATGACTGCCTGAACTCCACCTCCTGCCCAATCAGCGGTGGGATTAGATTCTCACAGGAATGCAAACCCATCAATACCTAGTTTATTGAGAGTTTTTAGCATGAAGGGGTGTTGAATTTTATCAAAGACCTTTTCTGCATCTACCCACAGCCAGTATCATACTGAATGGCAAAAGCTGGAAGCATTCCCCTTGAAAACCGGCACAAGCAAGGAGGCCCTCTCTCGCCACTCCTATTCAACATAGTATTAGTCATCATTCTCAGTAAACTATCGCAAGAACAAAAAACCAAACACCGCATATTCTCACTCATAGGTGGGAATTGAACAATGAGATCACATGGACACATGAAGGGGAATATCACACTCTGGGGACTGTGGTGGGGTGGGGGGAGCGGGGAGGGATAGCATTGGGAGATATACCTAAGGCTAGATGACGAGTTAGTGGGTGCAGCGCACAAGCATGTACCCTAAAACTTAAAGTATAATAAAAAAAAAAAAAGAAAGAAAAAAAAAAAGTTCTGGCCAAGGCAGTCACGCAAGAGAAAGAAATAAAGGGCTTTCAAATAGGAAGAGAGTATGTCAAATTTTCTCTGTTTGCAGATGGCATGATTGTACATTTAGAAAACCCCATCGTCTCAGTCCAAAATCTCCTTTAGCTGATGAGCAACTTCAGCAAAGTCTCAGGATACAAAATCAATGTGCAAAACTCACAAGCATTCCTATACAGCAATAATAGACAACAGATGCTGGAGAGGATGTGGAGAAATAGGAACCCCTTTACACTGTTGGTGGGAGTGTAAATTAGTTCAACCATTGGGGGAAACATTGCGGTGATTCCTCAAGGATCTAGAACTAGAAATACCGTTTGACCCAGCAATCCTATTACTGGGTATACATCCAAAGGATTATAAAGCACTCTACTATAAAGACACATGCACACATATGTTTATTGCAGCACTATTCACAATAGCAAAGACTTGGAACCTACCCAAATGCCCATCAATGATATAGTGGATAAAGAAAATGTGGCACATGGAATACTATGCAGCCATAAAAAGGATGAGTTCGTGTCCTTTGCAGGGACATGGATGAAGCTGGAAACCATCATTCTCAGCAAACTAACATGAGAACAGAAAACCAAACACCGCATGTTCTCACTCATAAGTGGGAGTTGAACAATGAGAACACATGGACACAGGGAAGGGAACATCACACACCAGGGCCTGTTGGAGGGTGGGCGGGCTAGGGGAGGGATAGCATTAGGAGGAATACCTAATGTAGATGACAGGTTGATGGGTGCAGCAAGCCACCATGGCACATGTATAGCTATGTAATGAACCTGCACGTTCTGCACATGTACCCCAGAATTTAAAGTAAAAAAAAAAAAAAAAAAAAAAAAAAAAAGAATGCAAACCCTATTGTGAACTGCACATGTGAGGGATCTGGGTGAGCTCTCCTTATAAGAATCCAATGCCTGATGATCTGAGGTGGAACAGTTTCATCCTGAAACCATTCCTCCAGCCCCCCATCCCCGTCCGTGGAAAAATTATCTCCCATGAAATCAGTTCTTGGTGTTAAAAAGGTTGAGAACTGTTGCTATAGATAATGGAGAGCTGCTTCTCAGGGTTGGTCTTCATCTAGAGATTACTTACTCAATGAAATTAAAGAATTCCTGAATTTGGTAGGAGGTGATCGCTGAGGTATGCTCTAATTTTAAGTGTTTATGGTTTTTTGATTCCACTATGATGATTATTTTGATTTTTAATTTGGGCTAGAAGAAACCTTAAAATAACCTAGCTTGACACCATAATTTTAGAGGTAATAAAACTGAGACTAAGAAAAATAAGGTGATTGTCCATAATAATACAGTAGGTTTATGACAAAGCAGAGACACTGACTCATGAGCCTGAGATCACGTTTGTCTATTATTTTGTAATGAACTAATCCATATCCCGTATACCTCATTGACTAGTTTTTCTTAAACATTATTTTTTAGTCCTACACAGGAAACAGGTGGTTCACTATTGCTTAACCTATCAAATACAAAGACTGTTTGCTTTGTAAGATCCTCAGAAGCCTTTTTTGTTTGTTTGTTTATGTTTTTGTTTTTTGGGGTTTTTTTTGTTTAGTTTTGTTTTGTTTTAGACAAAGTCTCGCTCTTTTTCCCAGGCTGGACTGCAGTGGCACAATCTTGCCTAACTGCAACCTCTGCCCCCCGGGTTCTAGCAATTCTCATGTCTCAGCCTCCCGAGTAGCTGGGATTACAAGTGCCCACAACCACTCCAGGCTAATTTTTGTAGTTTTTAGTAGAGATGGGATTTCACCATGTTGGCCACGCTTGTCTCAAACTCCTGACCTCAGGTGATCCACCCAGCTGGGCATCCCAAAGTGCTGGGAATATGGGTGTGAGGCACCGCACCCGGCTGGAAGCCTGGTTTTTGACTGTCCTCAGAATGGATGAATTTTGTTTTGTGTTGGGGAAAATAGTTATCTGATTCAAAGTTTTTTGCCACTAGGTTATTGACCCCTTAATTAGTCCAGGCTATGTGCATTTTAACACATAGATGACACACTAGTCCAAATTAACCTGGAAATAGAGTTTCAGTTAGTATGATCTTACTCTTAGGAGAAAGAGCTATTTTTGGATAGACTTCTTCTACCTTGCAGAAGTGAAATGGTTCATCTTTCCACAGACTCCCTATTTATTGATCTAATATCTGAGATAACCATATGCACCACGTTTTCTCTTCATAGTTAGCCCTGGACATAGTAAGGTAATTCCAGCTGAATTCACTGTTTTAATAGGATACTACTGCCAGAGTTTCCTATGCCATCTCTTGGGAAGGAGCCAGAATCTGGACCACTGCACTGTCAGCAAACCTCCACACAAGTCACTGAGCAATATCTGTTCATGGATGCTCACTGTTTACATACTGTTAATCATGAAACCTAAAACATCTAAGCTCAAGTAAACAAACAAATTATGTGGAACCTTTTTTTCCAAAGTGAAGAATGGTAGTACTTGAAGCTAAATTTCATTTAGCTAATCTTATGGAGGAAAAATAGAGAAAATGGCAATGAACCTAATTTTTCTGGATAGTGTAGTGAGTAAATAATTTATTTTGTTTTCACCAAATCCCTAACATCTGCTGGTAATTTCACAGTACTGGACTTAAGTAAATAACAATAATTTGTAAAGTGCCTACTTGGAAAATGGAGGCTGAAATGTTATTTTTAATTATAGCTTAGATTATTGCTAATAACTTAAGCAGGAGCAAGAATAATACCAAAGAAAAGCTTTTACAACATTGTGACAAAAGATTACAAGTTGGGCTTTGTTAAAATATGTGACTCATAGGAACATGGGACAAATTATGCCTTTCCAGCCCTAGTGATGTTCAATTTCAAAGCTAAAAGTAATACTCTACGTCATGGATGGCATGATGAAAGGGATACACAGAGCTTCATTACTGCCTCAAGGAAGTTGTTCTCAAAAGTAATGGGAGAAATAATTCTGAAGAATTCTCTATAAATGAATTATCTATATTTCTGGGTTAAATCTACATTTCTGGGTTAAATGCAGTAACTGGACTTTGTCCAAAGTAAAGAGAAGGCAGTAAGTCAGTCCAGAGTGGAAGTGCATCTTTTAGAGAGTTAGATTTCTCCAATTTCTATACAATGTTTTCTTCAGGAATAAATAGAAAAAGCTAGAGGAGTTTGTGAAAAGCTATATACGTATATCTTCTGCTAATTTCAGTTGAATGAGGTGCTTGGTAGAAGATTAGTTAGCAAAGTAACTCTGAGTTCCAGCTCTGTCACATTCTAACAGAGCACCTTTGGCAAACTTAAGCTCTTCCCCCTCTTCAGATTTTTCTCATCTGCAAAGAAAAAAAAGATTTGCAATATTGTACTTTACATAATTTGCTATAAAGATCATGTCAAATGATATAGTAGAGGTAAATCATAAATTATGAAGAACTGTGCTCCATCAATTACTACATAAAAAAGATATGTTTCTTTTATTATGAAATTTCTAGTATTTAAAATGGGAGGTACTAGAACAGATACATGCATTTAGTTAGAGTTTGATTAAAAACCTGCTAGTCCCCTCAATTTGCTTGTTTTAATGGCCTCACTGACTTTTCCTAGTTTCAAATTCAACAGCAATTATTTTCATCCTAAAATAGTGAGTTAGGGTAGTAGTTCTGAATCCTAACTCATGGATTTGACTCCCAATTCTTCCACTTACTGGTAATGTATGTTAATTTTTACTTTTAACTGCCTTGGGTTTTTTCTAAGTGGGGGATCATAATAAAGATACTTAACCAATAAGGTTATTTACATGATTAAAATAACTAAATATATGTCAAGTGCTCCATTCAATGCTTCACACATAGTAAGGACTCAATATATGTTGGCTATTTTTAATATTTTCACACAGACCCGCAGAGTCAAATAAAGTGGAGACACTATCCACTTAACTATTCCTTCCACCTGTGTCCCTAAGTGCATTCATTCTTGGTAGACAAAAAATTTTACTTCTTTCACACTTATCCTCTTCCATCTTTTCTTCAGTATCTTTGATTTCCAATGGTTATGGTATGCCATGTTTAAACTTCAAGAGCCTTCTCAATTCTCTTCATCACTAAATGACACTTTAAACAAAAAATAAGAATTGTCGTATCCAAAGGACTCTTTTTTATCCTCTCTATTCTTGTTCTATCTCATGCTTCAGACAATCCTAAAGAAACTATATTTTGTAAAAAATAAATCTGACATTATATATGTCTAGTGTATATGCATATCTAACTTCTTTGATACTATAACTTCTCTGGCTCCCTGTGACATCCAGCTGTTGCTTCTCATTTAAGCTTCTTTACTTTTGCTCGTTTTTTTCTCAGAAGACTCATCTATTTTCTTGGCTTTAGTGATAACCCTTGTGTAGATGACTCACAGATTTTCACCATGGGGCCTGATCTCTGATCCTGGCAGTAGAGCTCTCCAGTTTTCCACTGGATGGTTCATTTCAAATATAAAAAGGAAACATATCCACTCCAAGCACACAGCATTTTTACTTAAAATTAGTCCTTCTAATTTACCCACCTCTATTCATGGTGTTTCCATTTTCCCAGCCCCTTAGATATGACTATAAATCATCTTTGACTCATTCCTTTTTTTTTATTCTCTATATTCTATTCATGGCCAGGAATTCCATAGTTCTGCTTGAAATAATTACTTTGTTCTTTACCTCCTTTCTGTCTCCACTGACAACATTTAAATATGGGTCTTATTATTTCACCCATAATTGAACTACTGTTAACAGCTCTTTGGCTTTTCCAGAATTCCTGTTGCTTTCTCACCCAATCATTCTTTCTGGCTTACAACAGCCAAATTAATTATTATGACATGTATTTTCATTTTGTGAGCCCCTGCCTAGAAGTCTGAATGTTCATAAATGTTACAGTATGAAGTATAAACCCCCTTGCCTAGTTTGCAGATTTCTCATTGCCTAAAAATGACACACACAAATGTTCACGCCTCACTTCTTTGTAACACTTCTGTTCTATTCAGCCTTACTTCTTCATTGCTCCTTAAAAATGTCTTGTGTTTTTCCTTTACTCATGCCTGCCTGCTATATTAGGATGGTCTTCCCTTCCACCAAGGCCAAGCCTACCACCCTATATCAGGCACCTTGTTAATTTAAGGTACAATAATAAACAATCCGTGGTTCTTAGTGGTCCACAACAAAAAATGTTTACTTCTAACTCATGCCGTGGTAATCTCAACTCTCTGTGGATCTCTCTACGTAACCGCCATTCTAGTACCCAGACTGATAGAATAGTTTCCCTTGGGACATTGACATTCTTGTTTTTTGGGGGTGTCAGGGAGGAGAGCACTTTGGTAGGGGCTGTTAAAGCTTTTGCTTGGAATTAGCACATTTCACATCTCTTTACATTTCAATAGACAAGACAAATCAGTGGTGAAACCTAATATTAGTAGGATGGGGATGTATCTTTTCCTCAATGGAGAGGCACAGCAAATCCGACAGCTAAACCTTATGTTGAAGGAACTGGAATGTACAATACTTCCATAAAGAAAAACAGCTAATATTTTGAATATTATTAGTCTACTACAGTCTACTCTCTTTGTCACAAATAAGGACTTTCCTTCCTTCTGCTGACAAAATAGACTCACTCCATCTCCAAGAGAGAAAATGCCCAAGTTCAAAGTCTCTGTTCATATGATATTCTGTATTGATATCATATCAGGATATGACTGCTCTTGATTTACACATTTGTTAATTAAAAAGTTAATGTTAATTGTATGCCCATGACATCCCCAATAGACAACTGTAGTACAGAAATGGGATAGTATCAATAAATATTCACATTTGTAAAGGAGAAGAATAGGCCATGTACAGCAGTTATGGGTAGATAGAAATTCTTACACTTTCCTGGGGAAGTGATGAGGCATGCCACCCCGGCGAGAGGAGTGTTTGATTAAGGAACACTCCTCTTGCCTAGGTAGCATGCCTCCTTCAAACTAGTTACTTAGTCTACTTTTTTCCATCATCTTCTCTGTGGCTTAATGATATTCCTCTTTCATGAATTTATGGAGCACTAATAGGTGTTATCAAGTTGCATACATTTAATTTAGACATTCTGATAATATTTTATGTACATTAATATTATTTCTCCAAACAACTTGTACATTTGTCAGAAGAACTAATCTTCTCTGAACCTGTGTAAGGATAAGCTAGTTCCCCATATAGGGTTTCAGTAACAACTTTATAAGGATATTGTATGTAATGAAGTGTTAACAGTGGAGGGTGTCCAGGTTCTTGGCATCTTGAACAAAGAATTGGACAAAACGCACAAACAAAGCAAAGAAGGAATGAAGGGATTTATTGACAATGAAAGTACATTCCACAGTGTAGGAGCAGGCCCAAGCATAAGGGCTCAATAGCCCTGCTACAGAATTCTTGGGAGTTTAAATGCCCTTTACTTGGGGTACACCTATGTAAATGAAGAGGATGAAGTAAAGTTCCAAAGTCATTTACTCAGTGTATGCCCTATAGAAAGGTTATTTCTTGTCATAGCTGAAGTGTGAATCGGCCTTCTGTTCCTGGCCTCCAGACCCTATTTTCCTGCCTCAAAATGGTGCCAAGTTACTCTGATAGGTTGAAGTTCACAGTTTCTTCAGCATAGCCATGCCTGTATTGACATTACCCTTGATTTCCTGCATCTTTTAAAGTAAATAGTTTGTTTATTAGGCTTAGGTTTTGTTTACGTTTTCATTACGGAAATATTATTTGCACAGAGCAGTCCTCGGAGCATTCAGTAAAACACCAGCGCACAGTCGTCCTAATGTGTGCCTTACTCTCAGCTTATAAGGTGACTGTGAAAATAGTAATAACTTTATCCAGTCCTCCATTTTAGATCAAGAAAGATATGCTCTGCCCTTCAGCATTCCCAGAGAGACTACTTGAGGTGACATGATCAACTCTTTTGAGTCTTTCAAAGTAAAGAAAATTTCACTGTAATTATGAAAGTCAGGCCTAGATCAGGCTGTGAAGTAACAAGTCTGTCTTTAAGTTATTCTGTCTCTCATTTCACTTATATAAAGTTAGAAAAGATAACATACTGTAGAAATAATTATCTTTGATTGTGTAGGTGGGGAGATGCTTTTGGACAATGGGCTATTTGTGACTCACTCAGGAATACTGCCAAAAAATGTGTTCTGCCATTTATACAGCATAGAAAAATATCTCCCCACACAATCATGTGAGAAAGATGGTTAAGAGTTGTTTATACTGCAAAGAACCAATATTAAAAATGGGCATGATACTATTCAACAGACTTTAGAGTGAAGTGCTCTGCAAAGAAGATAGCTTGTGAATCTCAACTTTCTCCCTGTTTTTCTTCATTCTAACTTGGAATCTTCATAAGGTTTTATATTTTCCACGACTTTGCTATTTCTTAATGACCTTCCTTGGTTTTATTCTGTATAGTGCATTGCAATGCCCTCCACTATATTCAGGAAATTTTCACATTTTAAGAGACAGTTTATGGACTTTGTACTTTAGCACCTTATCTAAGTAAGGGATAGAAACAAGAAAGTTCTCAAGTTTGTCTCTAAATGAAAAGTTTTGATGTGTGGCTATGATGGTTAATACCGAGTGTCAGCTTGATTGGATTGAAGGATACAAAGTATTGATCTGGGTGTGTCTGTGTGGATGTTGCCAAAAGAGATTAAAATGTGAGTCAGTGGTCTGAGGAAGGCAGATTCACCCTTAATCTGGTGGGCATAATCTAATCAGCTGTCAGCGAATATAAAGCAAGCAGAAAAACGTGACAAGATAAGACAGGCCTAGCCTCGCCGCCTACATCTTTCTCCCATGCTAGATGCTTCCTGACCTCAAAAATCAGACTCCAAGTTCTTCAGTTTTGGAAGTTGGACTGGCTCTCCTTGCTCCTTAACTTGCAGACAGCCTATTGTGGGACCTTGTGATCAGGTAAGTTAATACTTAATAAACTACCCTTTATATATCCTATCAGTCCTGTCCCTCTAGAGAACCCTGAGTGATACAGATTTTGGTACCAGAAGTGGTTTAGTACCAGGAGTGGTACCAGGCAAAGAGTTTAGTGACTCCATATATAATACATTTGATCATATGTGGAGAAACAAGGAACATAATGCAGCCGGTTGTATACTGCTAAGTTCAGTGAACAAAGTGATCAAAGAAAATGATGAAATCAGGGATTCTGTCTCCCTGGTTCAGAAGCAGATACTGAGCCTCAAGTCTGCTAAGATTGCCCTGAGTGAGAGTCTTATCTCCTGTGAAGAAAGCCCTGAAACTGTGGAAAAACAGACCCAAGTTCTTACCATGCAAGTGGCTGACCTGCAATGAAAGATGCATGCACAGCCTAATCAGGTGTCTACTGTTAAAGTGAGGGCATCGATTGGAAAAGAATGGGACCCTGCAACTTGGAATGGAGATGTGTGAGAGGACCCTAATGAAGCTGGGGACACTGAGTTTGTAAACTGATGAACTTTTTTTGCCAGAAGGAGCAGCTTCCCCATTACCAGTAGTGGCAACATCCCCCCATCCCCCCACCCCACCGACCCATGCTGCCATCAGCTTTTCTATCTTTGTCTGAGGAGATAAACCCTGTGCTTCCTGAGGCAATAGTGCTGGCCTTTCCTGAGGCAGTTGCCAGGTAAGATAATGTTGATTCTCCTCAGGAACCACCCCCAACATCCCTGTTTGCTTCTAGATCTATAACTGGACTAAAGTCCTAGTAGGCCCCTAGAGGTAAGTTGAGAGTGTGACCCATGAGAAGGTGCACTACAGTCAAAAAGAACTGTTTGAGTTCTCTATATAAGCAGAAATCAAGAGAACAGGCATGGGAAAGGATATTAAGGGTATGGGATAATGGTGGAAGGAACATAGAGTTGGATCAGGCTGAATTTATTGATTTGGGCCCACTAAGTAGGGACTCTGCTTTTAATGTTGCAGCTCAGGTAGTTAAAAATGTTTCTAATAGTTTATTTGCTTGGTTCGCTGAAATATGGATTAAAAGATGGCCCACTGTGAGGGAGCTGGAAATGCCTGATCTCTCTTGGTTTAATGCAGAGGAAGGGATTTAAAGGCTTAGGGAGATTGGGATGGTGGAGTCGATTAGTCATCTTAGACCTACTCGTCCCAGCCGGGAGGGTCCAGAAGATATACCCTTCACCAATGCCTTGCAAAATAGATTTGCGAGAGCAGCACCTGCATCTTTTAAGAACCCTGTAATTGCTCTTCTCTGTATATCAGACCTAACAGTGGGAACTGCAGTAACTCAACTACAAAATTTAAATACAATAGGAATAATTGGATCCTGAGGTGGCAGGGACCAAGTGGCAGCACTCAACTGTGAAAGACAAGGTGGGCATATCTACTGTAATAGACAGCAGAGGCAAAGCGGCAATCAGAATAATCTGACTTGTGTAGAGCTCTGGCATTGGCTAATTAGACACTGTGTTCCTAGAAGTGAAATTGATAGGAAGCCTACTGCATTCTTAGTTAATTTATACAAGCAGAAAACTTCTAGGTCGAATGGATACAAGACTAATTTGATTACAAAAACAGAATCACCGTCCCTCAATCGATTTCCAGACTTGAGCAAGTTTACAGACCCAAAACCCCTTGAATGAAGGGGATGCTGGGTCCCCTTGAGGAAGGACCCCACTACACCACCAACAATTCATGCAGTGAATCTTTCTCCCATCCTTCCCCAAGGAGACCTCTGGCCTTTTAGCAGGGTAAGTGTGCATTGGGGAAAGGGAAATTGTCAGATATTTCAGGGACTACTTGACACTGGCTCTGAGCTGATGTTGATTAAAGGGGAGCCAAAATGTCATTGTGGTCCTCTAGTTAAAGTAGGGGCTTATGGAAATCAGGGAATTAATGGAGTTTTAGCTCAGGTCTGGCTTACAGTAGGTCTCTGGACTCATCCTGTGGTCATTTCTCCAGTGCCAGAATGCATAATTGGCATAGACATACTTAGCACCTGAGAGAACCCCCACATTGGCTTCCTGACGGGTAAGGTGAGGGCTATTATAGTGGGAAAGGGCAAATGGAAGCCATTAGAGCTGCCTCTACCTAGAAAAATAGTAAACAAAACCAATATTCCATCCCTGGAAGGATTGCAAAGATTACTGCCACCACCAAGGACTTGAAAGATGCAGGGGTAGTGATTACCACATCCCCATTCATCTCTCCCATTTGACCTGTGCAGAAGACAGATGAATCTTGGAGAAGGACAGTGGATTATCATAAGCTTAACCAAGTAGTGACTCCAGTTGCAGCTGCTGTACCAGTTGCGGTTTCATTGCTTGAACAAATTAACACATCTCCTGATACCTGGTATGTAGCCATTGTCTTGGCAAATGCATTTTCTCCATTCCTATCCATAAGGCCACCAGAAGCAACTTGCATTCAGCTGGTAGGGTCAGCAATATACATTTACTGTTCTACCTCAGGAGTATATCAACTCTTCAGCTTTGTGCCATAATCTTATTTGGAGAGAACTTGATCGCTTTTTGCTTCTGCAATATATAACACTGGTCTATAACATTGATGACATTATGCTGATTGGAAGGAATCCTTGAGGAAGAAGTAGTAAACACACTGAACTTATTGGTCAGATATTTTCATGCCAGAGGAGGGGAAATACATCTGACTAAACTTCAGGGAACCGTCAACCTCAGTAAAATTTCTAGGGGTCCAGTGGTGTGGGCCCTGTCTAGATATTCCTTGTAAGGTGAAGGATAAGTTGCTGCATTTGGCCTCTCCTACAACCAAGAAAGAGGGACAACACTTAGTGGACCAATTTGGATTTTGGAGGCAACATATTCCTCATTTGGGTGTGTTACTCCAGCCCATTTATCCAGTGACCCGAAAGGCTGCCAGTTTTGGGTGGCATCCAGGACAGGAGAAGGCTCTGCAACAGGTCCAGGCTGCTGTGTGAGCTGCTCTGCCACCTGAGGCATATGACCCAACAGATCCAATGATGCTTGAGGTGTCAGTGGCAGACAAGGCTGCTGTTTGGAGCCTTTGGCAGGCCCCCAAAGGTGAATCACACCAGAGGCCTCTAGGATTTTGGAGCAAGGCCCTGCCATCTTCTGCAGATAACTGCCCTCCTTTTGAGAGGCAGCTCTTGGCCTGTTACTGGGCTCTGGTAGAAACTGAACATTTGATAATGGGTCAAATGCGACCCAAGTCACCATGCGACCTGAACGGCCTATCATGAACTGAGTGCTTTCTGACCCATCTAACCATGAAGTGGGTCATGCACAGCAGCATTCCATCATCAAATGGAAGTGGTATATATGTGATCGGGCTCGAGCAGGTCCTGAAGACACAAGTAAGTTACATGAGGAAGTGGCTCAAATGCCCATGTTCTCCACTCCTGCCTACCTGCCTACTCTTCCTCAGCCTGCACCAGTGGCCTCATGGGGAGTTCCCTATGATCAGTTGACAGAGGAAGAGAAGACTAGGGCCTGGCTCACAGATGGTTCTGCACGATAAGCAGGCATAACCAGAAAGTGGACAGCTGCAGCACTATAGCCACTTTCTTGGAACTGAAGGACAGCAGTGAAGGGAAATCTTCCCAGTTGGCAGAATTTCAAGCAGTGCACTGGGCTGTGCACTTTTCATGAAAGGTGAAATGGCCAGATGTGCAATTATATACTGATTCATGGGCTGTAGCCAATGGTTTGGCTGGATGGTCAGGGACTTGGAAGAAGCATGACTGGAAAATTGGTGACAAAATTGGGGAAAAGGTATGTGGTTGGACCTCTCTAAGTGGTAAAAAACTGTGAAGATATTTGTATCCCATGTGAGTGCTCACCAACGGATGATGTCAGCAGAAGAGGATTTTACTAATCAAGTGGATACGATGACATGTTCTATGGACACCACTCAGCCTCTTTCCTCAGCTACTCCTATCATCACTCAGTGGGCCCATGAACAAAGTGGCCATGATGGCAGGGATGGAGGTTATGCATGGGCTCAGCAACATGGACTTCCACTCACCAAGACTGACCTGGCTACAGCCATTGCTGAGTGCCCAATTTGCCAGCCACAGAGACCAACACTGAACCTTTGATATGGCACCATTTCTTGGGGTGATCAGCCAACTATCTAGTGGCAGGTTGATTTTATTGGACCTTGTCCATCATTGAAAGGTGAGAGAATTGTCCTCACTGGAATAGACACTTACTCCGGATACAGGTTTGCCTATCCCACACGCAATGAATCTGCCAAGACTGCTGTCTGTGGACTCACAGAATGTCTTATCCACCATCACGGTATTCCACGCAGCATTGCCTCTGACCAAGGCACTCACTTCACAGCTAAAGAAGTGTGGCAGTGGGCTCATGCTCATGGAATTACTGGTCATACCATGTTCTTCATCATCCTGAAGCAGCTAGATTGATAGAACAGTGGACTGGTGTTTTGAAATCACAATAAGGCCAACTAGGCGACAATACTTTGCAGAGCTGGAGCATAGTTCTTTAGAAGGCCATGTGTGCTCAGAATCAGCATCCAATACATGGTATTTTTTCTCCCATAGCCAGGATTCATGGGTCCAGGAATCAAGGGGTGGATGTGGAAGTGGCACCACTCACCATCACCCCTAGTGATCCACTAACAAAATTTTTGCTTCCTGTTACTGCGACATTACATTCTGCTGGCCTAGAGGTCTTAGTTCCAGAGGAAGGAACACTGCCACCAGGAGACACAACAATATATATCTCCTATTAGTTCTGTCCCTCTGGAGAACCCTGACTAGTACAGTGACTATTGGAGAACACATATGCTCTTAAAATATGGGATGCAAAGCAGTTTGGGAGGATTGCAGATTGTAAATTAATTGCTAAGACTTTAGATCATGAAATGCTAATAAAAAAATCAGTATTTCCCAAAAATTTAACATTAAAGCCTGCATTTTGGTTAAGGACTCTAGCTAGTTTTTCATAAGGTGATATTAAAAATAGTTAACATTTGTTAAAGGTTTACTATATGTCAGGGATAGTTCTCAGCATGTTGCATGTATTAACTTATTTAATTCTTATAATAACATGATGAGGTATGTACTGTAAACCAAAAGTAAAATCCTAAGCCCCGCAACGAACTCAACAGACCCCTTCTTGTACAAGGAGACCCCAGAGAAACCCCAAAGTCTCAATTCCTGGCCATGACAAGAAGACAGGTTGGATATGCCTTGTAAACTCACTCCCTTTTGGAGTTAGATAAAACTGACCAGAATTAAGGATAAAATACAGATCACAAGTCTGACAAAACAGACTCTTTGTGGCAATAAGATACTAAATTATGAACAGGACTTAAGACCTTGCAAGGCAATGGTTAAGTCATGCCCTACCAACCATAAAATCTCATTAAATGTTTTTCTTTTAAATTAACCCAGTAAAATGTGGCTTACTTTCCAAACGGACTCATATAAAACCACATGAAAGATAGCAGACCCTGAAGGAAATCAAAATATTTTACCCCAAAATGTATTTTTAACACATTTTGAAATGACCCTGCAAAGCCATCTTTTGTGGGAAAAACTTGCATCATTAAATCTCCATCAATGCTTCCAGGCTTTTCCTTACTAAGACTTTCCCAGGTGTAGTAAAGATTAATTGAGAGTCTGACAACTATGAAGTCTGAAAAGAATCATTTACCATCTATTCTATCTGAGGGCAGCTACCTATGAAGCTTCATCTACATAACAAGAGCCTTGGCTCCCCACAACTCCCAACCATTCCTTTCTACTGACTTCAAGCATAACTCTCTCAACCAATTGTCAACTAAAGAATCCCCAAAATCCACCTATAACGTGTAATCCTCCCCACCCATCTCACGCCCACCCCCACCATCAAGAGATGTCCTGCCTTTTGGGGCTGAACCAAGGTATAGCTTTCATGTATTGATTGATATCTTTGCATGTAATTCCTATCCCCCCAAAATGTGTAAAACCAAATTGTAACCCAACCACTTTGAGCACACTTTCACGTGACTTCTTGAAACTGTTCCCCAGGACAGGGTCACTCATATTGGCTCAGAATAAACCTCTTTACAATATTTTACAGAGTTTTGTTTTTCAATTAGCTGTACTATAATAATTATTTCCATTTGGATATAAATTGAAGCACAGAAGGATTAAGTTATCTGCCAGTGTTATTCATCCAGGATCGAATCTAAGCAATTTGGTTTTATTTCCAGTGTTCTTGTCCACTATGTAAAACTTTCCAAGAGATGAGAATTATTTTAGAAACAGGGACAAAGTAACTGCTGGGAATCTGGATACAATATCGTAGTGGTGGGCTGAAGCTCATTGCCATCATCTTAATGAAAATCTCCTTCTCCAAATCACAACATTACCAGTGGTGAATCTGGCACATCTGCAACAAACTCCATCCCTGCCTCCTTAGAGGAAAGAATTTGGCTGAAGGACATGAGGCAGAGTGAGAGACTGAGGCAAGTTTTCGAGCAGGAGTGAAAGTTTATTAAAAATTTTAGAGCAGGAACAAAAGGAAGCAAAGTACCCTAGGAAGAAGGCCAGGTGGGTCTCTTCAGATATCCAAGTGCCCTGCTCAACTCTTTACTTGGAGTTTTATACAGTGACATGGTTCTGGGATTTGTATTTCTCCTCCCTTGATTTTTCCCTTGGGGCAGGCTGTCACGCACGTTAGCCTGCCAGCTCTTGGGAGGGGCTGCATGCACAGTGTGTTTACTGAAGTTGTGCACATGCTCATTTGAGGCATTTTTCCCCCACCAGTCAAGTGTCCCTAGAGAAAGGTCATATACCAGTTAAACTCTATCATCTTGCCTAGATATGCATGCTTGAGCCCACTTGCCCACCTCCTGAGATCTTACAGAGAAGCTGCTGATCATCAGCTCCAGGTGTTTTTTATCTACAGGGACACTGTCTCTCCCTGGCACCAGCTGCAACCTGACTATGACCCGATGATCACCTGACATTCCTGGGTGGTGAGGACCCTCTCCTCCCTGCTTATGTCTGCTTAGCTATCTACTCTAACAATACCTGAATCCTGGGCCAGTCTGTCCTCAGAAGCCTCCACTATCCATGGAATACATACCATTCCTTGGAGGTCTGTGAACCAGACTGCCTTCTTTGTATGTCCCCAGATGCCTAAGTGACATAAAAAATAAAGTATGGCATTAGAAAAATTAGGGAAATTTACATTTCATTTGCTTAGCTATCATCATCTGAAATGTGTGGCATTTAAAATCTGAAGTTTTTGAATTTTATACATATATGGTGAAAACTCTGCAGAGAAAATTTATAGTATAAATAAGATTCCAATGAGGATATTTAACATTAGAAGAGTAATATATCCATAGAAAGTAGGGATCCTGATATTAGTCACAAGTTGGCAAAAACCTTATTCCTGACCCTTCAAACATTATTACTAATTGTAATATCTGATCCTTTTGTAAATATTTTTCCCAGACTTCTCACTTCCTTTTAATTTTAGACTTGCCTAGCTAAAGTTCCACTGCTTTCTGCTCACTCAATTTATACATGTTGCAAACTGGTAGCCTGCCATTCACCTACTGTGTATCTCAGAAAAATACACCTGTTCTGATAGTATTCTGTCTAAAGTTCCATCTTTTCTCTGTTTATCTTTTAGTATACACTTTGTAGCCAGGTTTTGCTTCTTCAGCTCCTTATACTTACCTAAAAACTTATTGGAAATGCAGTATGATAGTATGTGATGACTTTCAGCAATTTTTACATCAAAATAGACAGAAAAATATAATATTTGTATACTCTGGGGTTATTTGATGAGACAGCTCATGTCAGAGACAATAAGCCAAGGATTCCAACAGCCCTAGGCTTTGTCTAGTTGATCTTAGGGCTGAAAGAATCAAATCAGCATAACATTCCACCTATTATTTGTTCCTACACTTACTGAGAAGTCCTCATGTAGGGGCAAGAGTATGTTGTTTGAGGCCAGATAAATCAGGCTTTGCATTTTGACTTTGCTATGTCATAGCTCTGTGATTGTGATAAAATGACAATATTCTATCTTCTGCTTTCTAAGCTATTAAATAGGAATAATAATATCCAGAGGGGAAATAATATTTCTGTGCCTTCTCCCACTAGTCCTATATCTGCCTATTCCTTTCCTGCTTCTCTTCTAGGATAGAAGTTGGCAATTCAGATGATGAGAGACCTAAGATATTCACTGGGCTATAATAGTAGTAGTTAAGTTTTAAAAACATTAGCATATATTCTATTTCCTGCCTTCTAATCTGTCTTCATCATGAAGTCAGAGTGGAGCCTTGAAAGCAGTTGATGGAATGAAGACACAGCCAAATCAGATGTTTCTTCCCCTTAAAAGTTTGCCCAAAAAGACTACATTAAGTTTAAGGTATTTCATATTTGAATACCTACTATGTTACAGATAAGATTTAAGTCATGAGAGATTGTTTAAGAAGTGAATGGAATTTAGCTTTTGCTCTTAATGAGCTTAGAATTTACCTAAGACCAGAAAATGAGAACAATAATTGAAATAAAATTCCAAAATATAGTATCTAAGTGTTGATATAGAAGGGGGTTGGTGACATTGGAAACGCCTTTCCAGGCAGGAGTGGCTATAGCACCAATACAGGTGGCCTACTGTATGCTTTCAATTTCTTTCTCTCCCTATTTGTGTCTGTACTCTTTTCCAGGGTAGGGGCTATTTCTGTTGTAAATTCCAGAATTTTGAAGTAAACAGAACTCTGTGAGGTTGTCCCTAGGCCCTTCAACTCAATGCTTCAGGCAAACATCTATACAGTATTCTCCTAGTACAATGTCTCATTTGACCTGGGGCTTTTCTCCAAGGCTTACTAAGATCCTCAGGCTACATATTGGAAAGTGAGTGGTACTTTAGTCCCAGATTGCATTTATTCAAGTTTCTTCAGTCTTGTTGAGTGTTCTAGTGTACTCCCATAGAAGGGAAGAAGGACACAGTACCTCTTCTCAAAGTCACATACAAGTGGCTTTCCCTCTTGTTCTAATCCTATTTCAGGTAGCCTGGGCAGAATTATCTTGTTGCTTTCCTGTTCACTGTTGATGGCACACACTTCATACTACTATTCTTAAAGAGCTAATATTTGACAAGCAAAGCAAGGCTTTAGAACTCATACCATCTCCTATTCTAAAAGCCTACTTCTTACAACTCAAACTGCTATGCTTTTCCAATGACATACAAATATGGAAGGTAAATTTGGGAGAAGATCTTGATTGGTATTCAAGTATCTTCCCTCAAATTTAACATACACACATGCAAAATAATAGGATTCACTACTGATTCCCAGGAAGGTCAACTCATGCTGAGTTTGATAAGTAAGCTTCTCAGATCTAGAGAGAAAGTCAAAATATGATTTTATAGAAATGAAAGTAGGAGTACATTTCAAGGAGATAGTGTTCAGCAGGAAGGAAAAAAACAAAAAAGGCGTAAACAATCCATTCACAGAAGAAAAAATCCACAAGACTAATAATCATATGAAAGAATACTCACTTTCAGTAATAATGGAAGATATGTTAAGCGAAAGTGATAATCAAGAATTATGTGTCATTACTAACATTTATTTTAAAGCATGATATTATTCAAAACAATCCACGTACTGTAAAACATGTATTCTTATCACTGATGTTGGAAGAATATAGAAGTACAACTATTTGGGAAAGTAATCTTGGTAAAATATGCCCAGCCTTAAAACCATATATGTTCTTTAACCTAATATTCCCACTTTTAAATACTTATAAGGACATAATTATATATTAAAAAGAGTTTCTCCATGAAAATAATTCTGTTATAATTTTATAATAACACTTGAAAACACTATATTGGATATACAAATCAATTACTAATATATACCTATCACTTTAAATCATTTGCTTTATATACAACTGTTTAATATATTATATAATGCATAATGTATGTTAGTATAATCTTTAATATTTATTATATCATATGTCATATATAGCTTTATATAAATATTATATCACATATAGAGTGTGCATATATATAATGTATGCCATGTGCATGCACAAAAATTTAATTACATCTAAATGATGATTTTTAACAAATTCCTTTATTGTGCTCTTTTTTTATATTTGTGCATTTTCCATGTTTTATAAAACTATCAAGGGTCATTTCTATGATAGAAAAATAATTATAAAGAAAGAAAATAATGAGCAAAGTTTTTATACATTGGTATAAATTTGTATAAATTTATTGGTGTAAATTTAAAATGTTGGTGCTGGAACAATTGGACATCCATAAGCAAAAGTAAAAAGACAAAACACATAGATAATACACATAAATATAAAAGTAGAAATCTAAGATTTCTTGAAGAAAACATAAGAGAAAAATTTTTCAGTTTTGAATAAGGAAAGATTTCCTAGGTAGGACACAGAAAGTATGAATAATAAAGAAAAATACAGATAAACAATTTTATCAGTACCTAGTGATTAAGAAGTTTCAGTAAGAAAGGGTTTGTTAGATTTGGCATTTAGAACACAATTGATTACTTTTTCCCAAGGTGAATTCAAGATTATAGCTAACTTTTATTGCTATTTCAGTGGAAGTGGTTCTTTTTTAAAGAGACAGGATCTGAATCCGACTTTAATTAATTCATCTCTTAGGGTACTATTCTGATAAGTGCTTCAGGTCAACAGTATGCATGGTGATGCTTAATTTTCTTTTAATTCCAAAGGCTAATGTCTCCAGATTTTGCTCCCCAAATTACGGTGCATTTCATTTAGCAGTGTAAAGAACACAATTTAAAAACCAAGGGGAGCACAGCAAGGTAACAGTTTATCTGCAGTCTATCAGTAGAAGTGGACATGATATGACACAATACCAAACAGGGGTAGATCAGCAAATTTATTCAGGAAAACAAAACTCGGAGGAAAAAGATCAATGTCCCTTTTTCAGGCAAAATGTCTAAAGAGAAGAAGAGAAAAATCATGGTAAGAAGTAAAGAAAATCATAGTTACTTTTTAATTGTTTTGGCAAGGCAAATCCTGTAATTTAAGGTAGAAATAAAGAACAAAGTATCTATATTTTTTTCTTTTTCTCTTAGGTTTTTATTTACGTTTTTCAGAGTAATCAAGAAAAATAGGCTGGAAATTTCTGGTTTCACTATCTAGCAAGATAGGAATTTAAGTGGTACATTTACATCCTTGTTGGATTAAAGGAAAAGAAAAATTGGCAAGGGCATAAGAAGGAAACTGACACATATCAACAATAAGCAAATTGATGAAATTTAAAATGTTGGTGCTGGAACAATTGGACATTCATAAGGAAAAAAAAGATACGAAATAGATAATACACATAAGTGTAAAATACAAAATCTAAGTTTCCTTGAAGAAAATACAAGAGAAAGTTTTTACAAGCTTGGACAAGCAAAGATTTCCTAGGTGGGACACAAAAAGTATTAATAATAAATAAAATTACTGATAAACTTTATCAAAGTTAATATTTTTGTTTTTAAAAGGCACCTAAGAAACTATGAAAACAAGCCATAGACTGAGAAAATATTTGCAAAACACAAAAAAGGTTTGATTTCTAAAATATATAAAAAATCTCAATTCAATAAAAAGAAAACAAGGCAAAAATTAAAAATAGGTAAACAGTTTGACAGATGTTTCACCAAAGAAGGTATACAAATGATAAATAAGCATATCTCAACATTACTCCCAATAGGAAAATAAATATTAAAATTACATTGAGATACTACTACACTCTTACAATTATGGATAAAAAATAATTTTAATGGCAATACGTTTGCTAATGAGGATGCAGCACAGCTATAATTCTCATACACTGTGGGGGATGGGTGGAACGAAAAATAGTACAGTCACTTTAGAAAACAAATTTGTAGTTCTTTATAAAATTAAGCATATGCTTATCACACAACACAACAATCCTGTTTACTTAAGATAATAAAAGCAAATGTCTGCTCAAAGGTCTGTATATGAAAGTTGCAGTAGTTGTAATCATAATTACCCAAACAGAAAGCAACACAAATATAACCGGTAAATAGAGAAACAGTGGAAAACTACTTTACAAAAAAAGCAATAAAAAGCAACCAACTACAGGTTTATGTGATAACAGAAATCTTAAATGCATTTCACACAGTGAAAGAAGCCAGACTCAAAAACATATGTACTATATAATTTTATTTATATCACATTCTGAAAAGGGATGGGTCAGTAATCGCCAGTTCCTGAGTCTGAGTGGCTACTGAAGACCATAAAGATACTTCATAGGGTGATGGATATGTTCTATGTCTTGATGATGATGGGAAAATTCATGCCACTGTACACCTAAAAATGATTGATTTTACTCTATGTAACTTATACTTCCATGAATCTAATTTAAAACAAACAAACTAACTAGAAAAGAACAAAGAGAAACCCATGAGAGTCAAGCAAGAGATTTCTTGGAGTATGGTATATTTCTTGACAAACTTAGCAAATTTTCATTTGTCAAAAGTGTGTAATAGCAGAGTTGGGATTTCACTCAAGTAAGTCTAAAAATATATAAAAAGAGAATCTCTAGAGAATTCTAGTAATCATGGCAGAACTCAGGTTTTACTTCACGAAAGTCAAGTTCAGTAATATATTTGGCCTACTGTATCCTTATTTTTAGGGTAATTTTATGTCTCCATTTTCCTGGAACATTCCCATTTATGGCTAGTTTAATACAGCATACCATTTTTCTCTCAAGTTTTCCTATTTGGGCAGTAAAGTACATGGTCACCTAACTTAAGTATGTGTCATGTTAGATGTTCCACATATATATGTAGAAGAATGGCTTTCTAGGTGTGGAGTTTCTAGCAAAAGATTAAATTCACGTTGAGTTCTCTTAAAAGAGAATATTATGTCAATTTTAAAGTTGATCTTACTGTTACAAAAAAGGAAATGTGTAAGGTTATGTACTCAATATCTTTAATAGTCTGTCATACATCAATTAAGAGTTTGTTGAACATACTACAAGTCCTAATCAGCATTTTTTCTATCAATTTAGTTACTTTTTAAAATAGAGAATTACACCATTATTGAAAATGAGGTCTAAAACCATATTAAGTGCTGGCACCTCTCTATTCCTAAGCATCAGCAGATAGCTAAAAAAGAAAGAAACATAAAGGATGAGGTCAATGATGAGCTCTTCTCCAGAGCTGCTGGAACCAGAGGGATTAATGACATCATGATACAGATTGTTAGGTCATTGCTCTTAGGTCTTTGCTCCGAGGATGGAAAGAAAACACAAATTAGTGTGATATTTAAACTATTCATTAAAAATTCCATTGAGAGAAAAAGATGGCCTCATTTTATAGTTTACTCTATGTTTTAAAAAAATAAAATGAACTTGAAACTATTACTGAATTCAAATGAAGCTGCCATGATGACAGGGCTAGTATATTGTCCCCACCATGGAACTGCTCCCAAAGACAAACTCCAATGAATGAATTAGATATTGCTTTTTGGTGAGTGGAAGCAAGACAAGCAAATTAAACTATTGGGAAAATTAAGGAATTAAACTACAGTTTTAAAGACCATTATAATGAAGTTTCTGTATAGATATAATAATATTCATCCCATTGGCTTTCTCTGGGCCTTATTAAACCATAGGCAATATCAAACTTATTTACTCTTCTAGCACATAGTAACCCCTATTGGCTCAGAAAAGCAATTCTCCAATCCCTGTGAAAAAATCTAAATTCTTCTATCTCTAGTTCTAAAATAGCTGGAATTCAAACTGCAATTTGGAGAATTAGACAATCATTAGTAGAGCAGCTAATACTCAGGAAGTGCTGGCATAATTCCAAAGCAATGCTCAAATAGAAAGCTCCAGTTGGACTATTTTATGTACTGTTTAGTTATTTTCAACTGTGAAGTAGAAAAGGCAATATAATTCACCCCAAGAAACAGGTGAGTCATTTATTGGTAAAGCAGATATAGTAGTAAAGTGCTCCAGGAAACATAGTGAGTGAGCAGGATTTTGGAAGAAAATGTAGTATAAGGGAAGTTGCTAAAATATGTACTAATTTCATGAGAAGTAGATCTTCATAACAAACTTTGATATGTGCTTGTTATGTAGCTATGTAAAAACAATATGTAAGAGAATGCTTATTCTTTTATATAAGCGAAATATATTTTCTTATATTTAATATCACATATAATGGGAAAATTTTCTTATAAGAAAATATAAGAGAATTCTCTATAAGAGAATGTAAGGAATTAGTAACTTATATGCCATGCCAATTGAGAGATATGATAATATTCAATAGGAAAATCAACATTCTTTTAATAAATCAATTTTAACCTTAAATACATGGTTCTTCAAGTACCCTAATGTCCAAATATTTCATTTTAATATAAATCTCTTCCTAAAATACCACTGTACAATTGAATTAAAATATCTTTCTATTCTTTAAGTAACAATACAATATCCTTGTTGACTAGGATCTTTCATGTAATTTTATATTATTAGAATTAGTATTTTATATATTGTCTTGTATTATCTTACTTTGTATTTTATTATTCTATATAAATTTTAAATTTTGGAATGTATTGATATATAGAATCCTCTTTGTAACACATAGTTTTTTTAGTCAGCTAAAAAAGTCAATTTAAAATAATATTTGAATAAAACAAAATATAAACATTTGTCATAATTTTATAATCAATGAATGAAATATGTTACCAAGTGAGTCTTTTTCCCTCAGCTGACTATATTACTTCCATATTGATCTCATTTGGTCAATAAACATCAGAGATCATGAGGTATCAGGCTGTGTGTCACCATATTCAAAGTGTTACAAAGTATCAGATGACTTCAAAATCTTCCTAAAATCCAAGATTTAGACCTCAATTCAGTGCTAGTGCTCTGACAAGTGACTGTGAGTATATGTATATATTTGTGCTGTATGACTTGTGACTGAATGCTTTTCTAGAAGTTCTAAATTTTCTATATTGGGTAAGTATTTTCATCTAAATAAGAATAAAATAAAACAACACGAAATACTATGGGCCTAGCATTTTGAAACCTAGGCCCCGTTGTAAAATAAAGAAAACTAATTTTACTAGGACCAGAGAAAAGCTCTGAGCAGCCTTTCAGCTGCAAATGGTGGCTCAGAAACTAGGCAGTCCAAGGGAATCTAAAAGCAGCCCAGCAAGTGCTTGGTGCCAAGCCTCCAATAGGAATCAAGGACACAGCACCAAGAAAAAAATAATATCAGATAATTATATGAGCTGAGTATGGAGAAGAAATCATGTTCTAACTGTGCGTATTAGCATCTGTATAGAAATGACAAGAAACCAAGTAGTCTTCAGTTCCATATACCTACATAGAGACACTGGCAATGATGAGCAGAGCTGGAACTTATGTGAAAGGATATTATTTGCTCCACTTGTACAATCTCCACTGGACCTATTTTCTAATCTTGGTCATATAATTCTTATTTCTCTAGTAGCAAGAAGTCATGCTGAAGCTTAGAGCAGTGGACCTTGGCAAACACGGACTGCCCCCGTCCTGGTACTACAGAGATTTCAAGATCTGTCTCTCCCAGCATACAGACTATGTGAAATTAAGAGAGAAGAGAGCTTCGTGAATCAGTTCAAAAAGGGACTATAGAGCTACATAATACTAAGAAAAGGAGGGCTTAAACCTGCAATGTCTTTTATGGATCCAAAGAAATAAATTGGTCACAGATTTTAGAGTAGGAGCTAGTTTCCAGGTAGCAAGTAAACAGTTCCAACAGTGATAACTGGAGCAACTTATCCATTTCTTCAATTATCAAGTCAGTAATGGAATAAGTATTTGAATAAAGGTAGGCTAGTTCTAAGGCTATGGCAGTAGTCCAAGAGATGACAGGTGAGTACAGTGGAGTTGGGAGAACAGTAACAAATGAAGGAAAATGGAGAGGACATAATAATTTGTTTGAAGTATCATGTTAAGAAGAACTCCCATATTTCTGACTTGAGGACTTGTTTGGCAATGATAGGAGATTGTGGAGAGCAAAAAGGATTGGAAAAAGAGAATCACAATTTAGCTTTGGCGTGTAAAATTTGAAATGCTTTGGAAAACAAGTGTAAATGTTAACTACGCAAATAATTGCATGGGTATCTAATTCAGAAAAAAAGGCTTGTCTGAAAAAAACAAACATAAAAATGTTTGGTTCATTGATATTGATTGAATTCCTGCAAATAGATATGATCATGTGAGGAAGTTAGAGTGAGAAGAGAAAAATCTAAGTAAACGCTTACCATTTATTATATTTAAAGGTCTTGAAAAAAAAGAGTGAGAAAATAAGACTGGGTAGTAAAGAACAGTAAAAACAAGCAAAGAGTAGTAAGAAACAAACGGTCATGCTGCTGAAAAATCAAATAATTTAACAAATTAAGATTGTATAAGTTTCCTTTGGCAGTATAGTCTTATTGAAGTGGTAAAGCCTCACTAAAGAGTAAAGAAATGTATTAAAAAATGGAAGCTCTTGGCAGCTTTTGAGAAAGAATGCTTCCTCTATTTTGACAAGAAAAAAAAAAAGAGGATGGCTAAGGATTCAGAGAGGTATTTTTTTTTGTTTAGTGGTGGGGAAGAGAAAGCAGTTCCAAAATGCTGACTTCTATTTTCTTTGGGAAGTAAGAGACTTCTGAAATTCTGCTGATTATGATAAAGTTGAAGTGGCTAGGAGTCTAGGTAGAATGGAAAGGCCTAAAGTTATTGTGAAACATAGAATGATTAGTGATTTTCCAACTAGAAAAAGAGAATGTCATTTAAAGTTTAAGCATCATTTATATTGGTGAACACAAAGTTGATGACAGTATCATTCCAATGTGGTTGTATAATTTCCTTCAACAATGCTCACTTGCTCAGGTAGAAATGTGGAAAATGGTTGGGCTATTCATGATGGGGGAAAAAATTTCAGGTTTGGAGGAGAGTGACTGAGATAACCGCATATGTAGTTCAAGCTGAATACAGAAGAAAGTGAAGAAAGGAAGTAACTAATGGACAGTGTGAACACTGAGGTTGAAGATTGAATTTCTGATTAGATATTAGTGAGCTAAAACTCCCAACAAGGCCAAAGAAAGAAAAGTTGTGGAAATAGCTGAACAAGCATTTCATACAGGCAGAAAGTTGAGTTTGGATATTTCAATAAATGAGGTTTTCCAATAATAATTTTGGAAATGGGGGAGTTGGCTGACTGTAAGGCCCACAGTGTAACAGTGTGAGGGCGTGATTACATGTACGTGTGATATTTGTGTTGTCATTTGCATCAAGGTGTAGTAAAAATGAAGTCTGTGGACCAGGCGCCAAAGGCTCCATGGAATGAAGCAGATTCCACAAGACAAGCTAATTCTATTCAGAAGGCAGTATAGCCAGGGAAATAAAAAGGAAGTTCACAAACTCAAAGGTGAGAACCAGTCTGAAAGTGGAGTCTGTTTTGTAAATTGCTTAAGGGGATTGCAGAGGAAGCAGTGTTCACAAGAGAGCAAGTTGGAATGAATAAAGAAATGTAATGAGTATTAACATTGAAGCTGACATCAAAGAGTTAGATCATCATATTGTAATCATAAGAAGCAGAAGAATTTTCAACCTAAAGAATTTGAGCCTAATTTGCTATATTTAGCCTTTGTTTATACATTTAGAATATAGAATAACAGTGAGAGCCAAATCTGTAACTCACAAAGACAATCATGCAAATTCATGAAACCTCTTAATGAATAAATAAAAAGGGTTTTTGTTTCAGACTCCCCCCACAAAAAGCTAAAAAAGAAATAATGAAAAACAAAACGACAAAAAATGGGAATTTTAAAAACAAAAAGAAACAACAAAAGAAGTCCAGTTACTACCATTCCTGTGAAGTTTCTTCAAAACTAATGAGAATATATGTCAAAAATTATACATTTTGAAAAATAAGTGTACAATACAGTATTGTTAATTATAGGCACTGTGTTTCACAGCAGATTTCTAGAACTTGTATTGCGTAATCTGAACTGAAGTTTCCTTGTGCAGCTGTGGGCTTTACCAGATGACATAGGCTACGTGTACTGTCTTTTTCCAATGGTAGTCATGGAATTACGGATTCTACCTCCCTGCTAGTTTCCTTTTTTTTTTTTTTTTTTTCGTGAGGGATTCATTTGTTTCTTGTTTATTGATATTTCCCTTTCTTATTTTCAAGCATGATATATACTTATTCATTTATTTTTATAATTGGTATATTGTTTCTGAGTTAGGCAGTTGTAGGGAAGATTGCAGTCTACTATTCTGGAATTAGAAATCTTAAGAAAATTATATATACAGCTGGAAATGATTCATTAAATGTAATGAGAACCAGAGTTTTGTTAATCCTACTTTTATTCACAATAAGAGATGAGCAAAGAAAATTATTATTGCCCAATTGAAACCACTTATATGGTTAGTTGGTTTTCCTATATTATTTTTAATATTCTACAATGGGAATCAGAGTATGTATTTATTGGTTCCAAACTTCTGCTGCTTATTTGTAAAATTTTAAGAGCTAATTAGATTATCTTTAAAGATTTGCTTCCCCATTGAATTATGCATTTGATATCTCTCCAAGTCCATTTAATTTGATAGAATGTCTGGAATCACACCCTATCATAAAGTAAAGCAACCTAAACTCTTGCAAGAAAACAACGTAATTAATGTATAAGTATTAAAAAAGAAATTACATCTGAACTTACAAGGTTGTGTGCAAACCAAAAACCAAGCAATTGAGCTTTTGTATCTTGATGCAAACAATATACATCCAACCCATAATGTGATCATTTATACTGAAGTGAAGATAATAGTTTCCTTACATCGATCTACATGAACATCAAGGTTTCCCTTTTTATTCTCCAGCTGGTGTAGAACCAGATAGAGACACAAAGGCTGACAGCACTGATTTAAAGAATAAAGTTTTATAAATAAAATACATACTTTTTTCTATTTCATTAAAAATATCATTATAGAATAAATCACACAACACCAAATCAATCCTTCTTGAAAGGTACAGCAGATATGGGAACTGAAGCCCCAAATAGCTATGTTGAAATGCTGAAATGTTATTTAAAAGTGAATTCATAACTTAAGACCACAAAACATTAAAATGTTGTGATCATCTGGATTCTTTAATATTTCTTATTTGAAATCCTTTTGTCATGACAAGAGGAAAGCGTAAATGCTGAGTGTAAGATATTTATCAAGGTTTATTCAAAAATAAAATTGTTAACATGTACTGAATTCTTCCTATATGCCAGGTATTCTGCTGACACTCAACAGACATTGTCTTCAAAATGTACTCTCAAGTGGTCAGGATCCTATTCTCATGGTAAGAATAAAATCTCAGTGGAGACTTTCCTCATCCCAACCCCAGGTATGTTGATGCAGACATAGCTAATGGTTGAGTCACATGTTCCAAGACAGCAGTTATCAATAAGGTGACTGGATCCAAGAAATTATAAAGTAGAGGCTTGAGCAAATCTGCTCTATGCAATTCAGAAGTTCTCAGTCCTTATCTAAAGGGTGTTTTGTTCATTTGCTTATTAGTATTATTATTACCATTATTATTATTATGCACATATTCCTGCAGTCCACTACATTCTGAGGGATACCAAAGAAGTTTGAAGTCACATCCATCTCCTTGAAAAGTTTGGATAATAGTCTTGTTGGGAAACGAAACACACTAATAACAAAATATTCAGCTCTAAAGCCTACCAAAACATACTGGAAGATTGTGTAGAACTAAGACACAAAGGCTGAGAGGACTGATTTAAAGAAAGAAGTTTTATTATGTAGAGTTGAAATAAATTTTGAGATGGACTGAGAAAAATGTGGAAAATTTAGGCTGGTAGGTATGAAAGAACCCACTTTTTGGGTAGTGGGAAAGGTACAAATGTTGTCTCCATAATAAAAATAGGCAGGATTTGTTCATATAATACAGTAGTATAGTACAGAGATGATATTGGGAAGTATTAATGCATTCATGGGAGTGGATAAAGTGAGCTAGTCCTTTGAAGAACTTGATTACCAAGCCAATCAATCTAGATATAATAGTACTATACTGAGTAGTTTTCTTATATAATGAAAGAAGAGAAGAAAAAAGGGAAAATGCTGTTTTGTATCAGGCACAATTCTGGGATTATTTGCTGCATTTGTCTCAACAAATCTGAAAAAGTAGACATTACTGTGAACTGACAGAGTAAGACAGGGACTTGTAAACCAGATAAATTACCCAAGGTTAGAGAGTGGATTATGGTAGAAACAGAATTCAAATCCAAGTGTGTTTATTCTTAACATCTATGTTCTTCCCACAGAGCAAACAATAGCTAGAGATTTATATTTCTGACTCATCTTATATTTCAAAAATACTCGTACATACCTACATATGTATATGTGTATTTCTAATACATACATATTTATGCATCTATATATAGTCCTCAGCCTATGAATATATATGTGTTTATAACACTTCCAGTGCAAATACATACATGTATAGAAATATGTACATATGTATATATACATATATATGCACACATATATATATTCACATGCAGAGGTTCATTTATTCATTTAGCAAACATTTATTCAATAACTAATATGTGTGAGGTAAGTTGAATGACTTAAAAATGTGAACCTTTCCCCATCGTTTCTGTTAGCTCAAAATTTAGCAAACCTCAATGCTTATCTTATGTATAAAGGAATCTTGGTTTATGCAAAAGAAATAAGCATTAGTATATCTTCAAAGTTTTAAGTTTTTGTTTTTTATAAGTATTTTATTATAATATTCATTTTATCTTTTGAGCAGATAACTTTGATTAGCATTTAAAACAACACTTTAATTTCATAAAACTGTTTTATTGCTAACCCTCAATTAAAACATATAAAAGGGTCTGAAAATAACTTTAATGCCATGGATCCTTCAGAGGTCCATTCATGTAGAATACTCAATTTTTTCCAATTATTACCGTTTGCCTCCTTGTACAGAACATCCTGCAACATTTGCCAAGTACCTTTTAGAATCACAGTCAAAGACTAAAAGGGAACCTCAATGATTTTTGGCTCATGTACATAGTGTCTTCAGTAGCAGCTTGCGGCATTGATGTGCCCCAATGGAATGTTGTTTCCGGAAAGAGGGTAAATGAATCACTTTTATGGGCTGAGTCTTTCTCTGCACGTCACCTTGCATTATTAATGGTTGATTCAATTTTGCTGGCTAGAATTAGAGTTCTTTCTAGGGTGAGGTTATCTTCAAGTAGCTGTCTTATTATTTCCTATATTGCCAACCATTAGTATTATTTAGACCCAGAGCATTTTATTTCTCTTTTCCCTATGTTTGATTATATTTTTAATTTCTATGTGAATTTCCAGAAGATGCTTTTAGCTAGCCAAACGAAAACCCCTTGTGGCACATTATTTTAAGACAGAATTTGGAATTTGACACACCTGGATTTGATTCCTGGATCTATCATTTAAGCTTTATAACCTTGAACATGTTAATCTCTCTCAGGTACTATTTCCTCGCTTAGAAAATAAAGGATGAAATGAACTACACTATTGGAGCTACTATAAAGATGAAAGAAGATGAAAGTTTTCAGTAGGATTGTTGCCATGTAGTAAACCCCTTATAAATAGTATGTATAATAATTTGTCACATGCTGTTAGGTTAAGCCATCAACAACAAACATGGCAATAATTCAAGTTCAAAAATACAGACGGGTTTGAATTAACATTGCACAATGATTTGTTTGTGTTTTCTTGTTTTTCCAAATTCAGTGTTATATTCTACTTTCATATTTTGTGAGCATTTATTAACTGAACGACTGCCACATGCATGGCAGTGTGCTAAATATTTGAGTGCATTATGATTTCACCCATTATGGGGTTTAAATCCATCTGAAAAGTAAAGATTAAGACCCATGAATCTGTGCATAATTCAAATGATACTTATTCACGTGTATTGTGTGGTAGAGAAAATGAATGTATAGGAAAGAAAGAGAATGAAAGTGAATGAGGAGGAAAATTAAATACAGTCAGGAAAGGCTTGATAAAGGACTTAAGAACTTGAATATGATTGTGAAACATAGTTATAATTTCTAAGAACAGCTGAGGAAAAAAGCTTAATTTGTATAGTTTATGAAGGAATGCATATGTTTGTGTTTCACAGAATTTAGAGTTAAGAATACACACACACACTACACAGAAACTCAGAAAACCTATGCTACTTGCTCAGGTAATTAATTACTAGTCAATGGTAAAGTTCAAACTGATGTCTAGGTCTCCTGCTCCTGTTCCAGTACATTTTTACCGCAATACATTGAGTGAGCAAGCTTTCAAAAGCTTCTTGAATTATTCATATGGATATGGAAAATCCTATCTTACAACATAAGGCCATTTCTATTTACAGATATTAAGACTATGAAAACTTTTTTCATATTCAGCCATCTCAATGACTAATTCTTGCATCATCAGTTTTAGTAGCACCATAGCTGGATCTCGTAAGTTCATGAAAGGCAATTGGGTGTGTTGCTTCCCAAATCCATGTTCAATGATATCACATTTGTAGCTTAAAACCAGCCAAACTAGTAGTATGTGTACCATGGAAAATAAGGATTTGTTTGTTTTTCTGAAGATCTAGTTGTTAAACATTTACCAGTACACCACTGGTTGGAATAGTAAATTCCATACAGTGCCACTATTAAAATAGCTAAAAATATGAAATTATGTTTATAATCTTACATAAATTGACTTTAGAGTGAGACGTGGAAAGGTAAAAAAAAAATGACATGGTCTTTGAATTAAAATACCAGAAATAGGCCAGGCGCAGTGGCTCATGCCTGTAATCCCAGCACTTTGGAAGGCCAAGGCGGGCGGATCACGAGGTCAGGAGATGGAGACCATCCTGGCTAACACGGTGAAACCCCGTCTCTACTAAAAACACAAAAAATTAGCCAGGCGTGGTGGCAGGCTCCTGTAGTCCCAGCTACTCGGGAGGCTGAGACAGGAGAATGGCAGGAACCCGCGAGGTAGAGCTTGCAGTGAGCCGAAATTGCACCACTGCCTTCCAGCCTGGGTGACAGAGCGAGACTCCGTCTCAAAAACAAAACAAAACAAAACAAAAAAACAGAAATAGGGAAATTATTAGGTTCTACGAGAAGGTTCTCTCGTAAGTAAAAAGGAACAGTCTTTTGAAATATAGTGCATATGGAGTTTGCAATTGTAGCTGTTTGTTGAATATCTATGCAAATTTACACAAATTAAATAGGAATACCTTACCATGAATACACATTTTATCCTAGAAATTCAAGGACATTGCTATTTCAGAAAACCTATAAATCTAGTTTGGTGTTCATCAGTTGGTGAACTATGAATAAAATGATTATTTTAATAAATGAAAATAAGGCATTTAAGTAAAAATCTCAGTAACTAAGGTAATGGAATATGCAAGCTACATACAGAAAAATGCAAGCCAGGAGCGGTGGCTCACACCTGTAATCCCAGCAGTTTGGGAGGCCAAAGCAGGCAGATCACTTGAGGTCAGGAGTTCAAGACCAGCCTGGCCAATATGGTGAAACCCCATCTCTACTAAAAAGTGCAAAAATTAGCGGGGCACGGTGGTGAGCGCCTGTAATCCCAGCTACTAGGGAGGCTGAGACAGCAGAATTGCTGAACCCACGTGGCGGAGGTTGCAGTGAGCTGACATGGGGCCACTGCACTCCATCCTGGGTGACAGAGTGAGACTCCATCTCAAAATAAATAAATAAATGCAATACTCTATTTTATTCAAGTAAATAATTACAAAATGTGCTAATTCAATAAAATTAATAAAAGTGTGGTATTTTATTTCTATAGACATAAATCCAGAAGATTATGCTGAAAACATTAACCATGCTTTATTAAAAGAGATCACGTTGTGGATGATTTTTATTTATCCTTTAGAATTGTCTGCATTTTTAAAAAAAGTCTCTACAGTGAATTATATAGACTACTTAGTTTATGAAAATTATGAAAACAAAATTTACTGGAGACAAGAACTTATTCACGACAACCACAAAAACTTAAAATATCCAAGAGTGACTTCAATGGGAGAAAAATTAAACTTAAAATCAGATAAATGTTAAGTGTATATGAATAATAAAGAGGATGAGGATGAAGATGAGAAGGAGAAGAGAAGAAGAAATGGTGAAGTAAATTTTAGCACACCGATAAACGTAATGCCACACACATATTTGTTTAAATAATTTAGGGCTTACTACCTAGGAAAAATGCTATAATATTAAGAATAGCAACAAAATATACAATTTTACTTAAAGAGTAATATAAATTTTATTCATGTGCTGATGTGAAATAAAAAAGAACTTTAACAGTAGCCTCTAAGTGGTATTTTCATATTTGACTGGTTTTCCTTTTATTTAGTTTTTGAAAATATTTTCCAATACAGATACGGACTGTATTTGGAGACCCCTATCCAATTACAGTCATATTCTGAGGTGTACTAGGAATTAGGACTTCAACATATAAATTTGGAAGGGTGACACAATTCAGGCCAAACATCTGGTATGTTCCCCATTTAATTTGGAGAGCCCCAAGGAAATGAAGCATCTGTTTATTATCAAATCTGCTCAGGTCTCGTGCTCCCTAAGTGAGGACCAACATCTAAAGATGGATTTATGAGCTACAGACCACCAGGGGCACGGCTGTCATTGCCCTACATGGCACTCCTTCCTTTCCCATAATGCTGTCCCCCAGACACCTCCATACCGAACACAAAACTGTAATGATTTCCCATGAACAAGACTTCTGGGAGATTTGTCAAAATTGGGGAAAATGTTCTTTTATAAGGCTCAGACCCAGCCTATGAGGCCAGCTTCAGAAATATCTTTTTCCTGGCTCGTCCTGCCCTTGTGATGCATTGAACCATTGTTGTTTTCCTTTATTACTCTGCACCAATATCCATACTATACCTCAGAATGGAAGAGTATACTTCCCTGATCCTTGACATTAGGCTTGGCCATATGACTTTCCTTGGTCAGGGGATATTGGCCTATGTGACAGAGGTAGAGGCCTTAAATGACCTTACAAGATTTGGCTTGTTTCTTGTGTCCCAGGGATCTGCCGTGAGAAGAGCTTCTCCTAGTAACTGATGCCCTATCAACCTGGTGTCTATAACAAACACTCGTGGGGTAAATTGACACCCAACCTACCTGGAGACAGGTCCAGCTGACCCACAGTCTGAAGTAGATTGCCCAGAGGAGCCAGCTTAGATTAGCCAAACTGCATTCAGCCTCCTGAGCATGTGAATCAATGCTTCTTGTTCTAAGCCATTGAGTTTTAGAGTGGTTTGTTACATAATGTTATTGTTGGTCATGGCCAACTGATACCATATGGGAGAAATGCACACAACTGTCATCCTCAGGTCCTTTCCACCATCCATGTAAAGAAAACGAACCAAATAGACAACTGGGAGCCATCTGTTCATCGGTTCTTAAGACATACTCAGATTCTAGAGTCAAATTTACTGTCCAAATTAGTCTCAGTGAGGAATGCTGTTTCATAGTACTTCATTATTGAAGGTGAATGTCTCTGGTTACTATGAGTTCATAACATATCCAGGGACTCATACAGCTTACTAGGCTTAGAAGGTACAATAGAGGCCATACTATAACTCTCTTCAATGATGCAATATCCTAGGCACAGAAAGGAAAAGTTACTGACAGGAGGCCACACCATAAGACAGTGTCAGGCTTGGGTCCTCTGTCCCCTAACCCAGCACTCTTCTATTGCAACTTTCATGATTTGTAGTTGGGTATTAGGAAAAGCATCTTGTGATTTTTTTTTTCTGAAAGCTTCCTAAATAGCAACAAACTTGTCTAGATATTTCCTGATTAATGATGTCAATTATCATTTTATTTTTGTAGCTTCTTTCAGGGTCAATAAGATGATTTTGACACAGATTTTGATGTGAAACGTAACTCGAAAGGAGTATCTTAGTGAAAGAGAGTAAAATCCATTGAGGATAATAAACTACACCAAATAAAGAGATCTATAAAGAGATCTGAGAACCTCTGAACAGTCATTTACTTAAATCTGTTCAGTTATTCTCCATGCTAATGTGTCATGTTAACCAGGAAGATGTACCAAAAGATTCTTATTAATAGTATTTGCTTCCTGTCAAGTTTTAATATTTTCAGTCGCTGAAAAAAAATGATAGAATTCTTGGGGGTGGAGGAGATAATGCTCATATTCTTCCAGGGGAAAATTCAACAATACAAAGCAAAATATACATCTCTGTGAAGGAATTATTTGCTGTTATTTGTATTTTTCTACAAATTCTGAAAGCGTAGAATTAAACCCTGAAGACATAGTAATGGGGTAAAGAAGCAAAATTATTAAGCAAGGTTGGTTTCATATTCACAGGCAGAATAAAGTTCAAGGTTTGCATGTAGGTTTACCTTTCTTTCAGTGCAAGGCACTATTGCCTGGTTTTATGAGCTCAGATTCTGTAGTCAGACTGTCTGCACCTGATCTTAGACTATGCAACTATTACTTGAATCATCAGAGTAAACTGTTTAACCTCTGTTTGACAGGTTTCTTCATCTGTAGGCTGAAGGGAATAATGATAATATCTATTACAGAGAGTTTTTTAAAGGATTAAACTGACTCTACAGGTAATTTTTCTTTAGTTGTACTTGAGATACATAAACAAGCAAAAGTAAAAAGATCTTTGCAATCATGAAGCTTATATTCTAGAAATCATAGCCAGACAAAGAAGAAACAAGAACCCTAATAAATCAGTAATGATATACCGTGTACTAGAAAATAATAAGCATGGTGGGAAAAGCAAAAGTTGAACAGAGTAAAGCAAAAGTTGAACAGAGTAAAGAAAACCAAGTGTGCTGCAGGGAGGGGTGGGTTGCAATATTAAATAAACGGATGGACGACACTTCATTGAGAGAATGTCTTTTGTGCAATGACCTGAAGAAAGGGATGGAAAAGTCATGCATGTATCTGCAGAGAACATTCATAGATGAGAGAATTAGCTTAAACCTCTAAGATGGGAGCAGGAGAACGTTAGAATGTGGAAACTGAGTCTCAAGAAAGTTAAATGCCTTGCTTAAGTTTACATGAATCCAGGAGAAAGAGTATTTTGAGAGCCTGGAGTATAACGAACAAGAATAAATGTCTTCAGTTCTCAGAAAACTCACATAATCACCATCTCCTAAGTATGAGATTCCCCATGAGATCCACTCTGATAATGTATACACCATACAATAAATGAATGCACTGATCTTGTAGGACAGTCCTTTTCAAGAATGTTCAAGATAATTTGAGTTGCTGGACACTCATGATTATCTTCTTCAAGGTTTTAGTCTCAGAAGGGTGAACCCAAATGCTCAGCAGTCCTTCTGGCCCAATAAACAGTTTCCCACTGTAGCAGACAGATTCTAAAGTGACCCCAACTATCTTCATCTCTTGGTACTCAGGCCTTGCTATCTTCCCCTCCCCTTCAGTATGAGTGTGACCTATGATTTGCTTCTAACAAACAGAATACAGCACAGAATATTACATATACATGATCATATTTCATAAGATAGTAATGTCTATCTTGCTAGAAAACTGTCTCTTTGCTAGCTTTGAAGAGGCAAGCTGTCATGTTGCCAGCTGCCATAAGAAAAAGGCTACATGATAAGGAACTGAGAACAGTCAATAACCAACAGCCAAGGCCAGGCATGGTGGCTAACGCCTATAATCCCAGCACTTTGGGAGGCCGAGCCGAGTGGACCACTTGAGGTCAGGGGTTCAATACCAGCCTGGCCAACATGGTGAACCCTGTCTGTACTAAAAATACAAAAATTGGCCAGGTGGGGTAGCAGGCGCCTGTAATCTCAGCTACTCGAGAGGCTGAGGCGAGAGGATTGCTTGACCCCAGGAGGCAGGGGTTGCAGTGAGCCAAGATCTCGCCACTGCACTCCAACCTGGGTGACAGAGCAAGACTTAGTCTCAAAAAAAAAAAAAAACAGAACAAACAAACAAAAAAAAAACTTAACAGCCAGCAAGAAACTGAGGCTTTCAATCTCACAAACTGTGAAGACCTGTATTCACTCAGCAGCCATACAATATTGGAGGAAAATCCTTCCCCAGTGGAAACTCAGATGAGAAACCAGCCCCAGCCAACAGAGATTGTGGCCTTGCAGAGGGCCTAGGTAAATTGTACTCAGATTCCTGACGCACAGAAACTATGAAATAAATGCAAGTTTTTTAAGCCACTATTTTTGTGGTAATTTGTTAGATAGCAATAGACAGCAAATATACTCACTCATCTTACTAGAGACCCATTTAAAGTAAGTTGTATAGGAGGGAACCGAGGCAGTCATAGGAGTATACGAGTTAGATCTACTACAAGACAGAATCTGCAAGTGTGGACTTCAACTTCTGAAGACATGGTAGTGGGATAGAGAAGCAAAATTATTAAGCAGGGTAGGCTTAAGGCAATATGAAGTTCACAGAGTTTTGGTTCATTACACTACTGTACAGAGCATAGTGAACCAAAACTACCAGGTCCCAGAAGCTGGGGATCCATTCAGTGTTCCCACTGCTCCCCACATTTGAACTCCTAGCCAATGTCTGAGCAATGACTGATGATATTAAAGCAGAGACATTTCTGCTTAATGTGGGACTCCTCTTTGGGACTCCCTATGAACCTGGCTGAGATTTTCTCACAGTTCCATAGCAGTTCGAGTCTCTTCCTTCATTCCCTCTGTCTTATTCCTAGTGTCAGATAGTCATTGTGGTCTAAGTCATTTCTCTCTTAGCAGAAAAAAAGAGTTTTTGTTCTGCTCTCCTTTATTCTTCATTGGTGCCTCCCCCAGTAAATCTCATGCCTTTCATTCTATCTTGGTATCAGCTTCCCTGACAACTCAAATTGACACAAGGACCTTTTGATACTTTTGCAATTGTTCTTAACTGAAATTTCAGCATCAGCGCAGGCTGAAAGGCAGTCTTATATAGTGGGAAACACACGAAGAGTCAGCAGAGCAACGTTCATCCCCAACTCTGCTACTACCAATAATCCCTGTTAACACTGATCATGTTCCTATCTCCCTCGAGCTTTCTTTTGGTTAAAATGAGAGTGTTGAATTAGATGATCTTTGAGTTTTTTTCTTTTCCTTTATTTTTTTCACTAAATGTAAAAAAAGAAGCAAATACTAAACATGACAAAAATAAGCACAGTATAAAAGTAAGGAGTATATACAACTGAGAGAGAAACAAGAAAATAGACAAGTAGAACTAATGAAAGGGCCAGGAAAAAAAAAAAAACACAATACTTTATTGGTCACTGCAAACAGTCCTGGTTTCCATCCTGACACTTTTCTTTTTTTTTTTTTTTTTTTCATTTATTGGAACTAGTGTTTATTTAGCTGCTATAGTTACAACAGGCTCGCTTTAAGCCATCCCATTCTACTAGGGATTTCAGATGGTAAAATCCCCAGGGTTTATCTAAGGTGAAGACAAGTTTTCCGTTCTTTTCTTTTTCCTTGTGTGGTCCCCATGGACCCAGTCTGCTTTTCCTTCCTCTTTAACTATAGACACTACACAGTCATTCCCTTGGGGCTCCTTTCCCTCCCACATTTGCCTCCTCAGTGGTTTATCCTTTCTCCAGCTCAAAATTTTCTTGGTGCATTCAAAAACAAATATATATCCTTTTGGTTTTCAAGTTTTTACTGCATATTCCTTTGGGGAAACAGTCAGAAGATAATACAAGGACAAACACAGGGGCATTTGGAGTTTTAAGAAATCTTACAAAGTTTATAGTTTCACTGTGCATGGTCTGTAGTCCTTGCTGCTGTGACTTCTATACATAAAGGCACATTGGATTCCAAGTCTTTTCTCAGTGTTTCCTCCAGTTTCCATTTCCCTTTGATGCATTCCTTTCTCTAACTCTGCAGACCCACTTCTCCACAAAGCACCTTCTTCCTGGTTGAAAAAAAAGGTGGGATCCTGAAGAGAAACACATAGAGATAAAACATGTCCATTCATATGCCCACTAGAATAAAATATGTGCTAGTATATAGATAAAAAAAGTTGTTGGCAGGTGATATTTTCCACAGGTGACCATGACAACATCTCTCATTCCTCATGGTCTTCTACATGCTATGTGATCATGGCAACAAGTCTTTGAAAAGTGATGACTATGTCTTTTCCCACTGAATCTAGAAGGGATTGTGACTAACTCTTTTAATACAATATTGTAGAGATGACATTATGCGACATTTCAGACTAGGTTATTAAAAACAGAAAATCTTCTGCCTTTTCTCTTTGGACATTTTGTACTGCATCTTCAGAGGCCACTTAAAATATCTGACTATCTTGAGGCCACACGATGCTATGAGGAAGTCCAGGCCACATAGAGAGGCCTTATGAAGATGATCCAGATGAAAAGCCCAGCTGAGGTCTGAGCCTATAGCTAGCATCAACTGTCTGTTGAGAGGGAAGATGTCTCCAGATACTTTCGGCATCCAGCCATAGAGAACTCACCCCACCTCGCTGATGAGTCTTTCCAGCTAAGGTCTCAACATGAGGGGAGAGGGGCAGAGAAAAATGATTTTCTTAGTTTGATTTAATGACATACAGACTTCATGAGATGATTAAAAAAAATTTGTGGCTGGCTGCAGTGGCTCATGCCTGTAATCTCAGTACTTTGGGTGGCCCAGGCAGGTGGAACACCTGAGGTCTGGAGTTCAAGACCAGCCTGGCCAACATGATGAAACTCTGTCTCTACTAAAAATACAAAAATTAGCCAGGCGTGTTGACAGGCACCTGTAATCCCAGCTACTGGGGAGGCTGAGGCAGGAGAATTGCTTGAACTTGGGAGTCTGAGGTTGCAGTGAGCCGAGACCATGCCTTTGCACTCTAGCCTGGGCGACAAGAGAGAAGACTCCATCTCAAAAACAAAACGAAACAAAAATGTAAGCTGCTAAGTATTGGGGTTTTAAATGAAGACACAATAACCAGAACATGGTTAAAAAGAATGCATTCAGTTCAATTGTGATATTCTGAAGTTATTGTTCTCATTCCCCGCCTAGATACCTGATATGGTTCTTTTGGTCTCTCTATTTTTTTTTTTTTTTTTTTTTTTTAGTTTTTTCATTCTAAAACCAGAAGTTTGGCTTATTGTCATCTCATAGACTCCTGATATATCATCTTTTCATTTAACCCACCTATGGTTGTTTTCTTTTCCTTGCAGTTGATGGATATAAGCTGATTCTGTACACCTTTGTACTGATATGGTATCAGTGAAATACATGAACTAGAAAGCATGCTTCTAGTAATGGTAACAAGAGGTCTTTCTAAAATCTCCATTCCCTGCAGTTATTGGACTGAAATTTCTGGCAAGGATAAATTTATTATGTTAGGTAGCATAGAAACCCAAAGCAAATGGGACACAGAACAATTGTATATTAATGAAGGGGAAAAAAAGGAAATTACTAAAAAACACAGATTAGATATAGTTTTTCACACTTTGAGTTGAAGTGTCTCGTCTAAAGTTCCCAGACATCATTTGGAGCCACAGAATCTATTAGGAATTTCTTTTACGTGTAATACAATGGTCTTGTTAGTTTCTAAGTTAATTGATGTTTGGACTCTTTTTGAATAAAATAAATTTAGTGTTGACTTGGTTAAATTATTTCTTTGATACATACAAATAGAAAACTAGCTCTAAACCCATTAGTTTATTGCTGTTATATAACTTTAAAAAGCTTTACACTTCAGTAAAAAGAAAGCTATAAGCCCAATTGATTGTTTTACTGTAAAATGTTAATTTAGTGTGATAAACTCTGATGTTGCCGCTATATGACATGGTCTACTTCAGTGTCCTCTTGCTTCAGCGTGCCAGATGAAAAGATAATTCTTCCAAAGCACATTTTATACTATCAGTCCTTAGTGGGACATATCATGATATCATTTTGTGTGAAGGTATAATTCCCATATTTAGTATTTTTTTAATGATCATAAAAGAATATTCAGTGTTAATAATAAAACTAAGTTTAAATACAGTGACTACACTTCTGTATCACTCAGGGTTCTAGAGGGACATAACTAATAGAATGTATGTATAAGTGTATATATGAAAGGGAGTTTATTAAGGAGAATTCACTCACATGATCACAAGGTAAAGTCCCATGATAGGCTGTCTGCAAGCTGAGGAGCAAGAAAGCCAGTGGTGGATCAGTCTGAGTCCCAGAACCTCAAAAGTAGGAAAGCCAATAGTACAGCCTTCAGTCTGTGGCCAAAGGCAGGAGAGCCCCTGGCAAACCACGAGTCTAAGCCTAAGAGTCCAAAAACTAAAGAACTGGGAGTCTGATGTGTGAGGGCAGGAAGCATCTAGAAAAAGAGAAAGATGAAGACTGGAAGACTCTAATTCTGCTCTTCTATCTTCTCCTGCTTGCTTTATTCTAGCCACGCTGGCAGCTGATTAGATGGTGTACACCGTCTAATCAGAATGAGGGTGGGCTTGCCTCTCCCAGCCCAGTGAATCAAATGTTAATCTCCTTTAGCAACACCCTCACAGACACACTCAGGAACAATACTTTGCATCCTTCAATCCAATCAAGTTGACACTCAATATTAACCATCACAAGTTCATCTGTTCAACTTGAACCCATATGAATGTCCTGAAATAATACATAATCCTCAAATAAAGACAATAATAAGCTCCTAATTATGCCTAACGTAATACAGCTATCCTTCGCACAACTGGAAGCACACTAATCCTTAACCTAAATGCTATTACATAAAGTTATCAACACTTTAAATGCTGATATGAAGTCAATAAATCTTATGTCACATGATAAAGGAAATAAAATGAAGATATTTTCTTATTACAGGTGTATAAATGCACAAATATGTTCTTAACAAAAGAAAAAGGAAATACTCATGACAATTACAGTCATTGTTTCTGCAACTGGTCACATGGTCATAGCTGGTATTGATAACTACCATCTTCTACTACCCATTCTGTATTCCCTTTGCCTTCAAAAAGCACCTCAGCTGGTTGTGGTTTTCTACCTGATGGAGGGACCCAAACCTTCATTCCTGAAGGGTCTGGGCCATTTGTAGTCCTGCTTGGATTGGGCTGTTGCAGTTTTCCATTGACCTTAATCACAGAGCATGGTAATACTAAGAGATGCCTTAATGGATCTCCTGTATTCCATGCATACTCTTCCTTACCTCCACTGTGGAGTAGTAGACTGATTTCATCTTCATAGTTCAGGTCAGTCACCCCAGCCAACACTGTAACTCTCTTCTTAGCCTGTTGACTTAGAGATAGGAGAAGCCCAACATGTCCAGGTGGCAATTGTAATTTCCAGTTTAATGGAATCATTGTGTCTACTGGTGGCAGCATTCTTCCCTCTGGAACTAGGCCAGCAGAACATAATGTTGTCAGAACAGGCAGCAAAAATTTTGCTAGTGGGTCACTAAAGGTGATGTTAAATGGTGCCATTTCCAATTTCACCCCTTGATTCCTGGACCTGTGAATTCCGACTGTGAGGGAAACAGCACCATATATTTGACGCTGATTCAGAGCATACATGGCCTTTTGGAGAACTTCGCGCCAGCCCTGCAAAGTATTGTCACCTAGTTGGTTTGGTAATTGTGATTTCAAAAGGCCATTCCACCTTTCTATCAAACCATTTGCTTCAGGGTGATGGGGAACATGGTAAGACCAGTGAATTCCATGAGCATGAGCCCACCGCCACACTTCTTTAGCCATAAAGTGAGTGCCTTGGTCAGAGGCAATGCTGTGTGGAATACCATGACAGTGGATAAGGCATTCTGTGAATCCACAGATTGTAGTCTTGGCAGAAGCATTGTGTGCAGGATAGGCAAACCCATATCTGGAGTAAGTGTCTATTCCAGTGAGGACAAACCACTGCCCTTTCTATGATGAACAGGCCCAACATAATCAACCTGTCACCAAGCAGCTTTCTAATCACCCGAAGGAATGGTGCCATATCGAAGGCTCAGTGTTTGTCTCTGCTGCTGCCATTGGGCACTCAGCAGTGGCCATAGCAAAGTCAGCCTTGGTGAGTGGAAGTCCATGTTGCTGATCCCACGTGTAACCTCTGTCATTGCCACCATGGCCACTTTGTTCATGGGCCCATTAAGCAATGGCGACAGGGGTGGCTGGGGAAAGAGGCTGAGTAGTGTTCACAGAATAAGTCATCCTATCCACTTGATTATTAAAATCCTCTTCTGTGGAGGTCACCCTTTGGTGAGCACACACATGAGATACAAATATCTACAGAGTTGACCACTTAGAGAGTTCCATCCACGTACCTCTTCCCCAAATTTCTTTGTCGCCAATTTTTCAATCATGCTTCTTTCAAGTCCCTGACCATCCAGTCAAACCATTGGCTACAGCCCAAGAATCAGTACATAATCACACATGTGGCCATTTCTCCTTGCAAGCAAAGTGCAAAAACAGATGCAGTGCTTGAAGTTCTGCCCATTGTAAAAATTTCCTTTTGCCACTGTCTTTCAGGGATGTCCTAGAAAAGGCCTGTAGTGCTGTAGCTGTCCAATTTCTGGTTATGCCTGCATATTATGCAGACCATCTGTGAAACAGGCCCTAGCCTTCTCTTGCTTTGTCAGCTGATCATAGGAAACTCCCCATGAGGCCACTGGTGCAGGCTTAGGGAGAGAAGGCAGAGTGGTAGGAGTGGAGACCATGGGCATTTGAGCCACTTTCTTATGTAACTTACTTGTGCCCTCAGGAACAGCTCAAGCCTGATCATACCACTTCCATTTGATAAAGGAATGCTGCTGTATACACCTACTTTATGGCTAGACAGTTCAGAAAGCACTCAGTTCATGATAGGCAGTTCAGGTCACATGGAGACTTGATGACCTGATCGTCAAATGTTCAGCATCTACCACAGCCCAGTAACAGGCCAAGAGCTGTATTTCAAAAGAAGAGTTGTTATTTGCAGAAGATGGCAGGGCCTTGCTCCAAAATTCTAAAGGCCTCCACTGTGATTCACCTACGGGGGCCTACCAAACAGCATCCCTATCTGCCATTGACACCTCAAACACATTGGATCTACTTAGTCATATGGCCCAAGTTGCAGAGAAATTTGAACAGTAACCTGGACCTGTTGCAGAGTCTTCTATTCTGGACCCAACTCAAAATTGGCAGCTTTTAGGGTCACTGAATAAATGTGCCAGTAACAGACCCAAATGAGGATTGTGTTTCCTCCAAAATCTAAATAGGCTCACTAGACGTTACGCCTCTTTTTTTTTTCTTTTTTTGAGATGGAGTCTCACTCTGTCACCCAGGCTGTCACCATTGGCATGGTCTCAGCTCACTGCAACCTCTGCCTCCCAGGTTCAAGCAATTCTTCTGCCTCAGCCTGCTGAGTAGCTGGGACTACAGGTGTGTGGCACCACACCTGGCTAATTTTTGTGTTTTTGTTTGTTTGTTTTTTGTTTTTTGTTTTTTAAGTAGAGATGGGGTTTCACTCTGTTGGCCAGGCTGGTCTCAATCGCCTAACCTCATGATCCACCTGCCTCTGCTTCCCAAAGTGCTGGGATTACAGGGGTGAGCCACAGCGCCCAGCCAATGTTATGTCTCTTCCTTGGTTGTAGGAGGGGCCAAATGCAGCAACTTATCCTTCACCTTAGAAGGAATATCTTGACAAGCCCCATACCACTGAACCCCGAGACATTTTACTGAGGTAGAAGTTCCGTGAATTTTAGTCAGATTTATTTCCCATCCTCTCACGCGCAGATGTCTCACTGGTAAGTTCAGTGTGTTGCTACTTCTTGCTCACTCTATCCAATCAGCATAATGTCATCAATGTAATGGACCAGTGTGATATCTTGTGGGAGGGAAAAGAGGTCAAGATCTCTGCTAACTAGATTATGACACTGAACTGGAGAGTTGATATACCCCTGAGGTGGACAGTGATTGTATATTACTGGCTTTGCCAGCTGAAGGCAAATTGGCAAATTGCTTCTGGGGGACCTTATGGACAGGAATGGAGAAAAAATGATTTGCCAAATCAATGGCTGCATACCAGGTGCCAGGAGATGTGTTAATTTGCTTAAGCAATGAAACCACATCTGATACAGCAGCTGCAATTGGAATCATCACTTAGTTAAACTTAGGATAATCCATGGTCAATTTCCAAGATCCATCTGTCTTCTGCAATGACCAAATAGGAGAATTGAAAGGGATGTGATGGGAAGCACCACCCCGTATCTTTCAAGTCCTCGATGGTGGCACTAATCTCCACAGTCCCTCTAGGGATGTGACCTTGTTTTTGCCTTACTAGTTTTCTACGTAGAGACAGCTCTAATGGCTTTTATTTGACATTTCCCACCATAATAGTCTTCATCCTACCAGTTAGAGAGCCAGTGTGGGGTTCTGCCAGCTGCTAAGCACATCTATGCCAACTCTGCATTCTGGCACTGGGGAAATGGCTACAAGATGAGTCCAGGGACCCATCAGACCTACTGTCTGTTGGACCTGAGCTAAAACCCCATTAATTCCCTGACCTCCATAAGCCCCTACTTTAACTGGAGGAGCACAGTGACATTTTGGAGTCCCTGGAATCAGCGTCAGCTCATGGTCAGCATCCAGTAGTCCCCCAAAAGTCTGATAATTCCCCTTTATCCAAGGGGAATGTTACTGTGGTAAAAGGCCAGAGGTCTCCTTGGGGAAAGATGGCAGAAAGATCACTGCATGAATTGTTGGCAGTGTAGTGGGCTCCTTCCTCAAAGAGGCATGATCTCCCCTTCATTCGAGGCATTCTGTGTCTGTAAACTGGCTCGAGTCTGGAAATTGATTGAGGGGCCCAAGATTCTCTGTTTTTATAATTCAAATTAGTATTTTGTCCACTCAGCCTGGAAGTTTTTTACTTATATAATTTAAGTAAGAATGCAGTAAGCTTCCTACCAATTTCACTTCTAGAAACACCATTATTAATTAGCCAATACCAGAGCTGTGCATGAGTCAGACTATTCTGATTGCTGCTTTGTCTCTGCTGTCCATTATGGTAGCTATGCCCACTTTGCCTTTGAGGGTTGAGTGCCACCACTTGGCCCCTGATACCTTGGGATCCAATTATTCCCCTTACATTTAAATTTCGTAGTTGAGTGACTGCAGTTCCCACTGTAAGAACTGGCATACAGAAAAGAGCCATCACAGAGCTCTTCGAGGATGCAGATGCTGCCCTCTCAAATCTATTTCATAAGATATTGTTGAAGGGTATGTCTTCTGGACCCTCCCAGCTGGGATGAGTAAGTCTAAAGTAAGTAATCCACTCCAGCATCCAAATCTCCGTAAGCCTTTGGATCCCTTCCTCTGCATTAAACCAATGGAGGTCAGGCATTTCCAGCTCACTCACAGTGAAGTGAGCTTTTAATCCATATTCGAGCTAACCAAGCAAATAAACTATTATAACCTTTTTAACTCCCCAAACTGCAACATTTAATGCAGAGTCCCTACTTAGTGGGGCCATATCAATAAATTCAGCCTGATCCAACTTTATGTTCCTTCCACCATTATCCCACACCCTTAATATCCATTCCAATGCCTGCCCTCCAGATTTCTGCTTATATAAATTAGTAAACTCAAACATTCTTTCAGAGTATAGTGCACCTCCTTGTGGGACACACTCTGAGCCTTACCTCTAGTGGCCTGCTGGGACTTGAGTCTAGTTATAGGTCTAGAAGCAGACAGAGGTGTTGGGGGTGGTTCCTGAGGAGATTCGGCATTGTCTTGCCTATCAAGTGCCTCAGGGGAGGCCATCACTGTTGCCCTAGGCAGTACATGGTTAATCTCCTCAGACAAAGGTGGGAAAGCTGATGGCAGCATGGGTGATGAAGGCGATGTTCTACCACTGGGTGTGGGGAGGCTGTTTCCTCTGGCAAAAAAGTCTATCAGAATTTAGGACCTCGGTGCCCCCAGCCTCATCAGGGTCCTCTCACAGGGCCCCATTCCAGGTTGCAGGGTCCCAATCTTACTAATCAATGCTCTCACTTTAGCAGTGGACACATGGCGAAGCTATATGTACATCTTTTGTTGCAGATCAGCCACTTACACAATAAGAGCTTGTGTCTGATTTTCCACCGTTTCAGCCCTTTCTCTTCGGGAGATAAGACTCTTACTCAGGGCAGTCTTAGAAGATTTGAGGCTCAGTATGTGCTTCTGGAGCTGAAAGACAGAATCTCTAAGTTCATCATTTTCTTTCATCCCTTTGTCCGCTGAACTTAGGAGCAACCAAACAACTTCATTATATTCCTTTGTTCTCTGCATATGGTCAAAGGTATGTATAAAGTCGCTAAACTCATTGTCTCTCACGAGCGGTGAATCAGGAGTATCAAATGCATTTATTTTGTATAACTCTGTAACCAGTTCACCCCAAGAACTATCAGTGTTCTCCATGCTATTAGAAGTAGAGTCCTTAGCATTTTGGGGTCTAATCATATTAAGCAGCCAACTCCAGAAACCCCCAAAACAACTAAAAATCTCCATCCTTAAAATTCTGTTCCCCTAGAGCCAATCCTGGCACCAAAATTTATATTAATCAGGGTTCTCTAGAGGGACAGGACTAATAGGATAAATGTATATATGAAAGGAAGTTTATTAAGGAGTATTGATTCACAGGATCACAAGGTGAAGTCCCACAATAGGCTGTCTACAAGCTGAGGAGCAAGGAAGCCAGTCTGAGACCCAAAACCAGAAAAGAAGGGAAGCCGACAGTGCAGCCTTCAGTCTGTGGCCAAAGGCCCAAGAGCCCCTGGCAAACCACTAGTGTAGGTCCAAGAGTCCAAAAGCTGAAGAACTTGGAGTCCGATGTTCAAGTGCAGGAAGCATCCAGCATGGGGGAAAGATGGAGGCCAGAAGACTTAGTCAGTCTAATCTTTCCACGGCCTGCTTTTATTCTGGCCATGCTGACAGCTGATTTATTAGTTGGTACCCACCCAGATTGGGAGTGGGTCTGCCTTTCTCACTCCACTGACTCAAACGTTAACCTCTTTTGGCAACACCCTCACACACACACCCAGGATCAACACTTTGCATTCTTCAATCCAGTCAGTTGACACTCAATATTAAACATCACAACTAAGAAATAAAATAGATGTACCTCACTGGTCCAAAGTTAACACAAGAAAGATGATGACACAGAAAAGCATTAGGTCTATACTCAAGGCTCAGCTGTATTATTTAGGAAACAAACCTGGGATTTCCTTTTATACTCTTTGCTTATCCTCTTTCTCCTTAAATGTCTTTCATTTCACAGCATTTTTCTTTTTTAAGTTTAGTTCATTAAGTAAAATTAAATTAGAGAATAGCTCAGCCACAAAGGCTTTGCACTTTGTTAGCTGATGCTGAAATTGATGAGAACTACATATGAATATAACCATGTTTAGATTCACAGCCTGACCAATGTCAGTGAATCACTCTGTCTCCAGAAGTTGTCCACAGTTCACCCACAACAATAGACCAGTCAACCACTTGGCAATAAATTATATTCAATTCAATAAATGTTTATTCAGATTACTAGGTGGGACTCATGGCATAAACTTCTCATTATAGGTGATTTCTCCAAAACATATTCTATCTACAGAAATTTTATAACTGTTCTTGAGAGGAGAGCTAGCCAGCAGACAATATTCACTTGGACTCTATTCAATGGCTGAGTGTATTAATAGTATTAACAAAATAAAGACAGATGTTATTTTTGCCCTTCTTTAATACAAGCCACCTTTATTAATGCAATGATTTTATTAATTGAAGTACAGCTTTAATTTTAATTAAACTTTTCCTCATGCTTGTACAGAGAGAGTTGAAATGACTCCATACGATGACGTTATACACGTAGTATAATATGGGCACTAACTGGGTTGAAAACAACAGAAAAATTAGAGAGATATATTGAATATTAATGAGCTATGTCTAGATTTTCATTTTACTGCTTTTTCTGTTATTTCCAATGTGGTAAAATATTCCATCTCTTCCTTCTATGTTATACAAAATATTGCCTTAGAACTGGTCTTCTGATTCAATGTCTAAAATCATGAAAGAAAAAAAAATACCTTGAACTCTAATGCTGTTTTTTTTTAATGAGAAGTTTATTTTAGTAGAAGTCATCTTTTAAACATCTTCTGAGTTGAAATCATATAATGTTAGCAGTCCCATATTACCATATAATGTGAATATGTTATATGTGGTAAATATATTTAATCTTTACCACAATGCCATGAGGTTGATAAATCAATACTATTACTTACCTATATATGAGGAAATCGAGACACAGAAGGGTTAAATGATTAACTAGAACTCACCTTTTGAGTGAGTGCTGGAGAAGAGATTCAATTCCAGGAAAACTGAGGCCAAAACTCACATGCTTAACAATACACTATGTTACTTTGCAAATTATGTAATCAAACAGAAAGACAAATAATAATAGATACAAGGAGAGAATGAATAGATGATGGATTAATAGATTGATAGAGCTACAAGTATATAAATGTTCATTACTTTGTTGTTTATAGCAATACAAAGTTGGAAAAACATAGTCTCACTATAGAGAATTAGTTAAAAATAACATCCACATCAAAGGCCTATTATACAATTAGCAAAAATGATGATTCAAAAAGATAGTTTTGTTAACATAGTAACATATCCTTCATATATTTCTGCAAGAAAAGTCAAATGTTAAAAAGTTTCAATATGATCTTATTTTTGTAAATATACATCCTCTTCCCCACAAAATCCTAAAAGCTGCTATTCAAACAACTAGCCAAACTGTTTTAAGATCTCTAGATATCCAGATATAAGATTGTTTATTTTATTTTTGCTTTCTTGATTTTTATTTTCCTGTAGTAATCATGAATAATCATGAGGGAAAACTTCATAAATTCAATTACAAACTATCTTAAAATAATTAAAATATAAACACTGCCTTTGAATATTTGTGAGATTTGGTCAAATCATAATTAACTCAGAAATTAACTTCATACCTTATAGGTTTTTGAAGAAAATAATGAAGGATCCAAGATCAAATATTAAAAGAAAAATAAATTTTGAAAAAAAATTAATAAGAATATTATAAACATGAAAGGAGAAATCAGTATATTTGAAAAATAACATATAAAAGTGGCAAAATATAAAGTGTTAAATGCAATATACACCTATTAGAAAAACCTGATTAAAAAATATTAGAAATTTGAAGGAAAATGTAAAATATGAAGTATAGATTATGGTGGTTAAGTTTGTGAGCACAGGTGTCAATTATGTGAGGTTGAATTCTAATTTCTATATATACAACGTATGTGATTTGAGGCAATTTACTTAACCTAGTTTTTCCTCATCTACATAAACAGGGATAACACTAATATGTCTCTAATAGTGTTATTTTGAGGATAAATTGAGATAATATAAATAATATTGTTACTCATGGTAATAGCTTATAAAATCTTGAAATAATTGATTTTCTAAAAGTAAAATTGATTCAAAAGGAGAAGAAAATATCAAGAAGCAAATAGTTTACTTTTCAAAGATGAACTTATCTTGATAAACCTTTATCCTAGCATTTTGCTCACAATGATGTCTTTCTCCCTTTCTCTAAATCTTAATTTAAACTTTATTTTTAAGCTATCCTTTCAATATTTATGGTAGGCTGAATAATGCCCTCCCTACAAAATATCCATGGCCTAATTTCCAGAACTTGTGAATAGACTACCTTACATGTCAAAAGGGACTCTTTAGATATGAGTAAGTTTAAGAACACTCAGGTAGAGAGATTATCTTGAAGTATCCAGGTGGACCCAATGTCATCATATGAGCCCTTTAAAGTGGATAACCATTTCCTTTTGGCTTCAGATGGAGATAAGATGATAAAAGACAGGTCAGATAGAAATTTGATACTGCTGTCTTTGAAGTTAGAAGAAGGAAACTCTAGGAAAATAATGTGGACAGCTTGTGGAAACTGGGAAAGGCAAGGGAATAAGTTCTCCCCTAGAGCTTCCAAAAAGACATGCAGCCTTACAGACATCTTGATTTTAGCCTGGTGAGAACTGTGTGAGGCTTCAAAGCTATGTAACTATAAGATCATCATTTGAGTTGTTGTAAGCCAATGTGTTGTTGGTAACTTGTTACAGCAGCAATAGAAAATTAATACAGTATTATATTGTGATATTCAATTACAACCATGTACATGGTCTTGTTCCCCAGCTAATACAGGCTCTCTGAGGTCAGGCAGAGAATTCTACATCTACAATCCATAGCAACTAGCATGTTGCTTTACATATAGATGGAAGTGCTCAATATTTATTGATTTCACTGTCCTCTTCCAGTATTATACTCTACAATTTACTTCTCTGTACATCCAGTGAATCTCAAGTAGTCAGGCCCATTTGGATTAATGTAGTTAGGTTTTTAGTTATGGGGTTTGGAATTAGCACATGCACCCAAAGGGCAGAATCCCCAAGTCCTTTCAGAAACAGCTTCCTTTCGTACAGACTCTGCCATCTGAAATATTAATGCAACAATCATCTTTTATTCTAATCACAAGCATTTCCTCCTAATAACCCATGATTTCACTAGCTGCTTGCTTTAATTACTGTATAGGCACTCATGCACCACAAAGGAAATATGAATTACACATAGACTACACCACTTCCTTCAGAGAAGTGCACTGATGATTGATGTCAGAGCCATAATCAGTTACCATATTGGCTGGGCTCAAAAGATAGACCATTTATAGCAAAACAAATTATACGTATTTAACAAAAGAAAAGTAAGTGGCAACTAGAAAGAAAAGACAGTCATAAAGCTTTATGGTGTGCTTACACAAATTTAAAAAAAGGTATAAATGTACTTTGCACATTAATACTACATATTTTTGAATAAAAATCACATAGAATAGTTTTAAATTATTTTTAAATTGTTTTTAAATTGAACAATTTGAAGAGAGTTATTACACAGTATTGAACTTGGAATGTAATTCTGAAATAATTTGTTCAGCATTTCAGCCAAAGCAAGAGTCCATTCTCTAATTTTAATATATTGACTTATTGATTTAAGCTATTTGTTATTTGTTTGTCTGTTTGATTTTGACAAAATTCCAAAAACCTGAAATACGAATGATGCTTACCAGATCAGACTGTGAAGTCAGGCGGTGAAGAAGTGAAGAAAATAAGCATTGCTTTCCTTTTCAACAAATGTCATTATCAACTACAAGGATGGGAAAGCATAGTGACTAGCCAGGAACATAGCATTAAAGGTGTGGGGAAGGTAATGAGACAGTTGAGAATGTTTGAAGAAGTCAAGAGAGGCATATTTCACCTCTGTTATTTATTTGCCGTGTGAAATATGGAAATCACTTATTCTCTCTTAATCTCAGTTTTGAAGTTAGAAAAAAATGATAATAAAAGTGAAATAGTCTTAAAAATTAATTTCATCTCTGTATAAGTGATCTCTCTAAAATATTTTCTCAGGTAAATTGGTATAGAAGAATTTAGTCTTCATCAAGTTATATTTATTTATAGTACATATTTCTTTCTTTTTAAAAATACTTTTAAATTCTATTTTAGATTCAGAGGGTACACATGCAGGTTTTTTACATGGGCATATTGCATGATGCTGAGGTTGAGGGTATGATGCATCCCATCACCCAGATAGTGAGCATAGTGCTCAATAGGTAATTTTTCAGTGATTACCACTCACACTTCCCTGTTCCATCTAGTAGTCTTCAGCATCTGTTGGTGCCATCTTATATCCATGAGTACTCAATGTTTGGCTTCCATTTATAAGTGAGAATGTGTGGTATTTAGTTTTTTGTTTCTGTGCTAATTTACTTAGGAAAATGGCCTCTAGCTTCATTCATTTTGCTTGCAAATAACAGGATTGCATTCTTTTTTATGGCTGTGTAGTATTTCCTGGTATATATGTACCACATTTCCTTTATCCAATCCACCATGACTCCTTGTCTTTGTTATTGTGACTAGTGCTGCAATGAACATACGTGCATGTCTTTATGGTAGAATAATTTATATTCCTTTGGGTATATACCCAGTAATGAGATTGCTGGTTCAAATGGTAGTTGTATTTGTCCGTTTTCATACTTCTATGAAGAACTGCCTGAGACTTGGTAATTTATAAAGAACGGAGGTTTAATTGACTCACAGTTCTGCATTGCTGGGGAGGCCTCAAAAAACTTACAATCAGGGTGGAAGGGTAAGCAGTCATGGAACTTCTTCACATGGCAGCAGGAAGATGGGTGAATAAACAAAGGGGGAAGAGCCCCTTATAAAACTATCAGATTGGCTGGGCACAGTGGCTCATGCCTGTCATGCCAGTGCTTTGGGAGGCTGAGGCAGGTGGATCACTTGAGGAAAGGGGTTCAAGACCAGTCTGGTCAACATGGTGAAACCCTATCTCTACTAAAAATACAAAAATTAGCAGGGCGTGGTGGCACATGCCTGTAATCCCAGCTACTTAGGAGGCTGAGGCAGGAGAATTGTTTGAACCTGGAAGGCAGAAGCTGCAGTGAGCCGAGATCATGCCACTGCACTCTAACTGGCAACTGAGTGAAACTCCATCTCAAAAAATAATAATAAACCATCAGATTTTGTGAGAACTCACCAACTATCATGAGAACAGCATGGGAGAAACCACCCCCATGATTCAATCACTTCCCACAAGGTCCTGCCCTTGACATTTGGGGATTATGGGGATTACAATTCAAGATGAGATTTGGGTGGGGACACAAAGTTTAACTGTATCAGTAGTTCTGCTTGAAATTCTTTGAGAAATTTCCAAACTGCTTTCCAGGGTAGCTGAAATAATTTACATTCCTACCAACAGTATATAAGCATTCCCTTTTCTTAGCAACCTCACCAGCAACTGTTGTTTCTTGGCTTTTTAGTAATAACCCTTTTGACTGGTGTGAGATGGTGTCTCATTTTGGTTTTGATTTGCATTTTTCTGATGGTTAGTGAAGTTTAGCATTTTTTCATATGTTTGTTGTGGGTCTGTCCATGTTTTTTGCCTATTTTTAATGAGGTTATTTGTTTTTTGTTTGTTAATTTGTTTAAGTTTCTTATAGATTCTGGCTATTAGATCGTTGTTGAATACATAGTTTTTAAAATATTTTCTCCCATCTGTAAGTTGTCTGTTTACTCTGTTGATAATTTCTTTTGCTGTGCAGAAGTTAAGTTTAATTAGGTCTCACTTGTCTCACTTTTTGTTTTCGCTGCCATTGCTTTGAGGACTTAAAAAACATGAAATGCCTCATGAATTTGCTTGTCATCCTTGGAGAGGGGCCATGCTAATCTTCCCTGTATTATCCAATTATAGTATATGTGTTGCCAAAGTGAGCATTTATTTCTGAATTATTAAAATATTTTTGCAGAAATTATGGTAAGAGTCTAAGTTTCTTTTCAAAGAAACAATTTTAAAATCAGCATTTAGAAATCCTAAATGTAATATTTTGAAAGTTTTTCAGAATTATATTAGTGAAAATAAGTCTTTGCAATTAATTATCAAGTTTTTAAGTATTATGAAAAGCTAAGTTATTGTGAGTAAAGGAGGTTCCACTTGAAAATAATCCATAAAATTTTAATTGGTAATAACAGTTACAGTATATTCAAGACATTTAGAATATTAGCTTTCTTAAAAACTGGTCAAAACTTTATCAAAATTTTTTTCATAACAGTACATCCATTTGTTTATTTCCATATTCTTGCTGAGAAAAACTAGAAAAATCTGGAACAAAAAACAAATCTGTTTTGTGATACCAAAGAACTCTCAAGGCAGAGAGGAATTACAAGGTCAAGGTCTGGGAGAGAAGGGAAGACTATGGAAGGAAATTGTGAAGTTGAGGCCATATTATTCCTAAAGGCAAATGCCAATTACACAGATTACTGAGAAGCTGAGAAGCCAAACAAAGCATTTGACAGATTCATGTACAGCAAAGTCAAAAACTGTAGTCCAGCACCCACTAAGAATCAGAGGCTGTGGTAAACATCTTAAGTTCGGATTCAGGACCAAAAAGTACTTTATCTCTAGAATAAGAGGGAAAAGAAAATACAGCATTGGACATTAAAACTTAAAAGAATGGGCCGGGTGCGGTGGCTCACGCCTGTAATCCCAGCACTTTAGGAGGCCAAGGCGGGTGGATCACGAGGTCAGGAGATCGAGACCATCCTGGCTAACACGGTGAAACCCTGTCTCTACTAAAAATACAAAAAATTAGCCGGGTGCCTGTAGTCCCAGCTACTTGGGAGGCTGAGGCAGGAGAATGGCGTCAACCCCGGGGGCGGAGCTTGCAGTGAGCCGAGATCGCGCCACTGCACTCTAGCGTGGGCGACAGAGTGAAACTCTGTCTCAAAAACAAACAAACAGACAAACAAACAAACTGAAAAGAATGTAGAAAAAAGATAGTAATAACGATAGGAAGATAAATTAATAAAATGGAAAATAAAAATACAATGGAGATGTGTCTACAATGCCAAAACTGAGGTTCTTTGAAAAGATAAATATGCTGCTAAATATCTAGTGAGATTTATCAAGACAAATAGAGACTTAACACAAATAATATTAAGAATAAAAATGATGCAACACTATAGATTCTGTAGACACTTAAAAGGTCAAAAGATGATATTAAGAAAAATGAATTGGAAAATGTAGGTGAAATTAACATATTCGTGTATAAAATTACCATAATATGCAAAAAAAGAAAAATCTGAATAGTCCCCTAAGTACTACAAAATAAAAGTCAAATATATAATTTAAAACTCTTCTGCAAAGAAAACTTCAGGCCCAGATAGTTTTACCAGAAAATTCTATCAAATGTTTTAGAAGTAATAAACATTGATTTATATACATAAATTCTCCCAGAGAATAGAAGAAAAGAAAATAACTATCAACTTATTTAATGAATCCATCATAATGTTAATCTAAAACAAGACAAGAACCTGAAAAGTAAGAAAGAGAATAGATGTCATGAATTCTAAGTAAGAAGTTAGCAACAAAAAATGAGAGAATGGAAAGAATGAAAGGGCTGCTATATTGTTGGAGAAAATATTTGCCACAGAATAAATGATAGAGAACTTCCATAAATCAAGAAGAAAATTTCAGACACCTCAATAAAAATAATAAAGAGTGACTTGATTATCAAAATGGGAAATAAGCATTATAACATCAATAAGAGAAACACTACTGAAACAATAATGGAAACCACTACACATAAACCAGAATTGCCAAAATTAACAGTCTGACAATATCAACTTATGCTTTGGGAAAGAACACATTAGCTGGTATTGGACTTAGTCTGTTGATGTAAATAGCTATACAACTGCACATAATGTATAAGGCTTGTGTTTTCAGACACTGGGTAACAGGCAACAGCAGAATCAGACCCTTGAGGGAAGGAAAACACATGGTGTGAGTTCCATGTTATCCTTGGTTTTGTCCTGGGACACTTTCCAGAACCTGGCACAGGGAAAAGAAGCACCATGAAGACTGGCAGTTTTTCTGGGCAGTAGAGGTAGGGCTTCCAGTTTGGAGATGTTAAAGCAACTGGAATTTGCAGGGCAGAGTGCAGAATAGGAAGCAGCCCCAGAAAGGCATAAGCAGAAATCCACAAAGAGTAAGTTATCCTTGGGTTCTAGCTGAGGTGTGGGTTGTGTATACGCAAAGGGTAGAAACCATGAGGTATAGCAGAAAGCAACTGTTAGAGCATCTGAAAGCCAAACAGAGGTTTACAAAGGTCATATAGTGTCTGAAAACATCGGAGTTCACAATGCCTGGAAACACTGGAGTTCTATTCAACCCAGAGTGAAAGTCTGCACTGACCACCTTGCACATGCAGTTGAACCTCAAAAACGTCATGATTTAGGTGAAAGAGCCATATCCTAGAATTAAAGCTACAATTTAGAATTATGTTTACCCTAATAAAACCTAAAATCAAGCCAAACAGGATCAAAAGAATTTAATTGATTGTCATACAAAACTCAAAAATCTTTAAAATAACACAATATAACATAGACTCCTTAAAATGTATCATTAACAATGTCCAGCATACAATCAAAAGTTATTGAACTTGTAAAAAAATCAGATGTTAAACTGCTTGATACTGCTTATAGCTCGCTGAGACTGTTCATTTTTTGAAATCAGTTTTCTCCTTATGCTTCAGTGTGAATTATTTATTTTCAAATTGACTTAATTTCACTGATATTTTCCTCTCTTATTAATAATGTACTGTCAAAGTTAATATGAAATAACTTTTTATTTATATTTTCACATTTTTATTTATTCATATTTTTTATTTCCATGTCTTACATTTGGTTCTGTTTTAGTTTCCTTATTGCTTCTGAAATTCCCCAGAAAGAAAGGGACCCACATCTGGTGAGGGTCTTTGTGCTGACAAATCCTATGGCAGAAAGTCAAAAGTGCAAAGAGAGAAAAGCATATGCATGTGGTGAAAAACATCAATGCACAAATCCAAGTAGTACAACAAATGCTAAAATGAATGCATATAAGGGGAACAACACCTGGGAACATTGTGGCTATTCTACTGGAAAGCAATAACAAATCAAAAATCTAAAAAGTATCCAGAAGAAAAAAATAAAGGCATGTTATATTCAGGAAAACCATGACTAGAAAAAAAGGCTGATTTCTCATCATAACGATGAAGACCAAAACATAATGGAAGGTCATTTTTAAATTGCTGAACCACAAAAGAAGGAAGGCATCAAGAAAGATTCTACATACTTCAACAATGAGAGTGAAACAAAGGTATTTTTGGATTCATTATAGGTGAGATATTTCATCACCAGTAGGTTGTATATGTAATAAATGCTAACGGAAGTGCTTCAGAAAAGTAATCCAACTTTTTATCTGGTATGTTATGGGTTGAATTGTGTCCTTCAAAAGTTCATACGTTGAAGTCCTAACTTTAGTACCTCAAAATGCAAACTTGAAAATAGGATTGTTGCAGATATAATTAAGTAGGTTAAGATGAAATCACATTGGAGTAGAGTGGACCCCTAATTCAATATGACTGAAGTACCTATTAAAAAGGGAAATTTAGACACATCTAATCTAAAATTTCAGAAGCAAGTTAATGGTCCATATGGCAGGAGGGAAGGTGTATAACACAAGACAGGTCACAACTCTGTTTCCTGACTTAGATCATCACTATGCAGATTTTTCACCTTGTGATAATTCATTAAGCTGTGTATTTCTAACTTATGCATTTTTCTTTATAGATGTTGCATTCAATAAAAATTGAAAGAAAACAAGTTGACAATGAAGCAAATGACAATAATATAATTCTACTCAAGAATTACACTAACACTCTTCTAAAGGGCAAGTGATATTTCTATAAGGTTTTTTTTGTTTGTTTTTTCTAACTTCAGAGTTGTGTGACCTTATCTATAGGAAGTACAATCTGTTGTACATAATAAAAATGTAAATTTTAAAACACAATTCAGATCTTGCCATAGCCTACTGAAAACTCCCAGTGACTTGTCACTAGGAACAAAAGCCACAGCATGGAAGACTTCATATGATCTGGCCCCTAGTTGTTATTCTGACTTCATTCCTTGTTTCTCACTTTGTTCCAGACCTCTAGATTCCTCCATGAACCTTGCTTAAACATACTTAGCAGGCCTCCACTCCAGGGTGCCTCCCCTTTTTACTTAGTCTGAAATGTTCTTACCTCACAAATGTGTTCCCCTGCACCATTGTTTTAATCGTGGTGTTGCTCAAGTGGCACCTCCCCAGCAAAGCCTTATCTGAACACCCTATTTTAAATTCCACCCTCACCTACCAGGTACCCTCTCTCTTCTTACTCAGCTTATTACTGACATTATGTTGCATATTTTTGTTTATGTATTTGCACATAACACAAGAAATTTACCTGCGTGCGCGTCATTTCTTTGTTAGCATGTAAAATACGCCTGGCATAGAGTAGGCATTCTATATATTCTTGTGAAATGACTAAATGAATGAATACATGAGTTAATGCATGAATGCAATGTTTTCAGCAAAGGATTGGGAAAAAGACTGGAAAACTTTAATACAATTTACCAATGTCAAGACACTTTTACACTCTGGGTGCACCAGGCTTCAGTTTAGCAAAGTGAAGGCAATTTGTTTACACAAAGGGGCAAAGATGTGGAATTACTTATTAATTAAATTTCTGTGAACTAGAAAACACAGAAGCCATTGTTTACAATGCTATTGGCTGACTGCTCACATTTCTAGGTATAGCTCAGAGTACTCCCAGGGGAAAGAAAATAAAAAAGCCTTGTTAAGAATGTAGCATTCTGCACAGATTGTTGTTAACTGTTAATTAATTTTATCTTCTCTGGGTACTCAAATCTTTATCCCCTAGCCTAAGTATTCCTATTCGACATCTGGTAGGTCTCTTTTAACTCACGAATCTATAATTAATTTTTTGAGAATAACTAAAACTAAATTGAGACTCCTTAGAATTGGGTGTGTCTAATTGAGACACACTGTATGTACATATAATTAGTGAAAAGGGGGTAAAAAATAATTTCTGATTCCTAACAATGGTCTCTAATCCAACAGTATCAAGAAACAAATGTTGTCCTCTCTGAATTTTCTTCTTAGTGCATAGTTTGGCTACAGACATCGGCTGTCTATGCTAAAATGTCTTCTTCTTCCTTCAGGAATCTTTCAGATTAATAATTGCAAGTATACGATTTGCAGTTAGGATTGGCTCCAAGTCCCAGTCTTGAAATCACTAGTTATGTTATATTGAGTGACTTACCTAAATTCTCCAAGACCCAAATCACCTTTTAAAAAAATGAGATTGTTAACTGTACATATTTTTTATGATCATCCTTATTATGAGGCGTAAAAGCAATAAGATTGTGAAATATTCAACTCTGTACTTGGCATACAGTAATCACTCAATAAATGTAAATTAGTGTAAGAGCCAAAAAGGAATAATATACTTATAGGATAAAATAATTTAATATATTAAGCTTATGTACTTTCTCCATATCAGACATTAAGTATTTAATCTTTATTTGTTAATTCCAAAGGGAGACTTTGTTTTCTCTAGTGTCCTCTGCAACTTTCTGTCTTTTGTTAGAGTGCTCTGTGTCTATCACCAGCCACTCTGTGGGAATATAATTCTTTATTAAGTCAATAAGAGGCAAGATTTATAATCCCCCTTTTGAAAGAATAGTTTCCTCTTGTTTGAGAAAGAGCTTTTCATGGCTTGGAGGCATTGCCACCATGGTACTTCCTGTGCAACACTACCAAACTTTCCCAAGGAAAGAGTAAGTCAAGGAGCTACTAGTTCATCGCTTAATGCTCCTTGTCTGGGTTGCATGGGTTACTATACACACCAATAGCGAATAGTGTCCTCTGCTTGATATTTGGCTCTGCTCTGCCAAGGGCTTTTGCTGTTGCATTACATTTGCTCAGTCTAGTTATGTCTCTTATATTTTGAGACTTGGAAATGGAATGTCAGCTCTTCAGTTCCAAAGGCACCACCTGAGGCTGTTGTGTGATTCAAGTATTTTCATCTCCTCCTGCTCTTTTGCTTTGAAATCAGTAAGGTTATGTGTAATCAAAGAACAAATATGATCGCTCAAAGGAAAATTAGTGGCTGGTAAATTTAGAACTAACCCCTCATATGCGACTTCACACAGAGATTGTTTTTCATCTTTCTCTGCATGTCACATAGCTCATCTAAATGAGAAGTACAAATGTTTTCAAAGGCAGCTCCATACATAGCTCAAAACTGTGAAATAATGGTGAAAAAGGAGTTTTTAATGTATTGTCAGTTCTGCCCACCTGACTTTTCATAGAACCCAAGATACATTAATGATGTGAATGTGTTTTTAATGATTTTTTTATTAACTGGACAAGGTTACATCATTTAGAAGAGTATTTGAATATTCATAACATTATATAGTAAACAAGCATGATTAAGAAGGACAAATTAATCAGTAGTTGAATATCTACTCTACGGAAAATATTGTAATAGACTTTGTGAGAATACAAAGGTGACTGAAAACAGTTGCTGACTTCAAGGATTTCACCATCAAGTTGTAGACAAGGCATAACTCTATGGAACCATAACTTTCAAATACATATACTTCCATGCTAAAAACTCAAATTAGCTATCTGAGGAAAATCCCACTGTGTAAGCCAGAGTTTGCACTATGTATATCTGGGAAATATGCCATTTGAGTAAAAAAAAAAAAAAAAAAAAAAATCCTTTTTGCAAATGGTCTTAACATTGTGTGGAAGAAAGATTAGTAGGGGAAAAAAGTCCCAAACATCAACTCAAGAGATTACCTGTTGTAAACTGAACATTTTGCTAACTCTCAATGTTTTACATATCTATGTTTTACATATCCCATCACCTGCCATCTCTGGTAGGCAGAGACACTTTTTAGTCCCAGCCCTGCTTTCAGAGCTATTGTGCACTTGCATCCCTGTTTCCCTGCTAGGTTCTCACTAAGGCTCAATTTCTCTCTCTGGAACTCATTATTAATTCTGTTGCCTTCATACATTCTCAACTCAGAGCTCTGCTTTCCTGAGTTCTACCTTTACATGATGTTTGAATTTTTTCTAGAGCATACCTTTATTCTTTGCCTCAGTCCCTTTTCCTGCATTATTAATATCTTCTTTTTTTCTGTTTGTTGCCTTAGTGAAAAATATAAAAGTTCATAACCACATGAAGCATTAGAAACCGCTTTTCTGGAGCTATTACTCATGACATGATGGTTGGTTTATAGCAGTGGGTCGTATTCAAATACTAATATACACAGAAAGAACCAAATAAGTCCCAATTTATAAAATTAAATGAACTAGAACAGCATTTCAGAAGTGCCTGGTATATTTGCAAATGATCAATTTCGATTAGAAGTGTTATAAATTTAGAAAGGATATATATCTTTATGTCTGGAATGGTCTAGAACTTGCAGGGGTTACAAAATAATCTTAGTCTCTGAAGATGGATAGGATTGAGAAAGTGAAGAGGGTTGTTTCAGTTGAAGGAAATCTATGAATAATGGTGGATGCATAAATGTTTTGTAAGCTGAACTTCATTAAGAATAATAGGGTATATGCAACTCAGGTCTAATTCTGCCAGAATTCTAGGCTTGGATCCGATTCTTCTTTCCTCTGTTTCCCAGGTGAATCCTTGGCAATATATAGAGAGTATTTGTATGTATATGAGAGAAGATGGTGGTGGGGAGGGTGGTGAGGAGAGAGAGAGAATGCATGTTTGCTTGTGTGTGTTTGTGTGTGTGTGTGTGTGTGTGTGTGCATGTGTGTGTGAGCACCAATAGGTTTCTTCATGAGGTAATCAGATACTATTTCATTATGTGCCTCTGTGCTGACTGTGGGGATTTCATTCAATTGAAAAGTAAATGTAATAAAGCTGTAGAGAAAGGAATATTACTATATTAAAGGATAAGCTTTAAAATATATTCCAAAGAACACTGTTAGGGGCTTAGGGGAAATCTCATTTCACTTGCTAACTTTTCTAATTCAGGCCAGGTATATAACCTGTCTCCTGAGAGGATAAAGATATGCTGAATAAGCCTGAGTGAGACCAGCCAACACCAAGCAGAAAATGATGACCCTTCTCATCCTTTTGGTGTTCAGCAACAACACGAAGGTTAAATAGAGGGGTGTTTGTTGACATCACTGACACTACAAGTATAAATATAAAATAATGTGCTCACATCATTATCATTTCTAGTTATTTTTATGGATGTCAATGTGGCAACTAGGGGTAATCATGCCATATTTTTCATGGGACTATTTTAATACTTTGCATTGACCTATCTGATTTATAATTTTTCTGCATACAGATTTTCCTTTTTTCTAGGCATTTTAGCTTTGCTTGTCCCCATCAACATTTTCTTCACTTGTTTTTTTCACTTTCTATTCTGTAGTCTCAGACTTACTCATTGCTCATTCATTACTCTTTGATTGAGAAAAGAGAAAAGACATCATAGAGATAATAAATAGTAGAATCAGAAGACGGAAATAAAAGATGGCAATATGATAATTATACCTCTGATTCCTTTCTTCTGGGCTCTAGAAATTTTAAAACTCTCAGGCTTTCTTAGGGCCTTCCCACAAATAAGTTTGAGGGGAAAAAAACTGCTGATCACATCCCAAAAAAATGGCATTATTATTTCCTTACATAAGACAAACAAAAAATCTTTAGAGGCCAAGCATCAAAGATGATGAGCAACAGAAGCATATTCAATACCATCAGATCTAAGTCCCTTTCAAGAGCACCTTCCTCTCTCTCTAAAGGGCACAATCTTCTTGTCTTCAGCTCTATTGGACAGTAGTTTAGGGAATGCAATTTTTCTACATCTGTAAGTCCTTTTTTTCACATGAATAATTGAAAGATCCCCATCATTCTTTCATCTTGTTTTCAAGGACTCTTGAGAAAATGGATGGCCATTATCTTTTTCTCCAGTATTCAGGTTAAGCCATAGTTGCAATTCTGCCTTGTACATGGCATAAATTAAAAAAGGCAACAATCATAGATGGATGACAATCTCCATGATTCTAGAGTGTGAATTTGAGATAGCAAGTACAGCAGCAGTACTCCATATATGAATCATGGAAGAGACATATGAGTGCATCAAATGACTACTCCTAACTCCATGTCATAAATTAGCAAACCAGGGCCCAAAGAAATGAAGTGCTGTGACTTGACTTCACAGGTTTTTTCATGAATGTTGAGTGAGAATTGAACTCAAGACCCTAGTTTCCCATGATAAATACTTCAAGAAATAAGTGTTATATTCACCTATGAAAAATATAGCTCAAAGTATGGGGTTTTAAAATATAAATGCATTTTGAGTTGGATTTTAATATATTTAATAATTTCTTCTCTTTCTTCAAGCAAACCTGAAAATGAGAAAGGAGCCAAAAGAAAAGTTTATCTACTACCAATTATGCAAATGATTCTTTAATATTCTACTAACTAAATATTTTTAGTAATTATTATGTACACTAAAATCTGTAGTCACATCACCATGGGAAGGTCTTTGACAGAAGAGCTCCAGAAAATAGATGCTACTTTTTTTTTTGGTCTTCAAGAAGAACCTATTACCTTCCTAGGTTCCTTTGGTTATGTTAATGAAGTAATATGAAATTTATGAAAATAAGTTGAAGTAATGCATTGCCAGTCTGATAAATCTAGAAGAAAAATAATTCCAGATGTATTAATGAACCTTTGTGAGAATGTTGAACCACCACTTAAATAGTCTGTCTTTCCAGAGAACTCTGAGAAACACGTTACATGAGGACACATTTCATCTTAGTCAGAAGTAGGCATTAATCAAGTCTATCAAGTCTTTTTAAACCTCTGTTTGGCTTTCAGATGCTCTAACAGTTGCTTTCTGCTGTGCTTCATGGATTCTACCCTTTGAGTGTACACAACACAGACCTCAGCTAGAACCCAAGGATAACCTCCATGCAGATTTCCGCTTATTCATTTCTGGGTCTTCTTCCTCTTCTGCACTCTGCCCTGCAAATTCCAATTGTTTTAACATCTTCAAACTGGAAGCTCTATCTCTACTGCCCAGAGAGACTGCCGATCTTCATGGTGCTTCACATCCCTGTGCCATGTTCTGGAAAGCGTCCCAGGACAAAACCAAGGATAACATGGAACTCATGCCATGTGTTTTCCTTCTCTCAAGGGTTTCATTCTGGTGTCACCTGTTACCCAGTGTCTGAAAACAGAAGCTTTATATATTATGTGCAGTTGTATGGTTATTTACATCAACAGGCTAAGTCCAATACCAGCTAGTGTGTTCTCTCCTGAAGCAGAAGTTGATATTGTCAGACTGTTAGTCCATAGGTATCTATTGTGCCTGCGGCATGGAGGAAGCCTATGTCGTGAGACAAACACTAAGCTAGAAGTCATAATAAACTCAGTTCAAGCCTTAAAATGTCATTTCTTAGGTGTATGACCCTGGAAATGCCATTTACCATCTTTTAGCTTTAGTTTCACCTCTGCCAAAGAGAACAATATTACTTATCTCATAGGATAAAGTGAGGTTTCAACAAGATGGATATAAGACCAATATATTAGTTCTGTATTTTTTAAATTTAAAGTTGACATGATTTTGAAAACTCAGGATAAGTGACTCCTAAAATAACTCTTGAATAAGAGATACTGGAATTTGAAATAACTTTAATCATTTGAAGAAGCCCCAGCATGTTGCCCATAGCCCAGGAAATTTATCTTAATCCCTAGTCAATCAAATGAACAAAACATATAATAAAATAATTAAATGCATAATGCTGCCTTTAAACTCAAAATCTGCCAGTGGCCTCAGAGCACACAATTATAGGAAAAAAAGGAAACTTAGCAAGGTATTTCTTGAGATATAAGTAAATATAATTTTATATTTACAATGTAACATCATAACTGTGGCAACAAATCTAATAATTCCAATAAGGCACAGGACTGAGTTGTTAAGTTGCAAACAGACAAAGATGGTGGGCTACTGTGAAAACAGCATGAGAACCAGACATCCGTGGATTCAAATCGTTTCCTTTCATGTGTTATATGACATTGGACATGTTATTTGACCTTTCTGGCCTCAAATGCATTTTCCACAAAATAGAGAAAATAATACTAATCAATAATGTCAACATGAGAGTAACATGGGCTATGATATGTAATGTCCCTGGCACAAAGTAGGTATTCTACCAATATTGGCAAATTTCTACCATCCTTAAAATGTTTTTCAATTTTTTAGTCTCGTAATGGATATAATAAACAAGAGTTTAAAAAAAATACTAGTTTAGTTTTTGCTGGTAAATAAATGAGATTCAGAAGTAAAAAGGGGCATACATTATCTCCACACTTGAGGAACTGTGAGAGTGTCATGCATACATCATTTAGATATTGTTCCCAATATGTCGCATGCATTGATCAAAGGATTTGTCTGTGCTAGAAATATACAGAAACTGGAGCAAAAGAATGTATTTCTGCAAATATACCTTTGCATAAATAAATAAAAGTATTCCTGTGTGTAACATTTTATTTTCCATGTAGCACAGTTATGCCCTTAAGTTGAAAGTTTAAGCATTAATAATATTACCTAGTAGTAGTAGTAATAGTTATTAATTTAACCCTTACTTATTAAAGGAAAATGCCATTTCTCACTCCAGGCACCCAAGATCAGAAATTTGGAAAGCATACTTCTAGACTTTCCTCACTCCTTCATTTCTTCTACCCCAGTGGGAGTGAAGTAAAAACTGATGGGTAACTTGGGGAAGAATAACTATAAATGCTTGGCTTATTTTCACTTTTTTCTTTGGTTAATAAGTCTATTTTCAAAGAGAATACATTTTCTTCTTTTCTCTATGCTACCCATGAATGGGAGAGGATAAGTCTGTTTCTCAGATTCTGAATTGCCAAGTAGTGCACTTGGCTAACCAACCTAGAGGTACAATTGCCAACCTGGTCTCTGACATTATTTTGGCTTCCATTTTGATTTTTTCCTCTTAACTTGTTCAGTTTTTACCAGGGGTGAGGGGTTGAAAGAATAATTTTAGGTGGCTTTATTGACCCTAAACCCTAAATACATAGGCCAGAAATATTAAAAAATAAAACCAAAGAGTAGAATTTGGGGTAGCAAAACATACACTTGGAGAAGCAATCAGTAGCTTAAAGAAGAGTGGTTTGGTCCTTGGTGTTCTCATGTTGGTAATCTGCAGAGGTTAATTTTAGGTGCAGATGGGTTTTAAGACCCTGGCATTGAACAAATTGAAATATTTCAACCCCATCCCATGGTATTTTGACTGTGGTAGATGATTGCAACTTGTGGTGTTTTTGTCCAAAAGAAAAGACTATTGAGATATAAACAAAGGCCCCTGGACCTAAGGAAAGACTTCAAGGGGAGATACCAATGAGAGATGATTTGAAATGGGGAACAGAAGATGGGATCCTCAGCTAGGATCAACGAGGCCACTCAGCTCTCAGCAGAGGCAGACTATCACAAAGAGTCAAAGCTCCAGGGCCTTAGCAAGAATAGGGATCCAGATTCGGGATGCTGCAGACCCTTTTTCAGGTGCAGCTTTTTCTAAGGAGTTATGGCTGAGGCAAATGTTCCATTGCAAGGAATAGGCCTCTTAGATCATAGCAGACAAAACAGTCTTTGCTGCTTTTAAATTGCTGGGTAGTGAAGTCCCACATATGTCTCTGAGTACTAGAGATGTTTTAGATTTAAGTTGTTATTGACAGACATCTCTAGACCAGATGCTCCAAATTCCATTCTGCAAGTAGGGCCAAGAAAATAACAGTAGGAAGGCATATCATGAGGAATGTCCATAAACTCAAAAAACAATTTGCCATTTCATGGTTTTAGGGTGGCACTGGATTGGACATTTCCAGATTGAGGAGGAAATTTTGTTAGGAGCAGGTTTCTTGGCAAGAGGCACTGGAAATAACCATACTGGCGTAAGACTGAAAATATGTACTTACAAGAGTATGCACCTGGCAACTGAGCTGCCACCCTTGAAAACTTCTAAACTTTGTAAGTAGATTGCATGTCACTTTTGAAAACAAGAGGCCAGTGCATAAATGGATTACCCCTTCAGAAATGTGATTGCAGGGCACCAAAATTAACTTCTTGCTAGGAGAGTTTTCCCAATTGAGTTTAAATTCACAAGTCATGGATTTAGAACACCTGGAACAGTCCCGAGTGGCATCCTGGCAAGACTATAACCAAAAAAATTATCTTCTCCAGTCAAAAGGAATTTCATCTCTGGTCTTTGGCATCATTAAACACTTAGTTTTGCAAACATTTTTTTCCTGGAATAACTGCTTTATAAATAAGGATTCACTTCTTACCATAACTGAAAAGATATAATAATTTTTGTTTCTTATTAACTCTTTGAACTCTACAAAGAGAGGCCCTACAAATACTCTTCAGACCATTAAACCTTTTCTACTTACACTAGAGAAAAACAATGTAGCTGCTGGTAGAAATCAGTTCTACTCCAGCATGAAGAATAATTCTGGCTGGGACCGAACTGAAGAAGCTGAAGATATTCAATATTGTACTTTTATTTCTTTGAGTTTTGATTAAAAGAGTAACAGAACTTGATTTTTTGGACTGTGAAAGTGGCTAATATATTTAGACTTCAGTTTCTCTCTGAGAAGTTAATAATAGGATCAAGTTTGCATACAAAAATTAGCATCTTGACATTGGCATCTTAATGTCATTTAATCTCACTACAGAATCTCTAATATATTATGTCATAGGCTGGACAAAATCTTGAATAGAAATAGATTATGCAGTGAACTTGGGCCTTAGTTACTGAATGGCCTTAGATTGGGTTTAATTAATACATGATTTTAATCCATTTCAGAACTTTGGAGGTAAGCTCTATATTGTCCACACCTGATCCCAAGAAAATGCTCAAAAGAGCAGTGGTTAGTACGTCAGAGTGACATCTTGAAAATGAGAGACTGTCCAAATACAGCACACTGCTAATCACTTTCCTTGAGGGATGATAGGCCCCCATTTTATCAAACCCCATGCATTTATTGGAGCAAAAACCAGGGTGACCCTTTTCTCCTAGTTCCATGAGGAAAGATCTCCTCAAACATTCCTGGCCTCTTCTACTGTCACAGAGAGGAATAAGAGCCACAAGACTGTATTCAAATCCTACCTCCTTCACTTAATAATTGTGTAGCACTGAGAAAAATTAATCTCCCTCTGCTTTCCATCTCTCACTTACAGAATGTGGACATCAAACATGTTTACAAAGATGCTGTATGGATTAAATCAAATTCTATACGTAAAGTGTTTAGAACAGTGCCTATCCAAAGTGCTGTGTAAGTATTAGCTACTATTTGTCAAATCTCTCTACATTTTCTTTTTTGTTTAACTTTTATTTTAAGCTCAGGAGTACATGTGTAGTTTTGTTACATAGGTAAATTTGTGTCATGGGGTTTGTTGTACAAATTATTTAATCACCAGGTATTAAGCCTAGTATTCATTAGTTATTTTATCTGATCCTCTCCCAGCCCTCACCCTCTGACAGGCCCCAGCACATGTTGTTCCCGACCATGAGTCCATGTGTTCTCATCATTTAGCTCCCATGTATGAGTGAGTACGTCTAATACTGGATGATATGCTTTGGCTGTATCCCCACTCAAATCTTATCTTGAATTGTAGTTCCTATAATTCCCATGTGTCATGGAGGGACCTGATGTAAGGTAATTGAATTATGGGGACAGTTACCCCCATGCTTCGGTTCTCATGATAGTGAGTGAGTTCTCACAAGATCTGATTATTTTATAAGGCACTTTTCCTTCTTATGCTTGGCACTTCTTCCTGCTGCTATGCGAAAAAGGATGTTTTTGCTTCCCCTTCTGCCATGATTATAAGTTTTCTGAGGCCTCCACAGCCATGTTGAACTGTGAGTCAATTAAATCTCTTTCCTTTATAAATTACCCAGTCTCAGGTATCTCTTTAATAGCAGTGTGAGAACAGACTAATACACTTGGTATTCTGTTCCTGTGTTAGTTTGCTAAGGATAATGGCCTCCAGCTCCATTCATTCCCTGAAAAGGACGTGATCTTGTTCTTTTTTATATGACTGTACAGTATTACATGGTATATATGTACCACATTTTCTTTATCCAATCTGTCATTGATGGGCTTGTAGGTTGATTCCATGTCTTTGCTATTGTGAATAGTGCTGCAATGAACATACACATGCACGTGTTTTTATAATGGAACAATTTCTATTCCTTTGGGTATATACCCAGTAATGGGATTGCTGGGTCTAATGGTATTATGTCCTTAGGTCTTTGAGTAATTCCCACACTGTCTTCCACAATGGTTGAACTAATTTACACTCTCACCAACAGTGTATAAGTGTTCTTTTTCTCTGCAACCTCACCAGCATCTGTTATTTTTTGACTTTTCAGTGATAGCCATTCTGACTGGTGTGAGATTGTATTTCATTGTAGTTTTGATTTGCACTTCTCTGATGAACAGTGGTGTTGACCTTTTTTTTCATAAAATTGTTGGCCTCATGTATGCCTTCTTTTGAAAACTGTCTGTTCATGTCCTTTACCCACTTTCTAATGAGGTTGTTTGGTTTTGTTTCTTGTAAATTTGTTTAACTTCCTCATAGATTCTGGATATTAGACTTTTGTTGGATGCATAGTTTGCAAAAATTTTCTCCCATTATGTAAGTATTTGTTTACTCTGTGATAGCTTTTTGTTTTGTTTTGTCTCTGTTTTTGTTTTGTTTTGTTTGTTTTTCTCTACAGAAGCTCTTTAGTTTAATTAGATCTCATATGTCAATTTTTGCTGCTATATACCAATAGATGTTGAACATGTATACCAATAGATGTTGAACCAACATCTATTGAACTAACTATACCAATAGATATGAACCAAATATATGAATACATGTTGAACACATATATAATTTTTTGGAACTTCTAATTAAAATTATAATCAAATTGAAGAAGAATAAAATTATTTAAATATAACAAAGACTTTACTAAAACAACAATTATTACCACAGATAGAGACACCAAAACCTTTTTATTTAAATTCAAAAATGATCCAGGGGTGCCCATCATCACCATTATTATCCAATATTGCCTCAGAGCTTATAGAAACTGCAATTAAGAAATAAAATAATATTTTTAAAATATAAAATAAATAAGACTCTTGTGGATGATATTCTATATATACAAAACCAAAATACTCTTGTCAAAAGATAAACTGATAGAATAAGATATACCGAATGCTAAATAACGAGTTAATGGGTACAGCACACCAACATGGCACATTATACATATGTAACAAACCTGCACGTTGTGCACATGCACCCTAAAACTTAAAGTATAATAATAATAAAAAAAGATGACAAATTGCTTGAACATTTAATAAAAATCAGGAATTGAAGTTTCTAAGTAAGGAACCAATTTCTAAGTTAGTAATGAACTTTCAGCAAAAGAAGGAAGCAAAATAGTTTTTCATTCATATTAGCTACAAAAATTATAAAATGCACATGAATGAATTTAACAGTAAGTGTATGGGATCTATATGTATAAAATCTTATTGAATGACATAGAACACAATAAGCCAATTAAAATCATATCATATTCTTGAACAGAAAGCCTTATCATTAATATGCTAGTAGTTCAAAATTCATGAGTAAATGCTAATATAATTCTAGTAGAATCCCAATAGAGCTTGATTTCTGGGGAAGGAAAAAAAGAAGTTTGAGATAAACTGGTAGAAACAACAACAACAAACCCTTATAGCTTATATGGAAGACTGCATGCCTAGAAATCATCAAGAAATTTTGGAAAATAAAATAGTGAACAGAAACTTCCTTATCAGATATCACAACATATTATGGTGTCTCTAAATCAACACATTATTGACATTGAAACAGAAAAATAAGACAGTGAAACAAACTAGAGGATCTAGAGCTAGACTCTAGAATATATGAAAACACAGCACATGGACACTGTTTAATAAATGATAGCAATCAGCATTACTGTCTTTATGATCATCACAGTCATCAATACAGGATCACAGTTATCAGTATCATCAACACACCTTCCCAATGCGTGGTGCCTCACATTGAGTAAGCTCATAATCAATATTGTTTGAATGGAATTGATACAAAAGGGAGACATCAATAATTAATTATATTACATAACATAAATGAACGTGAAGAAATATGTGGAACTTTTTGATGAGATGTGATTATTTATAGATAAGTGAGAACACATATGAAAGCTCTTTGCAGATGATAAAGGACTATTTAAGTGTTATTTTTGACATTAGTATTATTTTATATCCTGCAAGTTCAGAGGAATATGAAACAGTGATTTATAGTAATATGACACATACATTTTGGTAAATACACTAAATCATTGTTCTGTCTGTAGAAATAAGCAAGACTATTTTGCATTTCTACATATCTAGCCAAGCTTTTGCGGGTAAGGTTTCAGGGAAGGGATATTGTTAATGTTCTCAAGAAAATCAAATTTCTTCTGGTAAAGATGTATGTCCATTCACCTAGCTCCCATGAGAAAAACCCTGTGATTAGGTTTACTTTTCTTAATTGACCTCAAGGACCATACAAGCTCACACAAAGTAAGCTTAGACCTGTCTGCTTTATCTAGGTTTTGTTAGATGCTACCTCATCCCATAGGCATTTTCTCAAAGGGTACAAAGGAAAGTGGAATTTCTTTTATTTCTGATCATAAATTACCTATTGTTGACTTTTCATAAACCCTGAGGTATTGTTTACAGGCTACGTTGAGTTTTTCCTTCTTGTCTTAATGGTCGAAAGTGTTTTAAAACTTTTTATGGTCTAATTTACCTTTACTGTTATTCCATTTCCTTAGAAGTCAGAGCACTAAATAAATTAGTGATGTGTTAACAGATGGGATCCATCATAGCAATAGAGATTAGGAAGTGCGGAAGCTTACCAGCTAGTATTTAAGTGTCTTTAAAGTTTGTGAAGTCTTTATGCACTTTACATGGCATAATTTTGAGTAAAACAAGAGCTTTCTTTTCCTGTTTTGTTTCTCTTGAACTATGTGCAAACACTTAATGGATCAATCAGTTTGAAGCCTGTATGCTATCCTACAGAAAGAATACCTTGGCCGCCGTTAAGAAGGCTGTGTTCTTCACCTTTTGATGTAGAAGTGCCCTGCGTTTGTAGTTGGCAATACAGATCAAATAGAGGAAAAACTAAAACATCATATTACAAACTGTGACTCACATATTAATTACAAGTAAAACACACACACATGCGCACACACACACACGGGCACTATTCCTGTGTTCTACACCTCTGCTTCAGATTGGATCTGATCTCAAAGCTCCATAACAAATGGAAATATTATAACCAAGTGCCTACAATGTGTCAGGCACACAATTACTTCCACATGGGTTGTTTCATTTAATTTGTTCTAAATCTGTCATGTAAATATTATCACCCATTTTACCTTTGATAAAACAAAGATAAAACCAGAGGATTTTACATAAATGTTCTAAAAATTATCTACAATTAAGCTCTGCTGCATTTTTTAATAAAAGTAGAATTTCAGTCTGAGTTGAGACCTCTAAAAAATATAATAGTTTTGAACACTCTCTTCTTGAAACTTAACAATAAATAATTATATGTTCATTGCTAAAGATACCGCTGCTGTGGAAGAATTGAGCATAATGTACAATATTTTACACAGCATATTGTTTAATTGGTTGTGGAGACTCATTGACAATGTCCCTACAAAGTCAGCTTAAGAAGAAACAATTTAAAAACAATAAAAATAAAAAATGGTAAATGTTATTTTCTCATTTAATGGTAAATCATTTTTCTTCCTTTTATGGCAAGGGAAGGAAAATGATTCCTTAAATCTCTGTTACTTTGTTGCTATTGTTATTATCATTATTGTTATCAATAAGAGAAATATTGGTTATTAAAATATTAATTGCCAGTGACATAAATGTAATAGAAACCTGTGTAAATAATAAAAAAAATTATTTGGCTTATATAACAGATAAGTTCAGAAATAGTTTTCAAGTAAGGCAGAATCTAGAGATCTGAAAGCTTTCAGCAAGGCTTTGAAACTTTCCCTCCATCTTCCAGTTCTCTTCTTTGTTGGTTTCATTCTCTGTATGACTCTGTCCATATAGGGGTATAGAGTTTTCTTCTAGCAATTCAAGGCTTAAATGGTCCTTAGTGCTTTGCTCTCAGAAAATTTCTACCATATATAGATATATATAGGTAGAAATATAAACGGATGATATGAGAGATAGAGATATGATATGATATATAAATATATCACTGTCCACATTATATTCTGATTAAAACTGCTTGAATGTCCCAAGTGCACAGATGGTTCTGACAGGGATCAGAAGCACATAATGTGTGGATCTCATACACATTTCTGTGGAAAATTATCAGGTCTGTTCTTGAAACCAAAATAAAAGAGATAGATCTTAGACAGAAAAAGTGTTCCAAAAATGATGAAAAATATACATTTAATATAAATGCTTAAATTATACTATCTACATTTTTAATGCAATTTTTACAGTAACAGGTGTAAGACTAAATCTTCAAATCCTTTAATTTTCTTTTCCAAATGCCTACATTATTTTGTGTGTAAATATATTTTAGATCTAACAATGCAGGACATAATGAGTAAATCTGGTAAGCCATGTGTTGGGAGGGAGGGGGAGGAATGGGGAGACAAAGGTCCATGTAGTTAGTCACCAGTGAACATGCATTTAAGTTAGGTGGTCCGTTATAGAAGTTGAATTTGGAATGGAAATGCCCACACAGTTCCATTTTAGAAGTGTGCAAGGAAAAAATTATCAATCTGGAGACTCACATTAGGAAATCCAACAACAAAAAAAATTGGAAAATACAATGATGTTTAGTAAAAGGGTAGGAGTTTAGTGAGAGAAATATTGTACCAAAGAAAGCCATTTAGAAGGGTCTAATGTTAGGAGAGATTAGCAATCAAAGTTCAGAATTGTGTCATTAAAAGGAGACCATAATCTTATTTAATGTTTATTAAAATGTTGAGAAAAATCATACTAGGAAATTATCAATGTGCGATGCTTATATGTCATTGTTAAAATGAGTTTCCTGTCATTAAAATAAACACATGAAAGAGATCTTTAAAGGTAAATATGATGAGCCTTATTCTCCAATATTATTGCCCTCTTTTCTTTTTAAGGCTTTTCTAAGGACAGTATTAAGCTGTCAACATCCTCAACATATTTTTATGTTTCCTAAAAGTAGACTAATATTTGTCTCATGTAATAACTTTTTGTAAAACTTTTTGTCACCTCAAACAAACCAAATAGCACCAATCATTCAAGGAAAAATTACCTCACTATTGTATAAAATTTGAAAGGAGACTTCCTATAGAAAGTAGATGCCTTCTTAATAATTTTAAGAAAAACCTAAATCCCTTAAAGAATGTCAAAGCCTTTTTTTCATTTATAGCTCCACAGACTAATATTGTGGCATATGTGGTATGTGATAAATATGTGTTATATACCTAAAATGCAAAAAATAGTCACAAAATTTTGGAT